>NC_000011.10:116566364-116869394 GCF_000001405.40 Homo sapiens
ATATTTTCTTAAAGATAATCCAAGAGACTGGGTCAGGAGTTAGTCACTGGGAAAAGTACAGTGCCATCAGATGTAGGACAGATGTCCCCTCACTGTGGTCAGTGGGAGGGGGAGTACCTCTCAGTTGCTGGCTTCAAGTCCCAACCCCACCACGGACCTCAAAGCAGGTCAGCAATTGGTCATAGAGATAGGGTCACCCATCTTCCTTTCTCAGCCCTCTGGGGTTCCTGTTGATAGGATACCAGGTTTGTGGGGAGATGGGGGATTCATGGGCCTGTATGCCAGCATTCCTTGGATTCTAGAGCTGAAGGGGGCTAAGAAAAGGCAGGACAGAGGTTACACCAGCACCCATGTGGCTGCTCAGGGCCATATGTTCTGAACGAGAATCTTCTAAGCCTGGGCAGCTGGCACATGATCAAGCATATGGCAGGATCCATGAGGCCCTTCCTAACCGTCCACCTCCTCCTGCCAAGTCAGTTATTCCTCCCTGCCATCCATCCCCACAACCCCTGTCTTTCCCCACCCTAAAAACACTGCGCGCACGCGCGCACACACACACACACACACACACACACACACACACACACACACACACACACCAATGGCCTCATCTGGACAGTCTACTCAACCTGAAATAGGCTAGAACCATAAAGAAAACACGGAACACTCAAAAACGCCAAACCAGGAGTCCAAAGGCCTGGACAAGGGAGAGCCCCTTCTCCAAATCCCAGTTTCCTCACCCGGACACCCTGCAAAACACTATGCATAATCATCTCCCTGAGGACCAGAAGGGGGGCACTGCCCTGGGCACTGCGAAACTGAGCTGCGGCCCCTGTTCTGCATAAACAGCAAGTTTCACCCCAAGTTTCTTTATCTGTAAAAGGAGGTAGTTGACTTTCCCCTCTGCAGTCCCTCCCACCCTACATCCTGTGTGCCCCCTGATAGTCTGAAGTCCCAGCCTGCCCTGCCTCCAAGGTTGTTTGAGAATCACATGAGTGTGAATGTGGAGGTGCAGAAAAGTCTGTGAACAAAGAGGATGTCCGCAGAAGCCGGGGTGGGAGGGAAGGAGAAGAACCCCGCCTGGTCTCAGCCCTGCAGTGGGACATGGCAGAGTCCTGGCTGGCTGGGCCAGTCTTCTCCCAAAGACCTGCACTATCTTGCTGATCATAGCAGATTTGCAGCTGTCTCCGTTTGAGTTGGAAATGGTGGGCTTTTTGTAGTTTTCCATTTAAGAGCTTCAGACCCCTCCTCTGCTTTTTTCCTTATTAAAGTTTCTCTCGCCGGCTTATGTAATATCCAAAAACCAATTGCTTATTTTCATGTCTGCTTAGAAATGAAAGTGGGACTCAGAGGGGAGCCTGCAGGCCAGGAGGCAGCCCCAGGCTGAGCCAGAGGCACCGGGAGGGAGAAGACCAGGCAGCTGGCTTCGGAGCTGGGTTGTAAAGGAGCTGAGTGCTTGCGGTCTCCCAGGGCCTAGGGGTTGGAAAAGGCCCCCAGAGCTGAGCTCTCAGTTGACAGGGCCACTCTTCCTCTCCTCTGCTCTCCTTCACCCCCAAAAAGGGCCTGGAGCACCGAGCCCTCTTGAGGCCACAGCTCAACCAGTGGAATGGGGCTGAATCAGCCTATTCCAGCAATAGTCGGTCCTAGAAAGAAAGCAATTCGAGTTCATCTGCAAGCTGCTCACACACCCCTGCAACTAACTCCCCATGGGGCCTGCGTTCCAAGGAGGCTCTGTAGTAAGGCATGGTTGGGCCTAGAGATCCAAGAGGGAACCCTCAGAAAATTCTAAAGAGACACAAACAAAAAACGCTCTGGCAAAACTGTAGAGACGGTAAAAAGATCTGTGGTTGTCAGGGGTTCTGGAGGGAGGGAGGGAGGGATGGAGCACAGGGGACGTTCAGCGCCGTAAAATGATTGTGCCCTGTGAGCAGGACAGGAGGAGTCATATTCATATAGGAACTCTGTCCTTTTCACTCAGCTGTACTGTAAACCTAAAACTGCTCTAAAAAAAAAAAAAAAAAGTCTGTCGGTGGGGCGCAGTGACTCACACCTGTAATCCCAGCACTTTGGGAGGCCGAGGCAGCTGGATCACTTAAGGTCAAGAGTTCAAGGCCAGCCTGGCCAACATGGTGAAACCCTGTCTCTACTAAAAATACAAAAATTTGCCAGGTGTGGTGGTGCATGCCTGTAATCCCAGCTACTCAGGAGGCTGAGGCATGAGAATTGCTTGAACCCAGGAGGCGGAGGCTGCAGTGAGCCAAGATCACACCACTGCACTCCAGTCTGGGCAAGAGATTGAGACTCCATTTCAAATAATAATAATAAAATCTGTTAATTAAAACAAACAAATATTTATAGCCCAAACTTAGAAACAACCCAAATGCCCTCCAACCAGTGAATGTTTAAACTAAATTGTGTTACAGGTATAGCGTGGACTACTACTCAGCAATAAAAATGAGTGAACCATTCACACCATTCACACAAACACACACACTCCTGGGTTCTAGTAACAGAGCCACTTACTGATGTGCTGCATGATCCTAGGCAAATCACTTGCAGTTTCTGGGCCTGAATGTGGCTCCCAGGGAAACCTTCTCACTCCGGCCCATCTCACTGCCTCACTCTTGTCCAATAGGACAAGACAAAAGCTAAATTCCACACCTTTCTTGCCTCCCTAGAAAGAATAAGCTCTCCACAGCCCCTGGTTCACTGGCAGTGCTGGTGACTTACCCCTCCCAGCCGACAAGCACCCAGGGCTTTTTCTCTAGCCCAGTTCAGCCTGGGCCTGGCTCTGCGGGACCAAGAGTCCAAGAGTCAGCAGAATCAGCCACCTTCCCTGCCTGACAAGGCTCCAGCTACCCTGGAGTTCAACTCCTCACCTTCCCCTCCTGCACTTGCCCTTCTCTGCTCTCCTGAGTTGTCCATACATTACAAGGAATGCAATACCCTTTTTTTAAAAAAAAAGCCATTTTGCTCTGAACTAACAGAGTCAGGCCTCATTGTTCCCAATATCGCCAAGCAATTTCTGAGCTAGGGGAGTGTTGAATTGGAGCAGGAAGATGGGCAATTGGGCAGGGTCAGCTGACACAAGTGGGTCTGGAGAGCTTCAGGGAGCAGGGGAGGAAGGGCTTCGCTTGGGATTAGGAAAGAAGGATACTGGAGTCTCCAGAGTTGTCAGCAGAGGTGATACCCTGATATTTCCTGTCTCTGGGCTTCCTGCCCCACTCATTGGGCTCAACCCTGGGTTCACCTGGGATGTAACTTCTTTACCAATTGCTCTCCTTTAAATAATGCTGACCTGCTCTAATATCTCAACTCTCTTTCCTGCAATTGCTACAGCAGAAATTCCAGGCAATGTGAGTTTGAGAGTCTCTAGGACCACGAAGATGTTGCCCAATCTCTGACGGCCCAAGGATTGCCACACATGCTTCAAGGCAGCGCTCCCGGGTCCCTCCTTCAGCAAAGCCCTGGCCCAGCTCTGAATTAATTGCCCCCCGCCTTGGCTACCATGACATCTGTGCTCTCGCACAAATTTAGCACCTATCACATTCACTTAGTCCCTAGGCCACATGACACAAACGCGGCTGGAGCTCTGCAAGTTAATGCCCTAATGCTATTATAAACTACATTTGTGAGCAGGGACCACATTTATCTATCTTTATTTCTTCAGTCCCAAATACTGTTCCAGACACATAGTTGGGACTTAATAAATGTTAAATGAACAGAACACTCTGGTGGCTTGCTATACAACTCTGGGCACAACGTTGACTGGCTGACACCAATTATCTAAAGGGACATCAAAACACTCTTAGGAGAAGGAAATTCATTTCCCACAACCTGCAGAACAGAGATGTCCAGTAGAACTCTGTGATGAGGGGAATGTCCTATATCTGCTCTGTCCAATACCTGGCCACTAAGAACACAGGGCTGTTGAAAACCTGAAGTGTGGCTAGTGTGACTAAGGAACTGAATTTTTTAATTTTAGTTAATTTCCAATTAAATAACCACATGTAACTGGTAGCTACCAAACTGGACAGCATAGTTCTAGAAAAAGGCGTCTCTGAAGAGGGGGCTGGCAACTTGTAAATGACATGAACATGAAAGCTTCTAACAGCTTGGTGTCACAGCACTGGACAGCAGCTATGAGCATGGGCTCTGGAGCCACGTGGTCTGGGGTTCGAATCCAAGTTGCCAGCAAATGTGTTAACCCTCTGTGCTTCTGTTCCTCATCTGGATAACAAGAATAGTATTTACCACATGGATTCCTATTAGGGTCAAATAAATGAGTCAATACACTGAAATGGTGCCTGGCACATAGTAAGTACTCAATAATTATTAACGGTACATAGCAAGCAGGCAGAAATGTTTGTTGAGTTTGAACGTGCATATACAAATGAATATTTGCTAATACTTATTGAATATTTACCAAGTGTCAAGCACTGTGTTAAGAACTTGACAATAGAAAAAAGACAGCAGTAACCTCTGCAGACTTAAATGTCCCTCTCTGACAGCTTTGAAGAGAGCAGTGGTTCTCCCAGCACGCAGCTGGAGATCTGAGAACCGGCAGACTGCCTCCTCAGGTGGGTCCCTGACCCCTGACCCCCAAGCAGCCTAACTGGGAGGCACCCCCCAGCAGGGGCACACTGACACCTCACACTGCAGGGTATTCCAACAGACCTGCAGCTGAGGGTCCTGTCTGTTAGAAGGAAAACTAACAAACAGAAAGGACATCCACACCAAAAACCCATCTGTACATCACCATCATCAAAGACCAAAAGTAGATAAAACCACAAAGATGGGGAAAAAACAGAACAGAAAAACTGGAAACTCTAAAACGCAGAGCACCTCTCCTCCTCCAAAGGAACGCAGTTCCTCACCAGCAACGGAACAAAGCTGGATGGAGAATGACTTTGACGAGCTGAGAGAAGAAGGTTTCAGACGATCAAATTACTCTGAGCTACGGGAGGACATTCAAACCAAAGGCAAAGAAGTTGAAAACTTTGAAAAAAATTTAGAAGAATGTATAACTAGAATAACCAATACAGAGAAGTGCTTAAAGGAGCTGATGGAGCTGAAAACCAAGGCTCGAGAACTACGTGAAGAATGCAGAAGCCTCAGGAGCCGATGCGATCAACTGGAAGAAAGGGTATCAGCAATGGAAGATGAAATGAATGAAATGAAGCGAGAAGGGAAGTTTAGAGAAAAAAGAGTAAAAAGAAATGAGCAAAGCCTCCAAGAAATATGGGACTATGTGAAAAGACCAAATCTACGTCTGATTGGTGTACCTGAAAGTGATGCGGAGAATGGAACCAAGTTGGAAAACACTCTGCAGGATATTATCCAGGAGAACTTCCCCAATCTAGCAAGGCAGGCCAACATTCAGATTCAGGAAATACAGAGAACACCACAAAGATACTCCTCGAGAAGGGCAACTCCAAGACACATAATTGTCAGATTCACCAAAGTTGAAATGAAGGAAAAAATGTTAAGGGCAGCCAGAGAGAAAGGTCGGGTTACCCTCAAAGGGAAGCCCATCAGACTAACAGCGGATCTCTCGGCAGAAACCCTACAAGCCAGAAGAGAGTGGGGGCCAATATTCAACATTCTTAAAGAAAAGAATTTTCAACCCAGAATTTCATATCCAGCCAAACTAAGCTTCATAAGTGAAGGAGAAATAAAATACTTTACAGACAAGCAAATGCTGAGAGATTTTGTCACCACCAGGCCTGCCCTAAAAGAGCTCCTGAAGGAAGCGCTAAACATGGAAAGGAACAACCGGTACCAGCCGCTGCAAAATCATGCCAAAATGTAAAGACCATCGAGACTAGGAAGAAACTGCATCAACTAACGAGCAAAATCACCAGCTAACATCATAATGACAGGATCAAATTCACACATAACAATATTAACTTTAAATGTAAATGGACTAAATTCTCCAATTAAAAGACACAGACTGGCAAGTTGGATAAAGAGTCAAGACCCATCAGTGTGCTGTATTCAGGAAACCCATCTCACGTGCAGAGACACACATAGGCTCAAAATAAAAGGATGGAGGAAGATCTACCAAGCAAATGGAAAACAAAAAAAGGCAGGGGTTGCAATCCTAGTCTCTGATGAAACAGACTTTAAACCAACAAAGATCAAAAGAGACAAAGAAGGCCATTACATAATGGTAAAGGGATCAATTCAACAAGAGGAGCTAACTATCCTAAATATATATGCACCCAATACAGGAGCACCCAGATTCATAAAGCAAGTCCTGAGTGACCTACAAAGAGACTTAGACTCCCACACATTAATAATGGGAGACTTTAACACCCCACTGTCAACATTAGACAGATCAACGAGACAGAAAGTCAACAAGGATACCCAGGAATTGAACTCAGCTCTGCACCAAGCGGACCTAATAGACATCTACAGAACTCTCCACCCCAAATCAACAGAATATACATTTTCTTCAGCACCACACCACACCTATTCCAAAATTGACCACATAGTTGGAAGTAAAGCTCTCCTCAGCAAATGTAAAAGAACAGAAATTATAACAAACTATCTCTCAGACCACAGTGCAATCAAACTAGAACTCAGGATTAAGACTCTCACTCAAAGCCGCTCAACTACATGGAAACTGAACAACCTGCTCCTGAATGACTACTGGGTACATAACGAAATGAAGGCAGAAATAAAGATGTTCTTTGAAACCAACGAGAACAAAGACACAACATACCAGAATCTCTGGGACGCATTCAAAGCAGTGTGTAGAGGGAAATTTATAGCACTAAATGCCCACAAGAGAAAGCAGGAAAGATCCAAAATTGACACCCTAACATCACAATTAAAAGAACTAGAAAAGCAAGAGCAAACACATTCAAAAGCTAGCAGAAGGCAAGAAATAACTAAAATCAGAGCAGAACTGAAGGAAATAGAGACACAAAAAACCCTTCAAAAAATCAATGAATCCAGGAGCTGGTTTTTTGAAAGGATCAACAAAATTGATAGACCGCTAGCAAGACTAATAAAGAAAAAAAAGAGAGAAGAATCAAATAGACACAATAAAAAATGATAAAGGGGATATCACCACCAATCCCACAGACATACAAACTACCATCAGAGAATACTACAAACACCTCTACGCAAATAAACTAGAAAATCTAGAAGAAATGGATACATTCCTCGACACATACACTCTCCCAAGACTAAACCAGGAAGAAGTTGAATCTCTGAATAGACCAATAACAGGAGCTGAAATTGGGGCAATAATCAATAGTTTACCAACCAAAAAGAGTCCAGGACCAGATGGATTCACAGCCGAATTCTACCAGAGGTACAAGGAGGAACTGGTACCATTCCTTCTGAAACTATTCCAATCAATAGAAAAAGAGGGAATCCTCCCTAACTCATTTTATGAGGCCAGCATCATTCTGATACCAAAGCTGGGCAGAGACACAACCAAAAAAGAGAATTTTAGACCAATATCCTTGATGAACACTGATGCAAAAATCCTCAATAAAATACTGGCAAACCGAATCCAGCAGCACATCGAAAAGCTTATCCACCATGATCAAGTGGGCTTCATCCCTGGGATGCAAGGCTGGTTCAATATACACAAATCAATAAATGTAATCCAGCATATAAACAGAGCCAAAGACAAAAACCACATGATTATCTCAATAGATGCAGAAAAAGCCTTTGACAAAATTCAACAACCCTTCATGCTAAAAACTCTCAATAAATTAGGTATTGATGGGACATATTTCAAAATAATAAGAGCTATCTATGACAGACCCACAGCCAATATCATACTGAATGGGCAAAAACTGGAAGCATTCCCTTTGAAAACTGGCACAAGACAGGGATGCCCTCTCTCACCACTCCTATTCAACATAGTGTTGGAAGTTCTGGCCAGGGCAATCAGTCAGGAGAAGGAAATAAAGGGTATTCAATTAGGAAAAGAGGAAATCAAATTGTCCCTGTTTGCAGACGACATGATTGTATATCCAGAAAACCTCACTGTCTCAGCCCAAAATCTCCTTAAGCTGATAAGCAACTTCAGCAAAGTCTCAGGATACAAAATCAATGTACAAAAATCACAAGCATTCTTATACACCAACAACAGACAAACAGAGAGCCAAATCATGAGTGAACTCCCATTCACAATCACTTCAAAGAGAATAAAATACCTAGGAATCCAACTTACAAGGGATGTGAAGGACCTCTTCAAGGAGAACTACAAACCACTGCTCAAGGAAATAAAAGAGGATACAAACAAATGGAAGAACATTCCATGCTCATGGGTAGGAAGAATCAATATTGTGAAAATGGCCATACTGCCCAAGGTAATTTACAGATTCAATGCCATCCCCATCAAGCTACCAATGACTTTCTTCACAGAATTGGAAAAAACTACTTTAAAGTTCATATGGAACCAAAAAAGAGCCCGCATCGCCAAGTCAATCCTAAGCCAAAAGAACAAAGCTGGAGGCATCACACTACCTGACTTCAAACTATACTACAAGGCTACAGTAACCAAAACAGCATGGTACTGGTACCAAAACAGAGATATAGATCAATGGAACAGAACAGAGCCCTCAGAAATAACGCCGCATACCTACAACTATCTGATCTTTGACAAACCTGAGAAAAACAAGCAATGGGGAAAGGATTCCCTATTTAATAAATGGTGCTGGGAAAACTGGCTAGCCATATGTAGAAAGCTGAAACTGGATCCCTTCCTTACACCTTATACAAAAATCAATTCAAGATGGATTAAAGATTTAAACGTTAGACCTAAAACCATAAAAACCCTAGAAGAAAACCTAGGCATTACCATTCAGGACATAGGCGTGGGCAAGGACTTCATGTCCAAAACACCAAAAGCAATTGAAAGAAAAGCCAAAATTGACAAATGGGATCTAATTAAACTAAAGAGCTTCTGCACAGCAAAAGAAACTACCATCAGAGTGAACAGGCAACCTACAACATGGGAGAAAATTTTCGCAACCTACTCATCTGACAAAGGTCTAATATCCGGAATCTACAATGAACTCAAACAAATTTACAAGAAAAAAACAAACAACCCCATCAAAAAGTGGGCGAAGGACATGAACAGACACTTCTCAAAAGAAGACATTTATGCAGCCAAAAAATACATGAAAAAATGCTCATCATCACTGGCCATCAGAGAAATGCAAATCAAAACCACTATGAGATATCATCTCACACCAGTTAGAATGGCAATCATTAAAAAGTCAGGAAACAACAGGTGCTGGAGAGGATGTGGAGAAATAGGAACACTTTTACACTGTTGGTGGGACTGTAAACTAGTTCAACCATTGTGGAGTCAGTGTGGCGATTCCTCAGGGATCTAGAATTAGAAATACCATTTGACCCAGCCATCCCATTACTGGGTATATACCCAAAGGACTATAAATCATGCTGCTATAAAGACACATGCACACGTATGTTTATTGCGGCATTATTCACAATAGCAAAGACTTGGAACCAACCCAAATGTCCAACAATGATAGACTGGATTAAGAAAATGTGGCACATATACACCATGGAATACTATGCAGCCATAAAAAATGATGAGTTCATGTCCTTTGTAGGGACATGGATGAAATTGGAAACCATCATTCTCAGTAAACTATCGCAAGAACAAAAAACCAAACACTGCATATTCTCACTTATAGGTGGGAATTGAACAATGAGATCACATGGACACAGGAAGGGGAATATCACACTCTGGGGACTGTGGTGGGGTGGGGGGAGAGGGGAGGGATAGCATTGGGAGATATACCTAATGCTAGATGACGAGTTAGTGGGTGCAGCGCACCAGCATGACACATGTATACATATGTAACTAACCTGCACAATGTGCACATGTACCCTAAAACTTAAATAAAAAAATATATATATATATATATATAATTACCATTGTAAAAAAAAAAAAAAAAAAAAAAGAATTTGACAATAACCCTAAGAGTTATGATCATCGACATATTGAAAGCAAGAAACTGAGGCTAAGGAGGTGAGGTGAATGCCCAGATTTCACAACTGGGGGGTGGGTGCTACTGGGATCTAGTGCATAGAGGCCAGGGAAGCTGCTAAGCATCCTACAGTGTGCAGAACGCTCCCCAGCAAAGAATTATCCAGCCCCAGAAGTTAACAGTGCTGAGGTTGAAAAACTCTGGTCTACAGCCTCCTAGACAGAAATCACAGATAGTTACCATTTGCCACATGAAAGAGCTATGTGCCAGCACTGCAGAGGGCAGGGGGAGGTGCTTGAAAAACAGTCCCCACTCTGGAGACATTTGTGGTGAAATTGCACCAATGCAAGATTAGGAAAGAGAGGAGGAGGTGCCAGGGGGCTGAGTCACCTGAGATGACAAAGGGAAGGGGTGAAATCACTGTCTTTTCACAAGTGAGAAGCACAGAGGGTGGAGGAAGGGCCCAGAGCCAGAGACAACGTGGATCAAAAGCATGGAGCTCCTGGAGAGGCCACTCTCTGGACCCCGGTTTTGTACAAAGCATGAATGACACAGCCTGCTCCTCCATCTGATGGAAAGTTGCCCAACCTCCAATAGGTCAGCATGTCAACAAGATGCCATCATCAACATCACTACTGTTTATAGAGCACTTACTATGTGTCAGGTACTGCACTGAGGGCAAAATCTCATTTAGTCTAATATCAACCCTCTTTCCCAAGTAACATGGCTAGCCCCAGACTGCCAGAATCTAGAGCACCAGCTCTTAACCACCATGCTGTGCTTGCTGTCTTGGCATCAGATGGGAGAGTGGGCAAATGGATGAGAGAGGCCCACACCATGCTCTGCCCCTCCACATGGCATGATTAGACAGCCTGCCTGCCCTTGCCATGTGTTTTCACTCATCCCCTGACCTGCTGCATAAACTGTAAGGGTCTCCCAGGCTCTACCACAGTGTCTGGCATACAGCAGGTGCTCAACACACATTTTTTGAAGTGAACTGAAATGAGAAGGTTGGCTCCTTGAGCTCCATGGATAGAAGCTAAAGTGACAGCCTCTTCCTGATCACCTACTCTGTTCAGGCCCTATGCTTGGCACTCACTCCCCAGTTAGCGCCCGGGAGAAAAGACAGCTATAAATACTATCAGCATGTGGCAGAGGGAGTGCCGGACACCACACAAGTGGGGCAATTTAGAGCTCACGCCTTGCATGCTTAGAGATCAGGAGGCAGGGAAAGAGGAGAGAGGGTCTCACCAAACCCAGGCACTTGGGCTGAAACTGAAAGGAAGGGGAAAAGTTCTGACAGGCTTGGAATGAGAAGTGCAGAAAAAGGACTTCCCAAGGGAGGAACTTGTGTGAACAAAGACGCAGAGGTGAGCAAAGCAGCTATGATGGGAGAAGGAGGTTCTAGATTAGTCAGAGCATATGGGGCAAGACAGGACCACTTGTGATGTGGACACATGAAAAGGGGCTAGGCAGTGGGAATCCAAGAACATCCTCTAGATGGGAGTGGGTTCACGTCAGCCATGCTTCAAAAGGGATTTGCCAGGGAATTATTTATGGTGGTACCAAGCAAGCACTCATTTAGCTTATATCCAACATTATACAAACACGGCATTGAGCTCTGCAAGTTAGGGCCCTAATGCCACTCTAAATTAAATTCATCAGTGTCTTAATTAAGATCTATATTTAGTTCTTAATTAAAGGGGAGAGAAAAACCCACGATGTTGCAGAGCTGAGATTTGGAATGGAGATAAATCATCTTTCTGCCAGTATACTGGGCACATGCCCACCCACTCTCAAGACACAGCACCCTGCCAGGGCTGGCAATCCTTTAATCTTCCCTCCCTCCCTCCTTCCTTTCCTCCCTCACTGTCTCCCTCCCTCCCTCCCTCCCTCCATTTCTTCTTTCCTTCATCTTTCATTACCTCCTTCTTACATTTATTCTACATCTATTTATTGAGAACCTATTGTGTCCCAGGCATTCAGCTTTGATTCTGGGACGGGTAAGGAACAAAATAGAAATGGTCCCTGACCTCAAGGAGATTACATTCCAAAGAAAAATAGCAATGGATACACATGCCTCAGCTTTGAGGTCCTGCCCCCCAGCCCCATAAGGCAATGCCATGGCATGGAGGAGAGAAGGAACTGGCAGAACACCGTCCTACACCCAAATGGGCAGTGACTTGTCTGAGACCCTGGATGAGTCGCTTCACCTCTTGGGGCCTTGTTCAATCTTCTCTAAAACAAAAACTACTCAGCTCCACAGCATCATGGAAAGAATCCCAGCCTGAGCCACCAGAAGACCCATTCTCTCCTGGCTTCACCTGGCTCTGTGGACTTGGGCACATTGCTCTAGCTCTCAAAGGTTGCTGGGAGGATCAGACAAGACAATGGCTGGGAGAGGCTCTGTAATAGTCCCACGCCGTACACATGTATGTAGTCATTTTACAGTACCTCAAGGGGCTGTGATAAAGATCACTGAAGTTATAGGGGTAGACACTTTTATAGCAATTTACAGAAAACTTGAGATGTGAAATTGAAAAAATCATCTGCAAAGCAGAAGCTTTGAAATTCAAATTTATTTTTGTTTATATTTTGGCCAGGTCAAGTTCTTGGGCAGGGGCACTGTGAATTGCTGTTACTGTGTCAATTACACATCTGCGTGGACATTCAATTGTCTGGTTTCCCGAGTGAGGCAGGAGGATGGGAAGGGCTGGCAAGGGGACTCTGGTGCCGTCATCCCATCAGCCAGAGAAAGCCTTGGAGAGTGGCCATGTGGCCACTCTTCACAGTCCTCCTGTGCCTGCCATTCTGGGCAAGCTCTCAAGTGGGCCAGCTGCAGCCCCTTAAGCAGAGGATGGAGATGGGTTATCAGGTGAATGCGGAAGGGGTCTGTGAGCTTCCCTTTTACCCTAAGGTTCTAGGAATCTCTGACATCGATGGGGCACTCTCCCCTGGGAGCAGCTTAACTGAGCAGCCACAAAGACCTTTGCAAAGCATCAGCCTGAGTTCCTGGGAGGTCCAGTGCCTTGGCCTGGTGAACAGAGTTAGCAGAGGCCAAGAGTTGGAATCCACATGCACCTCGTGCCAAGGACTGTATCCAAGGTGACTCAATCATAAGCAAGAGGGGTTCCCGCCCTCGGCCCAGCCAGCACAAATTAGGAGGGAGAGCTGGAAGTCAGCGGGACAGCCACACTGATTACAATGCAAACTTAACCAGCTGCCCTTCCTCACCACTCCCAACCCCCAGAAAGTGCTTTTCTCCAGGGCCCAACCAGGGTTCCGGGGACCCTGGGTAAAATGCCACTGGGTAAAATGGTAAAATTTACCAGGGTTGATTATTACGGATGTCAGAGTGGTTTGGGAACAGAAGGAGACAGAAGTGCACCCCAATTGGGGAAAACGGATTGTACAAAGGTACAGAACCAATAAAGCCTGATGAGTTAAGAAAATAAGTAATTTGTGTGTGGTGTGAGGGGATGGGGCAGGTGAGGCAGGAAACGCCAGCTGAGACCAGCTTGGGGAAGGCCTTGCGCTCCATCATTTCACTCCTCCGCTCCAGCCTTAGGCAGCCTTCAGTGCACACCTCCGAGGAGCGTCCTTTCTCGTGAGCTTCCAGCCCAGGTCCCGGGCCGGGCAAGCCCCGCAGCGCCCCTCCACCTCGGAGCAGATCCTAGACCGAGGAAAAACAGTCCCCCAACACAGCCCCGGGTGGGCAGGGGGCACGGTTTATTTTAGAGCCGGCGACTCGCAGCCCAGGGAGCGGCGCTAAAACCCGCGGACCCGGCGGGCGCAGCGGGTCCGAGGAGCGGCGGGGGCGGCCGGCAAAGTTAACTTGGCACCACCGGCGCTTCAAAGCGGTGCAGCTGTGGCTAGCAGAGCCGGCGCCGCTTTCTTCTCGCCGCTTCCTTCTCCCCGATTAATCAGCGGCTACAGCCGTCGCTTTGATCCCCGAAATCAAACCCTCCGTCTGATGGGTGACTTGATGTTATGCTAATCCAAGCTGATTGAGCTGAGATAATTACACTTCATCCAGGTTTCCTGGGAGTTCCGAATAAATATTGATGCACATCTGTCCCCCGCTCAGGTGTAGAGGGGAGCTTTGCGCTCGCAACAGTTTCCGCCCACCCGGCAGCGCGCGCTCCGCCGCCCGCCTTCGTCCCTGCGCCCGGAGGCCACGAGCCGGGCGTTTGCCCCGAGCCTCCCCGCGCAGGGCCCGCGAGGCGCCCGGGGAAAGCGACCAAGACCTGGAGCTTTGCGGTTCGCGGCCCGGGTTGGAGTGGCCGCACACCCGTATCAGCTGTGTGGTCTTGGACATGTCACTTAATCTCTTTGAGCACCAGGGCCTAGCCATCTGTCTAGATTGCGGCAAAGATTTTTTTTTTTTTTTTTTTTTTTTTTGAGATGGAGTCTCGCTCTGTCGCCCAGGCTGGAGTGCAGTGGCGCGATCTCGGCTCACTGCAACCTCCGCCTCCCGGGTTCAAGCTATTCTCCAGTGCGACAAAGATTTAATGGGATGCGTAAGAATGGGCCGAACTGCAAGGCGAGTCTCAACCCCGCGGAGCCTTCCTCAAGCGCCTCCTCCCCGCCAGCCCTCACGCGCCCGGCCGCCCGCTCCAGACGGTACGGAATTGAATAATAAAGACAGCGTTTCAGTGGCGCCGCTCCTCCCCGCAGGCTAATTAGGTCGTGTTTGTAAAGCACTTGGAAGACAAAACGCGCCCCAAGTGTTAATTATCATTAGCCCCGTCCCAACACGCTTCCCGAGCGGTGCGGAGAGCCAGGAGTGTCCCCTAGCCAACAGGCGGCCGGGTGGAACGCGGGGACCGCAGCCAGACCGCGCCCCCCACCCCTGCTGGCTCAGATCCCTTTCCCAGGCCCTCCGAAAATTGGGACACCAGGGCAGAAAGGGGTAGGGAGAGCAGCGGGGCACGAGACACAGCTAACTGCAGGTGTATCCGTCCCCCTCCGGGTAAGAGAGAGGGGACGCCCGGGAAGGCCTCACTCAGGAGGGCCTCCAGTGTTGGGGAAGGAGTCGGAGTCCACGCAGCGACCTGGGGCGAGTCTTCCGGGGCGTGGACTTCCCTAAGCACCGTGTCTTCCTAAATCTCTCAGGGTTTTCCCCAGGCAGACTCCAGAAGCTCGCCCCCATCGACTAAAGACACTATTGCCCAATCCAGATCTCTTATAAGGCCCGGGCCAGGGCTGAAGGACTTTGGAGACAGACACCCGAGCTCAGAGTTTGTTCTGGCTGTGCCAGGCTGTACTTCTGGCAGATCTTGGCCTTGCCCTCAGAGTAAGACTGCCCTAGAAGTTGTAAAACCAAGCTAGTATTCCCTTCTCCCGCCTTTATTAGGGATGATGAATACACAGCCCAGACCCCGAGGGGCCCCCACACCACTGCCAGTGGGAAGCAGAACCCAATTGGTATCCAGCTCCTCCTTCAGTGCTGGGGGGACATACGCTTCGAATAACTCCAGCAACACTTAGAACACATCCCAGTGAAAAACAACCATGAATGATATGGAATTGACAGTCTACAAAGTGCATTTATATGCATCATCCGATTAGGTCCTAATGAGCAACTGAGGCTCAGAAATGTTAGCAGGACTAGGGCTAGAGCCTGGGTTTGCTGTCCCCAGACTCCTTGTGATGTCTCCAAGCCCACTTTTCTGAGAGAGGCTGAAGCTGTAATTCTTTGCACACATGTAATCCTCCCATACTCTGTTGCTCACCACCGCTTTCCTGAAATTGGGCATTTATCCAACAACAAGCATACCCAGGGACATTTCCTGTTGTCTTTAGAAGCTGGTGGGTAGAGCTGTGTGCCCAGACATCGTCCTCAGAGGCATGCGAAGACCAGCCTCTTGAATGAGGCAGAGTGGAGTTGGGGGGAGGGTACTCCCCACCTCCTGGGAAAAGAGTTCATAAGCTCTGCAAAGCAGGGGGTTGGACGCCACCAACCCCTTTCACCCCCGTAATTCCTAACATGCTGTTGAATAGTGTGTGCTGAACTCCAGGCCGAGGTGAACTGGAGAAGCAAGTAGTGGAGGCCTCCGAGAAGGAAGCAGACGCCAGGAGGCTGAGTTCATGCCCTTTGCCAACGCCAGGGACGCCAGGCTTCTCAACCTTCCCTGAGCCCAAGAGGGCTAGAAATCACTGGGGGAGTCCCTTAAAGGGCGGATTTATGGCCCAGCCAGAGATTCTGATATAACAGTCTGTGTTAGAGCCCCTGGAATCTGCTTTAAACACTTCACACACACACACACACACACACACACACACAGACACACACACACACACACACACACACTCCTCAGGCAGTCTAGATAACGGGCATTCCTCCAAACCCTCCTTGAGAACCCCTGCCCACCAAGAGCTGAGCATTGCACAGAAACTCTCAGCAGTCAGCCAGGTAAAAGTGCAGGCGGATCCCAGGGAGGCAGGGCCATCTGGCAGGCCTGGTGGAGGGTGGGGAATGTTTGGTCCTCTCTACAGGAGTGCCTTGCTCTCAGAGTGTGGGTGAAGAGAGGCTAGGGAGCCGATGGCCCACTCTGTGTGGCGCTGCAAGCCCCCTGCTCTTCCGCCGGGACAGCCCGAGGGCAGAGCTCGGACAGCCTTCCTCTGAGGACTTCTGCAGAGGTTGTGCCACCTGTCACTGGGTCAGTGGGCAGACAGGTGTGCTGCCTGTCAGGAGCTTTGGGGTACACAAGACCCCCTTATCCACTAGTTGCAGGAGGCTCAGGGCCGAGGGCTCACAACACTTTTAGGAGCCTATGGAAATGTTTTGATTTCTTTTAACATCAGAAGAAAATAAATGAGCTTTCAGAGAGAATAAAGTATTTTAATATACAATATTAACTTATTCATCTGTCTACTAATACAGTCATAGTGAGTTTTTTTAATGGAGAAAGGAACCCATGAAAGCCAAAGTGCCTAAGGGGCCACAAAAGTCATAAAATGGCCTGGGGCAGGAGGACAAGGGATGTGAGGAGGGTGGCAGGTGACTGCCCTGACACATAGGAGGCTTCCCACAGGGCAGATATGACTTCCCATGGCAACCAGAGCTTGCTGTCAACCAGGCCCCTCACTGGCAGTGCCCAGGGTCCAATGGAAAGGGGCAGCTGCTGAATGGGCCCTAGAGTTGTCATGGCAATTATGATTGACAATGGAGCATCCTGTGAATGCCAACAATGATCCCTAAAATGACCTCTGCCCTACAGGCTGGGTCCTGCAGGGAATGTTGGCAGGCTGGGCTCAAAATGAGAAAGAGGGGAGAAAGAGGACTGGATGCAGGAGTGGGAGGACCTGGCCTATGTGCCTTTGGGCAGCAGTAAATGAATGTAAGTGAGGTCCAGGTGAGCACATTTATTTTATAGTAAATATTTTGGGTCCTTTTTGATCTGAAATTGCACATCCTTCATTCTTCTCTCTAAGTGGGGAAAAAGAGGAGAAGAAAAAGAAGTACCACTCTGGCCTGGCCTATTTCCCCAGAGCTCACTCCTCATCTTACCCTACCATCTCCCCATCTTCACCCAACTCCCAATGCCCTGTAAGGCCCCAAACTTTGCGTGTGGTGGGTAAGCAGCCCTACCACAGTCAGAGGCCACGTTCACTAATCCAGAAATTAAAGCGCCCGCAGAAAACAGGCTAATCAAATTATACATTCCTAGAACCATTTATAAGCCGGGTACATTCTTTAATCTTAATTAGAAATCTGAGCAGCTCCCACCGTCTCTGTAATCAACATTTAAACAGCACTGACCCCCATGGCACTAACCTTGAGAGCCACACACAGGTTGGCGAGAAGAGAGCTGGGGCTGCCTCCTTGCTGGAGAAGGGGTGTTCGTGGAACTGAGCAAGGCTGGATCACTCAGCTGCCCCCGCGACACTCCATGTCTTCCCCTCCCTGATGACCCATACATACACACAGTCTCAATCTATCCAATCCACCCACCAACCCCCATGCTCCCAACCCAGGACCAGGTTTAGAACCTTGTGTCTCTCACCTAACAATTACAATACTTTTCTAACTGGCCCAATTCTCTAAGCCACAACACAATGATCTTTCTACAGAGCACTTCTGACCATGTTGGTTCCTATAAAACTCCTCAAGGTTCCTTAGAGCCTTTAAGATATAATCCACACCTGCCTCCCCTGAGCACGGTGCCCCAGGCTTTGTGGTCCAGCCCCTGCTACCTCTTTATCGCACTCCTCTGTGACACTGAACTCCTGCCATCCCCTGCAAACAAAAAGGGATTTAATTTTCTGAGTCTTTGCACATGCATCCCACCAGGAATGCTTCCCTCTGGTTTTAACAAACCTGGTCCTACTTAGCCTTTAAAACCTTGCAAAGAAAACATATGTCCACACAAAAACTTTTACAGGAAGGTGCACGGCACCATGATTCATACTAGTCCCAAACTGGAAACAATCCAAATGCCCACTTACCTGGTGAATGGATAAAGAAACTGTGGTACAGCCATACAATGGAATAGAACTCAGCAACCAGAAGAAACGAACTACTGTTACATGCAACAACAAGAATGGACCACAAACACATTATGCTAAGTCAAAGAAGACAGACACACAAGATTATGTATTATGTCGGGGGTCCCCTACTGGTCCGTGGCCTGGTAGGAAACTGGCTACACAGCAGGAGGTGAGGGGCTGGCAGGTGAGTGAAGCTTCATCCGTATTTACAGCCACTCCCCATGGCTCACATTGCCACCTGAGCTCTGCCTGCTTGTTAGGTCGGTAGGGCATTAGATTCTCATAGGAGCGTGAACCCTATTGTGAACTGTGCATGCGAGGGATCTAGGTTGCATGTTCCTTATAAGAATCTAATGCCCTGTTGATCTAACATTGTCACTGTCTCCCATCACCCCCAGATGAGACTGTCTAGTTACAGGAAAACAAGCTCAGAGCTCCCACTGATTCTACATTATGGTGAGCTGTAGAATTATTATATATTACAATGTAATAATAAAGTGCACAATGAGTGTAATGTGCTTGCATCATCCCGAAACCATCCCCACCCTGGTCTGTGGAAAAAGTGTCTTCCACAAAACCGGTCCCTGGTGCCAAAAAGGTTGGGGACCGCTGTATTACATATTCCATTTACATGAAATTTCCAGAAAAGTTAAACACATAGAGGTTGGAGGCAGGTCAGTAGTTGCCTTGAGCCTGGAGTAGGAGTAGTAATTGACAGCATACGGGCATGAAGGGGGTCTTTGGGAGTGATGGAAGTATTAATAAGTATTCTACAACTCTATTGTGGTGATAGTTGCATAAAGGTATAAACTTACTAAAAATCATTGAACTGTATACTTACAATGGGTGAATTTTATGGTATGAATAAAATTAGCAGTAAAGCCGTTAATCAGTAAAGCTAATTGACAGATGGGGATAGATGTGATGAATTAAGTATCATACAATGATAATAGTAGAACCTAAGCAGTGGGTTGAGTGTTCACGGAAAAATTCTTTCAACTTCTCTGTATGCTTGAGAATTTTCATAATAAAATGTTGGGGGATGGGGGTTCTTGTTACAGCCTCACTTTTCTGAAGCCTTTCTCCTTTGCCTTCCCCTCACTCTACATGCCAATCTTGGAAACAATTCACCTCTCACTTCCGTATAATAAGTGGTCACTTATATGGGCTCTTGCCTTGTGAAGCTGATCTTCTTTGTCCTGCCAAGTGTCAACTGAGGAACCCTCTTACGTACACAAAGATGACGCTAGAAGGCGTTCATTGTTCAAAGGATCAAGATGTAACCAAATCTGTGCTTTGAGTATTCTATTGTTGTTTTTGTTTTTTGTTTTTTTAAGTGGTTTAACAATATTTACCTTACCTTTTTATGGCTGGGGCAGAAGCCCAATTTACATAAAAAGCCCAGAGACTTTTGGGAGGAAAGAAATAAATGGCCTAACTTCCTGAGCTCTCTACGACTCAACAGGTCAGGGAGACTTGCTGCTGAACTAAAGTCCTGTAAAATTCAGGACTCTAAGTTATCTTAAGGAAAAAGGATGTCCAGGTGAGCGATCTGGGCCTGAAAGAGGGCCATAGAAGTTCATGGGAGAGTACTGGTTTGGGCAAACCATGTGTGTGGTGCAGAAGATCCTCCACGCCCAGAGACCACTGGATGGAGTTTGTACTTTGGAAATAACCGCTGAGGGTATGAGTGAGATCCATGTGTGCTGAAGGTTTGAAGGCCCTGGCGCCCCACTGTGGTCTGGCAGAGGCCTTAGGGTCTGAGAACTGGAGCCCGCGGGCTGTGCAGAGCACTGCAGCAAGTTCCAGTCATGCTGGGCCATTAGGCTGATGAAGTCTCTGCACTTGGCTTTGGAAGAAGGCAACCCCATTTGGACCAAGTATGCTACTAGGGTCAATGAAGAGTTCAAGAGGCCTGGGGGAGGGAGACTCAAGAGGGAGATCCCAGGCTAGCTGCTCATCAGGAAGGTGGGCTTGCAGGCAACCAAATTTTAAAATGTGATTGTGCTTTTGCTGCAGGTTTGTGCAGTGGTTCACACCAGCTGCAATTGTATCATGCCTCTGTGTTTCCTTACTGACTTGTTTGACTGGAGACTGAATCTGTGAGGCAGGGACTGTATGCCATTTATCTCTACCTCCTTAGCACAGTTCCTGGCACATTCTAAGTGTCAGTCCAGGACCCTAAAACCCCAACCTGTGGCCCCAGCTCGGATGCCAGCCCACAGCATGGCATCAAGAAAGTCCCTGAAGCCTGGTTTTTCTCTAACTCAGGCCAGCCATACCAAGAAGGGAGCAAGGACAGAATGCTGGTGAAGGATTTGAAACTTCTCGAAGAGGGAGGGAACTGGTGCTACCGCGGACTCAGGGCAGAACAACCTAATGCCTGAGCCCATCCATTCACTTATTCAATCCACATTTTACCTGCATTCCAAGATCCAGGGACAGAGACATGAGTGTGACCGGGTGACAATCTCCCAGTCTGGAATACAACATGATCTCACTGAACATGTAAAAACTACTACTGGGGTCCGGGCATGGTGGCTCACACCTGTAATCCCAGCACTTTGGGAGGCCCAGGCGGGCAGATCACCTGAGGTTGGGAGTTCGAGACCAGCCTGACCAACATGGAGAAACCTCGTCTCTACTAAAAATACAAAAATTAGCCAGGCACGGTGGCAGGTGCCTGTAATCCCAGCTACTCGGGAGGCTGAGGCAGGAGAATCGCTTGAACCCGGGAGGCAGAGGTTGTGGCGAGCTGAGATCACGCCATTGCACTCCAGCCTGGGAAACAAGAGCAAAACTCCATCTCAAAAAAAAAAAAAAAAAAAAAAAAAAACGACTACTGGAACTGTGTCCGTTAGCAAGCATTTGGTTGCAAGTAACAAAAAACAAAACTGACTTAAATAATAAGGAAAATGTGTTATTTAATGTAGTAGGAAGTCCAGGGGTCAGACAGGATGCAGGAGTGGCTGATGCATGGGCTTGACAGTAAGACTGGAAACCCCAGTCCTTTTTTTTTTTTTTTTTTTTTTTTTTTTTTTTGAGATGGAGTCTCGCCCTGCCTGTCACCCAGGCTGAAGTGCAACAGTGTGATCTCGGCTCACTGCAACCTCCGCCTCCCAGGTTCAAGCAATTCTCCTGCCTCAGCCT
This sequence comes from Homo sapiens, assembly GCF_000001405.40. Lineage (NCBI taxonomy): Eukaryota > Metazoa > Chordata > Mammalia > Primates > Hominidae > Homo > Homo sapiens. The sequence continues at coordinate 116,587,997 of NC_000011.10, forward strand.
CCCGAGTAGCTGGGATTACAGGCCCATGCCACCATGCCTGGCTAATTTTTTGTATCTTTAGTAGAGATGGGGGTCACCCTGTCGGCCAGGCTGGCCTTGAACTCCTGACCTCATGATCCACCCACCATGGCCTCCCAAAGTGCTGGGACTACAGGTGTGAGGCACTGCACCCGGCCTCTGTCTTCCCTCTATCCTTCCTCCAGGTTTTGGCTTCAACTTCAGTTTGGTGAGGCATGCCTTCCAGACCTAACGGTGTACAGCATAAAAGAAGAAGGTTAATTTTTCTCTTCCCATAGCTCTCTTCTAGAAGCAATAAGATTTTTTTCATAAAGCTCCCTAATCTACATTTTGTGCATCTTATTGGCCCAAATATGGGATACAGTCCCAATTCCTGAACCAGTCACTGGCATGGGGACTGGGTTTATTTTGGACCAATAAGACTCAACCCTGAAGCTCGGGAGTCATGGGGAGTCTACGTTCCCCTAAAGCCTCTGGCTATGTGGGAGAGTGGAGAGCACCCAAACAAAATCAGGTTTGTTGTGAATTTTTAGAAGTAGAAATGGGGGCTGGGCACAGTGGCTCACATCTGTAATCCCAATACTTTGGGAGGCCAAGGTGGGAGGACTGCTTGAGCATGGAGTTCAAGACCAATTTGGGCAACATAGTGAGACCCCACCTCTACAGAAAAAAAAAAAAGAAAGAAAAAAAAGAAACTGGAACTTGGTAAACTGTCAACAATATCCATGATAGGATCTCCAAAGGAAAGGGAGGCAACAGGAAAGCTCTCCAGAGGAGGTGGCCTATGAGCTGGGTCTTTGTATTAGTCTGGTCTCACATTGCTGATAAAGACATACCCAAGACTAGGTAATTTATAAAGATAAAAAGGTTTAATGGACTCACCATTCCACGTGGCTGGGGAGGCCTCACAATCATGGTGGAAGTCAAAAGACATGTCTCACATGGTGGCAAACAAGAGAGAAAGCAAGCCAAGTGAAAGGGGTTTCCCCTTTTAAAACCATCAGATCTCATGAGACTTATTCACTACCACGAGAACAGTATGGGGGAAACTGCCCCCGTGATTCAATTATCTCCCACTGGGTCCCTCCCACAACATATGGGAATTATGGGAGCAATCCAAGATGAGATTTGGCTGAGAACACAGTCAAACCATATCAGTCTTCAAAAATGGGCAGGACTTATCTGTGAGACAAGAGGGAGAAGGTGATCCCAGGCACTGGGCTCAGCATCTGAAAAAGCATAGCAAGATGTTCAAAGGACCAGGAGACATTTGGCAGGACTGGAGAGTTGGGGACACAAGGCACATAAGAAATCCAAGTCTGGCTGAAAAAATCGCAGGGCTAACATGGTGCCGGCCCTCATCGGCTGTGCTAAGGAGCTTGAACCTTAGTCAGTGAGAAACAGGGGAGTCTCGTTTGTTGAAGGATGATTTTGAGGACAGTGTGGGAGTCAGTTGGAGTACTTCTAATTAGGAGCACTGCTATGTGCCTCTCAAACTAACTCATGGCCCCACCAGTTTTCCTGAGCACTCTCAGAGCCATAGGTGGTGTCTGCAGCAGCAGCAACAGGTAAGGAGCTGGGACTGCTGCCTCCCTGTGGGCCAGGTAGCAAGGACAGAGGTACGTAGATAGGAGGGAATGAACCTGGTCCCCTCCCAGGAGCTCAGAATGAAGCCACCAGCCATGGGCATAAAGAGAAGCAGGCCTGGAGCAGTCCCAACCGCTTCCTGGTGAATCTCGTCGTCCCCACACTCACTGTGCAATCAGCAGCCTGGCCAACCATCCAGCCCTGTTAAGGTGGCTGTTGTCTCATCCCCTGCCAGGAGGAAGGGAAACATCCAGTTCCCAAGAGGAAGTCCAGTGAGGAAACCATGACATACACATCCTTCCATTCCCAGACTCTTCTACACATACACCTGCCTCTCCCTTGAACTACTGAGCTCTGGTTCCCTCTCCCCTACCCTTACCAACTTCCAAGTGGGGTCTGACCTGGCCCCTCTACTTCCTCCCCACCTGTTGGTCCCTCAAGCCCCTGCAGTCTGGCTATTGATACAGCTGAGGACACTAATGACCCCCCAGTGACCACCTCTAAGAGCCATCTGAGACCCCATCCTCTCTGACTTCTGAGTGGCATTTCTCACTTTGGACAGCATTCTTCTTCTTAAGTTCAACTCAGAGTCTGGAGCCCTCCCAGGCCTTGATCTGGGCAGTACTCCATGGCTGCTTTACCACTTTCTGCCCCTCTGGCCATCCCTGTCTGCCCCTTTCACCACCTCTTTCTGCCTTTGAGCCCCATGTGAGTGTGTTCTCATCGCCGTATCTCCAGATGCCCCCTCCCACCATGCCCTCTCTCCCTCCACGGCTCCATTCTCACATAATGATGGCTCTCCTATCTAAACTCCAGGCCTCCCCACCTCCTGAGAGGGCTCCAGCCTCCCTCCCAAGGCTTCTGCTGGACATTCCTCTCTGGCTGTCCTACACCAGCTCAGTCCCAAAATGTCTGCCACCAAGGTCATTGTCTTTTCCCCACCCTCCTCCTCCTCACCCCCTAGCTTCTCAGATGCCATCTGCAGCTTTCACACCACCACACTCGAAACCCCAGACTTCCCCATGACCCCTCACCCCCCCCATGACCTCTCTTACTCCTTCCTTCTATTCAGTGGCCAAGTTATCAGAATCTTAGATTCTGATTTTTGTCATAAACAAACTTCCGTAGCTCTCATATGTCTGTCCAATAAGCTTGAACTTCTCAGCGTGGCACTCAAGGCCCATGGTGGCCAGCCTCCTGCCTTCTCCTTCTGCCTTGTTTGCTAGTTCCCTTCTCTGGGAACCTCCACCACTTCACTCATGCCACCTTCCTCTCCTTCAACGCTTTCTCTCCCCTAACCCAAGTGAGCAATTCTTTGCTGCTTGGCTGAAATATCTGTCCCTTTCATGGGAACAGGAGCCATCATCGGCTTTGTTACCCAGAAGGCTGGGTTGGCAAGCATAGCTTGGGTCTACATCCACAGCTGGGCTCTTGATACTTTCACCTGCACTCAGAACTGCACGTCTTTTCTGTGCAGGGGTAGACCTTGCTCCAGTGAGGACGGGTGGAATGCAGGCTCCCTGAAGGCAGGGCGGCCCTGACAGCAGAGCAAGGAAGGGTGCCTGTGCCACCCCTGTGCCGGCCCCACTTCTTATCACATTACCCACTTGGAGAAAGAGAGAGAGAGCAATTGAGAGCATGGAGGGATAAGCAGAAGCAGCTCTGATCACTGTTTCCAAAAGGGCTGGAGTTCCTCTATATGGGCCAAGGTAAAATGCTGAGGGAGGAGAAAGCCATTCCTCCCACATGGCCATGTGTTCATTCCAGGGCAGGGGGCCAGCACTGCGCAGACACGTGAGTCTGCATGCCTCTGGGTCCACGAACAGCTCCTGTGAGGGGTCATATTAATTACTCTTTGTGTGCCCTGAACAGCGGCATCTCCCTACACACAAGCTTGGCCACCCTGTGCCATTTCTACACAGATTCTACTATGACTCAAACCTTTTTTCTTTCATTCTCAGCAGCATATTCCTAGTACCATCCTCCAGTTTCTGGAAGAACTATTGGTTCTCACCAACTGGCAGTTAGTACCAGTGATTCCAGAGCTGACTTGACCCTCAATATCCAGTTCCTCATCAGCAGCCAGAACCCCAGGGGGTCCGGCCTCAGATGATGGTGCAGGACAAAAGCCAGGAATAAGTTCCTGCATTTCTGCCCTGACCTCCTCTAGCCTTAAAAAAAAAAAAAAGAACGTCTTCAGGAATTAGGTGTCCATTTGTCCATTAAGGCTACATTTTTAAAAAAAATTTCCAGCTGAAAATTTCACACAGGAATTTGTTAGTCTTTTTTTTTTTTCCCAGTGCTCTGAGTGTCCCAGGAGTCTGGCTCTTCACCTGGAAATTCTTTCTCAAATTACAATTCCCATCTCAGTGTGGTTGTCTCCATATCCCTAGGGCTTTCTGGTGGCATTCCACAGCTCATACTGACTCTCCCTCCATCTCTGTACCCTGAGTCCAGCAATTAGACAGTGTGAAAACAGAATCTCAGCACAAACAGTGTTCATCTGCAGTGCAGCAGGGCCCTGGATGTTAGATCCAAAATTCCAAAGGGTAACTCCCCAAATGTACCCCTAACTGTGCTCTTAGCAGCTGGAAGCACAAGAAGGTCAGCCCATTCTCAGAAATAAATCTTCTCATCAGACAGTCAAGCATGCACACAGACCAGAAGAGAGTACAAAGCAGCTCTCTACCTCCCTCCCTACCAAGTCTCCTCGACTGATATCTGGGGGTTCATCCTTCTGCTCCCTCATCCCCTCTTAGATCTTGGGTCCTCTCTTCTTCCCTCCCAGGGTCCAGGTGCTTCTTCCTCCTGACCTCTGTCTCAGGCACTCAGGCAGTAGGTTTCATCCCTTTTTCCCCTTGATGGAAATCAAAGGAGACTTCAGATACTGTAAGTCCTACGTGCAGGACGGGAGAGACAATACCCAGAAGATAAACCTTCTCCAAGTCAGAAGTTCTCTGCCCTCACTATGCATCAAAACCATTTAGGCAGAATTTTTTTTTTTTTTTGAGACAGAGTCTCACTGTCACCCAGGCTGAAGCGCAGTGGCACAATCATAACTCACTGAAGTCTCTACCTCCCAGACTCAAGCAATCCTCCCAACTCAGCCTGCTGAGTAGCTGGGGTTACAGGCACGCACCACCACGCCTGACTGACTTTTGATTTTTTGTAGAAATGGAGTTCCACTATGTTGCCCAGGCTGGTCTTGAACTCCTAGGCTCAAGTGATCCTCCCACCTTGGCCTCCCAAAGTGCTGGAATTACAGGCATGAGCCATCATTCCCAGCTGCAGGTCACTTTTTAGGATAAAGATGCCTGGGCTCCACCCCACAGACACTGATTTAATTGGTCTGGAGTGGGGTCCCGGCATCACCTGCAATCTCCAGGTGATTCTAAAGTACAATCAGGGTTGGGAACCACAAGTATAACTGAATGTCACTTTTTCTGTCTTACCAAAGATGTTCTTCTGCTGGGTATAGACCAGATCCCCAGGAGAGAGACAGGTCCCCACCCTGGGAAAGGGGCCCAGATGCATAATTGAGCAGCCTTCCATTTCAAACTTCCTTACTCTCCTGGGCCTGGGGGATAGGAATTGATGGGGGCACTGGGGTTGGTGCTTTTCATCTCTCAGTGACAAACAGTAAGTAGTGCGTGCAAAGCAGTGTGGCCGTGAGGATGGTAGAAAGGAGGTCTCTACTGCCAGGACCCCATCTTCTGCCTTAGAATAAATAGGCCAAAGAGACACCCATTGATCTGGAGATTTCAGCCCAGCAGAAGGCCTGCCTCTCCGCAGCCCTTGGCTGGACTTCCTGGAACTTGAAAATGGGTAAGAAAAATAGTAGGTAGTCTGGGCTAGAAGAAAAGGCTGAGGGAGCCGGCCCAGTATAGACGCTTATTCTCAAAATTCTTTTAGGTCCCCAGGGAGGCTCTGGATTGCCCCCTTGGTCCCAAGCACTAGGGTCCCTCTGGTAGAGGATACTTCAGCCAGCAGCCTTGCCTCTGTGTCCCATGAGAGAGGATGCCATGCGAGCCGGGCTTCCTTACGACTAGCTCAGCATCTGCCTCAGTCCTCCTCACTCATTTCCTTGGACCCCAGCATTATATTCTGGCCCTGGGCTCCAGTAGTACAGTCCCTTCTGTTATCTAGCGATGCACCCTGAGCCCAAGGCTGTAGCAAGGGGGGATTGGTACAGTGTGTGTGGAATGTATGTGTCTCTGTTTAGGGACCAAAGTTAAATACAGATGCTCGGGTTGCGTTTCTCAGTGCACTGACAGCCTCTTAGAGCAGCACGGCTTTTCTTTATCACTTATTACTCCAGTCGGTTCTCCCCAGAATGCCTTGAGGTAGGTATTATCAGCTCTATTCTACAGACAAGGAAATGGAGTCTTCAAGAAGGGAGTCACTCTCCCAGCTAATGGCAGGACTAGGATGCGCATCTGAGTCTACTGACTTCTACCCCACACCTTCCTTCATCTTTTCACATGTGTACTCTAATGGGGCAAGAGATGTAAACACTAACACCCAGTCCAGGAGGATTTGTTTCTGGGAGTATCTCATCCCAGCCTCAACCCCGAGACCCCAATCCCAACTCAAGAACCTTCTGAGAGGACTTTCTTAGGAAAAAACCTACCCTGGCCGGGAGACACAAGTCTCCTTGCAGAGGACACCAGGATGATCAAGGCCAATATCCTAGCTGATGAGCTCATATTCTGATAGAGGAGGCTGACCTGTAAGCAAATGATTGGAGAAAAAAAATCATATGTTGAGAGGCATGAATCCAGGGCTGTGGGAGCAGAGAGGGTGGTAGAAGACAGGAAAGAGCCCTGGACCTGCTGTGGCATCTCCCTGGAGAGCTCAGGACCTGGAAGTTTCCCAATGGGGAGGACAAGTGGGCCTCTGCTCTGCCCAGCAGCCCTTCTCTCAACCTAAAGCCAGAAATTCCCAAGCTGAGCCTGTTGGATCTCAGGGTTAAAGAACCTACCCAACAAACCTACCCGGGCCAGGAGACACAAGTCTAGGTCTCTTTGCTGCAAGACTGCAGCCAATGGCAGACTATCCTGTTCCTCCTCCACCAATGGGATCAGTCACTGTGGCTTCTATAAGCCTCCAGCCAGCCTTAAAGGACCTGCTCAAATGTCCCTCCTCTGGGAAGTCTTTCCTGCCTTCTTCCACCCTCTCTGCTCCCACATCCCTGGATTCATGCCTCTCAACATATTTTTTTCTCCAATCATTTGCTTACAGTTCAGTCTCCTCTATCAGAATACGAGCTCATCAGCTAGGATATTGGCCTTGATCGTCCTGGTGTCCTCTGCAAGACAGACCAGAAATTACCCACCCAACCAGGCTCAGGTTGGGGGTCCTGGCAGCCCTTCTGGAACCCTGGACCTGGACCTGCTGTGGCATCTCCCTGGAGAGCTCAGGACCTGGAAGTTTCCCAACGGGGAGGAGGACAAACGGGCCTCCGCTCTGCCCAGCAGCCCTTCTCCCAACCTAAAGCCAGAAATTCCCAAGCTGAGCCTGCGGGATCTCAAGGTTAAAGGACAACATGGAGAAGAAGATGCCATCCTGTAGGGCCATTCAGAGGGCCATCTCCTGTCACAGACAAGGGAGTTGGTCAGTTCAAAATGATTGCAGGGGACCCTGATGGGCAGCATATGATGACAGGTACCACCTGGTGCATGATCCAAAGTCCAAACAGACAAGGACTCAGTTTTTGCCTACGTGTCTGCCCAGAGGTATCAAGGACGAAGTCCCCCACTGAGGTCAAAGGCAGGCTGTGTTTCTAGGTAAGGATAGGGACTTGTCTATTGGTAAAGTGGCCAAACATAAAAGATACTCAATCCATGCATGTTGAATGAATGAATGAATGAATGAATGAATGAATGAACGAATGAATGAAAACCCTACTCTTACCTGAAACCCAGGCTGAGTGCCTCTCCAGGATTCCAGCACCCAGGGAAAGGAGATCCAACCCAGGGGCTGCACAGAGGATACCTCCCGCCTGGGATGAGAACAAGAGCTCCACTTCGGCTTATTGGGAAATCAATAAGGAGGCGGGCCCTGCCTGGCAGGCTGACACCCTGTATACGGGCCTTCTGCAAACACAATCATCTCCTCAGTTATTAATGGGCCCCGCTCGCTGCCTCTTCATTAGTGCTCAAATATCCACAGAAAACCGTTTACTTACCATGGGCTCCTGCTCGCACCGAGCAAATTTGGACAGGGCTAGTCAAACAGGGAGCTTGTTGTCGGGCTAATGACAGAGCCCAGTGTAAAGTTTAGCAGCAGCAGAAGCAGGCAGAGAGGGCACCAGCCTGCACCTGCCCCCAGGGGCAGCCCAGCATGAGCTGGGAGGAGGAGAGGAGGAGGGGAGCAGTGTCAGGGAGAAGTGGGTGTCCTGAGCCCGAGGCCACACTGTAGGGGTCCTGCACCTGAACTATGCTGGGCCCCTCAGCCGTAATCAGCTATCATCTCTTCAGATGGTCACAGCAACCCTGGGAGCAAGGCCCCACAGGCATTGCAAGGCAATGTGGAGCAGTGGCTGAAAACTGGGCTTCACAGCTAGACAGGGTTCAGGTTCAAACCCCAGCACTGGGCAATTGTGTGGCTCGGTGCAGATTAGGTGGCCTAAGCCTCCGTTTCCTCATCTGGGAAATATAATACTACTTACCTCACAGAGATGTCATGAAGATTAAATCATTAGTGCACAGCACAGTGCTAAATTCCTAGGATCCTCTTTCGCAGATGAGAAAACTGAGGCTGGGATGAATTTGAGACTCTTGCCCAAGGCTATACGCTTAGGAAGTGGCAGAGCCAGACTGGAACCCGTGGCTCCCGACTGCAGGTTCAGGGTGCCTTTCCACAGTGTCCCTCCAGTGTTCTCTACTGCAGACATGCACCCTGTGAACCCAGCCTGCCCCAACACTGGCACTCTGCCTCAGGTGGCCCAAGCTCCCCTAAACGCTCAGCATGGATGAGCCCAGGCTGACTCACCCCTAGAACACCCCTCCCTAATCCTCCCCGACTTGCTCCTGCTTCTGTCCTCTGTATCTCTGGTGTAGACTGAGAGTGAGGATCTTTAGGGCTCACCTTTTTTATCCTCAGCCAGCCCCAGCCTCTCAAAAGATGTTATCTCTTTGTGGGGGTCTCCGCAGAACAATCCATCTGGGCCCTGTAAGGGGCACTCGGGCTTGGGGCTCCCCACCAGGCACTGGCTCTCAGTCAATAGCCTGAGCTGGGACTTGGGCTCATCTGGGATCTGGACAGTAACATGTTCAACATCTTTTCTGGGGAGACGGTTGAGAGGCTCTCAAGCTGAGCCCAGCGTCAGCAGAAAGGACCAACAGGTGACTGCAAAATCAGAGGAGCTGAGAAGCATGCGCCAGGGGCAGAAGAGTCAACTAGGGGAGCTGTATATCTTACCTGCCTGCCAAAACTCCCATCATGCCTCTGCTGCAAACAACTGCCAAGCATCCCTTGGGTACCATGGCAGCCCCATGCCAGGCCTGGGGATGCTGAGCTAACGGCCTTGGCCGTAGAAGATTTGGGCCTATTGCCAGGAACACACAAGGAAACATATCCACAGTGGTTAGAGCTACAACCAGGCACACCAAAAGAAACCCAAGAGCAGGACAAAGGAGGACTTGGTTCTGTCTGATGGGTAGAAGGTGACTTCATAGAGCATGACTTTTCAAATACAGGTGAGAATGAGTTTCCAAGCAAGGGATAAAGGGAGGGCCTTCCAGGCATAATAACAGCACAAGCAGACAGGGAGGTGTCAATGAACAGGACACAATCAGAAAACAGTGAGGCCGGAGAGGCCAAATGGGACCAGTCTTGACAATCATTGTATCCCACAATATGGCACTGTAGGTGTGAGAAGTAACGGTGTTTGTTCTGTCTCTATTTGAATGCTTTCTGTGACAAGGAGCTCACTCTCTCATAGGCCAATTTGTTCTGTGTCATGCCATCCGTAGCACCAAAGGATACTTAGCCCACCCCGCCTAAGTCAGCCCTGGGGCAACACAAGGCAACGAGTCAGGCTAGTACTGAGTGTACAGAAGTGAACAGGAAAGACAGCCCTGCTCTCAGGGAGTTGCATTCTGGAGGGGGCAGGAGGATGTGAACACACACACACCCACATAGCAAGATAATTCCCCATAGAGATAATGCGTCCAGGAAAGTAAGCTTGTGCAGTGATGGGAAATACAGAGGGGACGGGGAGCTATTTTCATTGCTGTGGGCAGAGAAGGCCTATCTGGAGAGAAGACATTTGAACTTTAGATGAAAGAAAGGAAGGAGGATTCCTGGGTTTCTCTTGACAACTGGGTGTGTGTGGTGCCCCTTGCTGAGACAGGGAAGGATATGGAAGTAGGGAAGGACAGGGGTAGACAGCCACTGCCCTTCAGGTGGACCGCCTAACAACTGCTGTGAGCTGGGCAGCTTACATGTGCCCAGACACTAGTGGGTGCCCACTTGTACTCGCATGTGTGCACGCTCTTGTGCACACTTGCTCATTTCTCTCTTTGGCACACATGCTCACACGTGAGCCTCTGTGTGTGTGTCCTTCTTTCCACAGAATGAATGCACTGGCAGGGCACATGCCTGCTGGGCCTGATACCCCAGGCTTGTCATCCTTATAGGCACAAATGGTTCAGCTTCACAAAACACAGATGTGCACTGATGCTTCCTTGCACGCTCTCACACACAGCCTGTGGTCCTTGCTGTGCTCACCAGTTCACCTGCTTTTTTAACCTTGGCTCATGCGTACATCCACCCCAGGGTGACTACACTGGGTTTCTCTCCCAGAAGGGAAGAAATTCTGACGTCTGAGTCATTTGAATCTGTGGCACTGAAAGGTCTCCTGACCAGAAGGAACAAGAAAATGTCACTGGCTGATGGGGACAATTTTAATGCAAAATGCCACCTTCTAATGATTGTACCTTTTGCTGCAGCTGTCAGCAAAAAGACACTTAGCTCTTCACCAGGGGCCAGACTCTGAGGATCACAGAGTTTTGTACTTCCTTCTGCCGCCCCTGCTCCCATGCTCCCAGAATTGTGATCTTTGGGCCATCTTGAGTTCCTCCCAGCACCAGCCCAGCCTTCCTCCTGCATGAAAGGGAGAAGGGGCCTGGGTGAGAGCCCCCTGGAAGCCCTTCACAGGACTTCTGTCACTCCTCCACCTTCCAGCCACCTGAAAGGGGATGAGGAGCTCCTGCTTCATCCACTTGAAACCAGGACCTGGGGTCGGGACCCTCCCCAGGGCTCCCATAGCACCCAATGCCTCCCCTATCACTGCATTCCCCTCTGTGTAGGAAGCTCCTCTGCTTCATCTCTCCCCTCGGGAAAACTCTCAGCAGGAAGAGGAGACGGGTCCCATCCATGTTGTTCACCACTCTGTCCTCGGAATCCAGTGAAGCCCTGGCTCATTGTAGGCACTCCACAATATCTACTATGAAGAGTAATGGAGTGAAGGGAGAAAGGAACCATGCTCCTCTTTTCCAGGCAAAAGGAGAAGTATATTTCTGTTTTCCTCAGACTACTCTGGTCCAAAGTGCTCCTATTCTCTCTCTTCCTAAACTACCCCAAGAGGCCACTCCTGTCCCTATACACCTTCAGCAGCCCCTCCCTCAGTGGGGAGCTCCAGCATCTTCCACGTCCACCAGCTCTGCTCCCGCTCACACAGCACACCCACCCCACAAACACCCAGGCCAGCCCCCAAGATTCCTCACCCCTGGGTATATCATCAAACACGAACCTCAGAGCTGCAGTAAGGAATTTTGCAGATAAAACTTCCCAAATCAGTTGACCTTAAGAGACAGGGATTGTCCAGGTGGGACTGACCAATCACTGAGACCCTTAAAAGCAGAGCTTGGCCAGCACGGTGGCTCATGCCTGTAATCTCAGCATTTTGGGAGGCTGAGGTGGGTGGATCACTTAAGGTCAGGAGTTCGAGACCAGCCTAGCCAATATGGTGAAACCCTGTCTCTACTAAAAATACAAAAATTCACCAGGTGTGGTGGCACGTGCCTGTAATCTCAGCTACTCAGGAGGCAGAGGCACAAGAATTGCTTGAAGCTGGGAGGTGGAGGGTGCAGTGAACCAAGATTGTACCACTGCACTCCACCCTGGGCGACAGAGTGAGACTTTGTCTCAATAAATGAATGAATCAATGAATCAATGAATGCAGAGCTTATTCTGCTGGCCACAGAAGGGAAGCCAGAGAGACGGGAGGCATGAGAAGGATTCAACACACCTTGCTGGCGTGAAGGTGGAGGGAGTTGCATGGAGAGGACCTGGAGTGGCCTCTGGGAGTTGAAAGTGACAACCAGCCAACAGCCAGCAAGGAAATGGGGACTTCAGTCCTACGACTTCTAACACCATAAATGAGCTTAGAAGTGGATTATTTTCCAGAGCCTCCAAATGGAAACTCAGCCCCACACCTTGAGTTCAGCCTCATGGACACTCTCAGCCATACCACACCTCTAAGTTACAGAACTGGGACATCATACATTGGCGTGCAGCTTTTTGTTGATGCTGTTGCTGTTTTCATTTTGTCCTCCTTAAAATTTTTTAACTGTGGTAAAATATACCTAACTAAAATTTACCATCTTTACCATTTTTAAATACGCTGTTCAACAGTGTTCAGTGTCTTCACACTGCTGTGCAACCCTCACCATCTGTCCCCAGAGCACTTTTCGTCTTACAAATGGAAACCCTGCACCCGTTAAATGACTCTTCATGTCTCCCTCTCCTCAGTCCCTGGCAACCGCCATTCTACTTTCTGTGTCTATGAATTTGTATGTATTGTTTTAAACTGGTAGGTTTATAATAAGTTGTGCAGCAATAGAAAAGTAATTTGTTAAGCATCTATTGGGTACTGAAAAGCCTTTATCTCATACGAGCCTCACGAAAAAATACCTATGTGGTAGAATTCATGAAGATAGTAACTATAACTTACAGTATGTGTGGTACCATGCTACCTGTTCATATGTATTTTCTCATTTAAGCCTATTTTATGAAGTCAAAGTTGTGATTATCCCATTTTAAAACTAAGACACTCAGGGAGATTAAAACTAATAATAACTTGGCCAGGAATGGTGGCTCATGCCTATAATCCCAGCACTTTAAGAGACTGAGGCAGGTGGATCACTTGAGGTCAGTAGTTCAAGATTAGCCCGGCCAACATGGTGAAACTCCATCTCTACTAAAAACACAAAAATTAGCTGGGCATGATAACGGGCACCTGTAATCCCAGCTTCTAGGAGGCTGAGGCAGGAGAATCCCTTGAACCCAGCAGAGGCTGCAGTGAGCCAAGATTGTGGGACTGCACACCAGCCTGGGCAACAGGGTGAGATTCCATCTAAAATAACAACAACAACAACTGGCCCAAGGTCACTCGGCTAATAAATGGCAAAACTATGTCCTTAACCACTGTTCAGCTCAATTGGATTGCACTTCCTGAAATCAAGAGAACAGGGCTATGTGGATGCGTCACGTGGCATTTGCCTCACATGGCATTTGCTGAGACAGGGCTGGAGGAGATGCTGGTGGCTCATCTCTAGAAACTGCACAGTCTCGGTGAGGATGCAAGGAGGGCATTGCACAGTGAAATCAGGGTCAGATGCTGAAACTGGGCCCTGTAACTTCAAACTGGGTAAGAAGCAAGCAGGAATCCTGAGGGTTGGGATGGATCAGGGCCCCCTCCCCACCCCACAGTCCCCTTCTTCAATCAGGGTAACTCCTTATTTAAATATTTTATATGTTAGAGTTCATTTCATAAAATTTCATTTTTAAGAGGTTCCACTGCTAAAAACATGTCTGCAAATCGCTCATCTGCTCCAAGCCCTTTTACTGTAATGTGGTGTACCTACTATAAAGGCTCAGAGAGGTCAAGTCCTTTGCGTAAAGTTGTACAGCCTTTTCTGATCGAGCCAAACCTAGACTATACGAGGTCTTCTCTCATCTCTCTCTTTGGGTCACTGGGCATATTTCATAGATGACTAAGACCCCAAAATTCCATGGGCCTCTGCTGTTAGACTTGAAGTGGCTCTGAAGCCAAGGCTGACAGACAAAACAAGATCCCACACAGAGATGGAGAACAGGCCTGGAAGTTAGCACGTGGGTACCAGTCTCGACTCTTTGAGTCTACCCAGTTGCATGACCTAAGCCACATTTCTCCCTTTAGCCTCAGTTTCCCCATCTATGAGGGTGTAGACTGGGTAGCTCCATGTTTTACCAGCATGGATGTGTGAGCCCATGGCTCTGTGACCATAGAGAAGCTGGCAAGGAAGAAACTCAGCCTGACAGCAGTGACTCAGCACTTCCTCCCAGCTCTCTCCCCTGGCAACTCACCCCCACCAAAAAACGATGAGAGACATTAAAATACAAAGCAGCTTCAGACAGGAAAAGTGGAGCGGAGGTGCAGAGACCGTGAGGCAGGAGGTGTCAGCACCAGAGGAAGTAATTTAATAAGGGCTCGCTTGGAAATTATATCACCCCAAATAATATAATAAACCCTAATTTACTCACATTTATCTCCCAGAGTTTTTTTGGGGACACATAATCTTGCCTGCTCTACAGTGATGGATTAGCGCAATGGAAACTCCACTGGGAAATAAAAAAAATACATCTTGTAGTTTTTGACGCGTTATTATTCAGTGTTATCTCACATGCCTCATTCCAGGCCCATTACTCATGTTCACTTTTTTCTTTCTGCTTTTCTTTCCCCTCCCCTCCTTAAAAATCAGGGCCAGAGACAGGCTGCCAGCACATGGCATTTCTCTGCAGTTCACCTGCACACAACCCAGTGTTAGGGTGTCAGGGATTGGGCGAGGGGTGGTAGGAGAGAGGTGGTCCTTCGGGAAGATTCTGCAGAATGCAGACATTGCCAGTGGTCTGTGGTGAGGGGCTGCCTCCATCCTGCCCCTTTTTCAGACTGCAATCCTAGATCTGCGCCCGCTGTTCTCCTGGGACCCAGCTGGTCCCTGAAGTCTAAGGGGACACCAAAGCCCACTAATCTCCAGCTGACCACCAGGGCTGGCCTCAGCATCGTTAGGTCTGAGCCCTACTATGGGACTTGGGATAGGAAAGTATCTCAAGCAAGAGCAGGTGGGGGTTATCAGGAGGATAAGGGATTATCTCTTGGAACCGGAGAGTAGGGAGTACAGCCAGCGCTTACAAGGGAGTGGAGAGTTGGGATCCAAGGCTGCTTTCTGTGTCCTTCTGGGCTTTCACATTCTCTCTGTCTCTTTCTCTCCACCCCTCCCCATTCCCTAGCCTCTCTTTTTCTTCCTCTGTGCATTGATCTCAGATGTGTTCCTTTTTCTACATCCTCTCCCAGGTCTACCATCCAAAAGACAGCATCCCAACTCCCTATTTCCAGGAAACAGCCTCTGAGTGGCCAGCTCTGGCCAGCTCCATCCCTGGTCCAGGGAGCTACGAAAATAGAGTGAGGGGAGGCGAGGATTTGAAATCAAGTAGGATTTTCATGGTAGTTAGACCCAAGGCTTCAGTGGCCAGTTGTCCAAGAACAAGGTGTAGGCAAGGCAGGTACTCTAAGAGGTGACTGTTATGACTTAAGCGTCTAAGGCTCGGTTTCCTTATATATAAAATTGGGGTGGTGTTGGCTGGGCGCAGTGGATCATGCCTGTAATCCCAGCACTTTGGGAGGCCAAGGTGGGTGGATCACTTGAGGTCAAGAGTTTGAGACCAGCCTGGCCAACATAGTGAAAACCTATCTCTACTAAAAATATAAAAATGTGCTAGGCGTGGTGGCGGGCACCTGTAATCCCAGCTACTTGGGACACTGAGGCAGGAAAATCACTTGAACCTGGGAGGCAGAGGTTGCAGTGAGCTGAGTTCATACCACTGCACTCCAGCCTGGGCAACAGAGCAAGACTGTCTTTAAAAAAAAGGGGGTGATAGAAGGAATGACATAATGGAAGCAAAATACTTTGTGAAGGGCATCATGCTATCCAATGATCCCTCTGACCCTCCCAATTTGCATGGGAAGGTCTTTCTCCTCCCCTCTCAGAAGATGCTGATGGTCCTCTTTGGCCCTAAGTAAGCCCAAGCTACAGAGGGGAGTGATGGCAACCACCTGTGTGCTTGGCACTGCCTTTCCAGCCTCCTGAAGGCAGTGGTCCATAAACCTGCTGTCCCCAGGTGAAGGAAGAAGGGGAAGAAGGCCCAGAGCACCCTGGGAGATGCCATGCATAATTGCTAATAAGCAGGCGTGACCGAGTCTTAACAATAATTAATGTTACCAACCAAGAACTTGTCCATTTCGGGGTCTAATGGTTTTTCAGCACATTAAACATTAAAGGGGCAATCACCTCGCATGCACCGGTGCCCACACGGCTGCCCCGTGTCTTGCCTGCTGACAACCGGGAACTGCAGGCAGAGCCCCAGGCAGAACCTGGAGGGCGGGGAGGGGCTGTTCCCCCACCCTGCGGTTCTAGGCACAAAACCTCATCAGACTGCCTCCTGAAGGCCCTGGCTGCTGCCCATGGGAGTTGGCCTCAGCCCGGATGGGATGTCTCCATAAGGCCCTGCTTTGCATCTCCAGGGTTGAGGTCCCCCGGGTCAGAAAGAGGTCGGGCTCCGAGGTCAGGAAAGCCCTGCCAGATTCCCCTTGCCACCTCCCCTCCAGTGGCATTCTTCCAAAGAAGGACACTCCACTGCCAGGTCAACCGCTTCCCACTGGAATGGGGCAGATTCTGGACATTCGGAGTAAATAGAATTCTCTGTAACTCTATGCACTGTCAGTCACTCCTATGTCGTCTCCTCTTTTATTCTATACAATTTGCAGTATCAATTTTGCTATCCCCATTTTGCAGCTAATGAAATATAGGCTCAGAGAAACTGACTAGTTCACTCAAGATACACAGCGATGAGAGGAGGCGCCAAAATTCAAACCCAGGTTTAGCCTTCTCCAACGTCTGTGTCCTTAGAGGAACCCTCCCAAGTGCATTTGCAGACTCTCCATGTGCCCTGGATAAGTGGTTCTGGGCCATAGAAGCAGGAGTTGTTGAGATTCTTGGCTCTTTCTGAGGTCCAGTAAAAGTAGCTCTTGACCTGAAATTGGAAGACCTGGGGTCTTCAAGTGGGAGCTCTGGTCCTGCTTTACAGTATGACCTGAGGCAAGTTATTTAATCTACACTGTGCTTCTGTTTTCTCACTTGAGAAATGGAAAGAATATTTTCTACTTAACATGATTTTTGGAGGTATTAAATGAGAGTACAGAAGACTTAGGAAGCTGAAAACCAGCATCCTCATCATCTTCATCATCATCATCATTCTCAAGCTTCGGATGCCACCCTGTGATGTCCGGTCAACAGCATATGTGCAGATAACAGTGCAAGCAGGCCTCTCATTCATTCCTGTGTAGTTAGTGATATGTATGTAGCTGTGCATTCCTTCCTCTCTCCTGGGGTCTCCTCAGATGTATGTGTCTTTGTGTGACCTTTCTCATTTATAAATTTTTCAGGAATGCAGAATTCATTGACCAAGATTTCCATCCCACCCTGACCTCTAGCATAGACCATGGAAGCAACATTATCATGTTTGTCTTCAGTGAATCCTCCACCCTCACCCACTCTTGGCCCCTTCTTGCTGTTCCTTGGATACCACGGGGCCTCTTACTCTGGTACACCCCCTAGCCCACTCCCCCTGGACAGTGGCCCTTGATCCAGACCTTTCATCAACCCTCCATCAAAACATACTGACCTGTGCTACATCTCCTCTCAGCTAACATATTTGCATGTTACAGGGGCTCTTAAGCTTGTCCCAGCCCCTCAAAGGTAATACGACTTTGGGAGCATGGGGACAAAATGCACCTCCCCCCCACCCTTCCCCCCCCCCTCCGCCCACACACATACACAGTAGCACATTAACTAATCCCCTGTGCTACAGACCTATCTCCAAATACAGCAGTCACAGATCAGCCCAGTGGTCTGTCAGCTCACGTTCATTTGCACCTCAGATTATATCATCTTACAAATAATGGTGTCCACTCCAGGGGCCCTGGGTTTTGGAAAGGAGCTTCACTGATCATCGCCCTGGATTCCAACGTCTTACCTGAGACTTGGACCTTCCCCAGCCCCTGGGCCCTGTCCAAGGTGCTGATGCTTTTCTTGTTTGCCACAGTCCCCTAGAGGGCACCAATGCCCCTGCAAGAGGGCCCATTCACACGGAGCCCTCCCAGTCAGTGGATTAAGGTGGGAAAGACATAAACCACATTACATCACTTCAATCTCAATATTTCCCTGTGAAGTGGAGGTAAGGATAAAGACTTGGCTGTTGTGAGAATCATATGTGATAAAATATTGAATCACAGGGCAGACACACCTTCCTCCTAGAAAATCACTGACCTGTATCAACACCCTAAGAACCAATCTCTTCATTCTCAATAGAAGCAGTGCCACCTCCTCTGTGAAACCTTTCTTGGCCCTGACCCCTCATCAGGAAACTAATCAATAGCTTCCCCCGGGATTCACCCAGTGCATACTCATGCGTCCCCTTCCAGCACTAACTCACACACTACATTCTATTTATCAGAGTGCACATCTGCCTTTCTCCCTGGACTGCAAGATCCCCAGGCAAAGTGCTGTGCCCTGTTTCCTGCATGCCTGTTCCTCCAGATGCATAAGGGATGCATAGACACAGGAGTCCAGCCTCCCAGAATTTAGGGGAAGGATTTCCCATCCAGCCCCACTGTCTCTCTGTCCTACTCCACCCACCCTGCCCCTGGCTGCCCCAGTCTGTCTGTGCTGGGCCCACTCATCTCCCACCCTCAAAGGCTCAGCCTACCCCCACTTGCTTGTACTAAATTTCCCCAAGTCATAGTTTCTTCCATCACAAAATATAATAATAACATTATCTTGGGGTTGCTTGGGGATGGGATTTTCTACTTTATGAATAGCCTCCACCATATTCTGGTATGACCCCACCTTTTCCCTCCCTGCCATTTCCCCTCCATCCTGTTCCTCTCCCAATGCCCATACCCGTCACTCCTTTCCCAGTGAAGGCAGACA
Organism: Homo sapiens; assembly: GCF_000001405.40. Lineage (NCBI taxonomy): Eukaryota > Metazoa > Chordata > Mammalia > Primates > Hominidae > Homo > Homo sapiens. The sequence goes on from NC_000011.10 coordinate 116,606,638, forward strand.
CTCTGCATTCACTATGTGAGGCTGGGCTGGGTCCTTCTAGAGGATTTCCTTGTTAGGTCTCTGCCACCATGCCCTTCTCTTCCCCCACGAATGTGGCAGAGTCTTAGTCCCTTCCTGCTGCTATAATAAAATGCCTTATGCTGGGTCATTCATACACAACAGAAATGTATTGGTGATAGTTCTGGGGGCTGAGAAGTCCAAGATCAAGACACCAGTAAATTCAGTCCTCATAAATGGTGCCTTCTTGTTGTGTCTTTATGTGGCAGAAGTGGCAAGGGAAAATCGGTGAACAAGCTCCGTCAGGCTTCTTTTATAAATGCACCAATCCATTCATGAAGGTGGGACCCTCATGTCCTAATCACCTCTCAAAGACCTTGCCTACTAATACCATCACACTGGAGCTTAAGTGTCAACATATGACACATAAATTTGAGGGGGGCACATACATAGAACCTAGCAGGTGCCTAGTGTTACACTGACTTCTGTGCAGGAAGTAGCATGTCTGAAAGCTGGCTCCAGGGCAGTGTGAGCCTCCTCATCTCTGGGAGGCAGAGGAGCTGCAGTTGCCTGGTGTCACCACCACTTGCCTGCTCAGCAAGGTCCCATGTGGGCTGAGCAATGCCCTGCAGGCTTCCTTACACCCCCACTACTTCCTGCATTGCCAGTGCCCCTCTACCCAACAGCCCCAAACCAGCACACTCATAAGCCTTGATGGCCTCTGCTAGTCTCTGGCCTCCATCCCTTCCTCCCCCTTTTCCTTCTCCTGTCCCTCCCTCTCCCTCTCATCCAAATTTCTAGTCTTGATCCTAACACAGAAATGGAATTATCTATAAGGATTTGAAAGGACAAATGTGCAGGGAGCCAAATGGCACCAGGCTCTTCTCTCTTTCCCTTTGATAAGTTCCTTGCCTGATCCAGCGGTCTTTCAATTAGGTGGATTAAAATGTAACAGAGAGCTCTAGGGGAGGGGAATGATCTGCCTGGGGGACAGCAAGCTCTGTGGGAATGAGCTGATCGCTCCAAAGGGGGCTGCCCATCCCCAGGAGCCAGGACCCTAGTTTATGTCAGCCCCATGCCACCTCTAATGCATGCCCAGCACTTTACAGCTTGCAACATCGTTTTCATCCTCGTTATCTCATCTGCTCTTAAGAGGATACTACAAAGCATCTATCACTATGCCTATTTTATCAATTGTAAAACAGAAGCTTAGGGAGCAGGTGACTTGCCCAAAGTCACACAGCAGAGCCACAGCTTGATCCTGGACATTCAGGGTGCTCTCTGTCACTCCCTGCCCCATCCAGGCTCGCAGCTGCTCCATCACATGGCACACAAAATCTCCAGGAACTGAGAGGGTTGAGAGGCAGCCATACACCCATCCTCTGGCATGCATAACTGAGTTTGGACAGGTGATTCCATGAGACTTGAGAAAATAAGACATCCTTTCTGTAGAATTCACAGGCCACAAAACCCTGGACTCCACAAAGAGAGTGCCCTTGGGTTTGCAGACTCTAGTGACAGAGTAAGGTCAGAGCTGGCTAAAGGATAGCACGCAACATGAATAGTGTTGAGCCGTGTTGGTACAGAGGAGGGATTTTCAACGGGCCCAGCCTAGATACTTTCCAATGAGACTTCTGCACAGAAAACAGTCCTGATGGCTGGGGCGAACATGATGACAATGCTGGCTCTTGATTTCTTCCCCCTGCCCTCCACTACACACATGCACCCTCTGTGCCCTAGCACTGGGAGTAAGGAGGGGGCAACAGGTCTGGCTGTGGATTTCCTACCCTGGTGCCCCAGGGATCAGGTCTAAGTGGTTCAGAAACATGAGACCCTCACTACAATCCACCATCACCACCAACAGTGCCCCTTCAGCCCCGCCATGGCAGCTCTCTCCCCCAGATTCCACTCAGGAGGAGCCAGGCCCCGCCTCCATAGTACCTGTTCAACCTGCACAGTTGGTTTATCCCTGAGAGACACAAAGTAAAAGGACACTCCTGGGTCACAGTTCCAGAGAAAGCATGAACAGAAACAAACACGGCCCAGGGTTAGGTCTGACAGGAGCCTGGCAGCTTAAAATGAGAATCCCATAAGGCTGAAACTGAAAGAAACCTGGAAAAGTATCCAGACAAACCCCCTCCCATTACAGATGTGGAAACCGAGGCTCAGAGTTGGGAGCAGCTTGCCCAGGGTCAAATGGTAAAACAATTAAAGATCTGGGAACAGGATCTGTATCTCCCAATATCCAGTCCTGGACCCTTCCCATGATACCATCTGGTGACTTAGCCGTAGACCTAGAAGAAAGCCGTAGACCTAGAAGAAACTCGGGAAGATCGAGAAATCCTCATGGGTCAGCATTTGGTTGATATCTTTTGTTACTCTTTATTATAGATAAGATACCTTCCAAAATTGCAAGGATACTTTGTACTTATATTTATCACTAATTATGAAGCATCCATTGTGTGCAGGTGCTATAGCAGATATTAAGGGAGATAGGAGACAAGAAAAAAACATTGTCCATTCCTTGCAAAGCTGACACTCCAGATGCACATTTATTCATCTCATAACTAGTAATTGACTCTCCCAGGTGGTAGGCCCAGCTTGTTGTACTGGGGATGTTGAGATGATCTGTATGGATGAGATCCCTGTCTTCTGGGAGCTTACATTCCAGTGGATAATCACAGCTTATTAAGCATTTGCCATGCACTGGAAACTCTGCTAAGGTCTTTACCTGTATTATACAATCTGCACGAGAAATCTGTGAATGCTCATTTTACAGATAAGAAAACTGAGATCCAGCCGGGCGCAGTGGCTCACACCTGTAATCCCAGCACTTTGGGAGGCCAAGGCGGGCGGATCACGAGATCAGGAGATCGAGACCATCTTGGCTAACACGGTGAAACCCCATCTCTACTAAAAATACAAAAAATTAGCTGGGCGCGATGGTGGGTGCCTGTAGTCCCAGATACTAGGGAGGCGGAGGCAGGAGAATGGCGTGAACCTGGGAGGCGGAGCTTGCAGCAAGCCGAGATCGCACTACTGCACTCCATCCTGGGCAACAGAGCGAGACTCCATCTCAAAAAAAAAAAAAGAAAAGAAAAGAAAAGAAAACTGAGATCCAGAAAGGTTAAGGAAGCCCAAGTACAGTTATTGCTTAGCCCAGCAGGTATTTGAACCCTGACAGTTCGACTTCAAAGGCTGTGCTTTAACTGCCATATTACTCTACTCTTAGAGTAGAAAAGTTCCAGCCTCCAAACGTGGCCAAACAAACCCCTGTCCGTGTGCATGCTCATTAGTCCCCACAGCCCTGACGAGCAGCTTTGTTCATCGCTGTAATTTATAGGTCTATCATATTCAAACTTGGATTCAACCCTCTGTGGCCCCACTACACTTTATCCTGGTAATGATTTATTGTTTTAATTGAGACTTCACTTAGGTATAACTCATTGCTGCAAACACGAGGGGGTCCAAATCCCTGGAATCCAGGGCCAAGGTTGGCACAAGCCAGTCGTCTCTCTCCTGGCTCCTCCAACTGCAAATGCAGCCACAGAGTGACAAAAAGCCACAAGCTGTCCTACCAGGGAGGAGCCGTCCCTCCTAAAAGACAAATGGCCTTGTAATCCGTGGAGATGGCCCTGATGCTCAGTGGCCTTTGGATTAGTGAGTGAAAGAAGCAACCAGATAAGTCAGTGCTGTCAGGAGATGGGGCGGGGGCGGCATGTGCACATAGGGCCCAGGTGGGGAGAGGTGAGGCCTGTCACCGCAGGGGAACAAGCCTGTGACAGAAGCTTACCAGATCTCATGAGCAGCCCAGCTCCCCCACGTCAACCTGACATCTCTGTTTTCCCTGGCAGCAGCACCTGTCTGTCTGCCGGCCCAGGTCCTACCCCCCACCCCCTTCCTGGCAGCCAGTGCCAAACAGCCACCTGGTGACAGTGAAGGGTGAGCAGAGGAGAGCGGCAGCTGGGGTTGGGCCAGCCCCACCACCTCAGGAGGGGACTTCTGCACAGTTGCCCATGACGGAGGCCAGAGGTAGGAAGTAAGTATCACTTCGGTTGACCAAAATTTACCAAAGATCTACCACGTGTGGGCCCAGGGCCAGGCTCTCTGGGTAATATGGAAATGAACAAGACTCAACCCAGCCCTACAGGGGTTCCAGTCTGGTAAAACGTCAAAATAGCCACAGAGACAATAATGTCAGGTAGATCCTGAGGGCTAGAAATAATTTACTATGGGAGTTCAGAGGGGAGAATAATCACTCCTGGCCCAGAGGCTCTGGGAAGGCTTCATGGAAAAAGAAACTTTAAGATAAGCATTGAACTATGGGTAGAATTTTGACAGGCAAGACTGAGGAAGTGGGCATCCCAAGCTGGGGAACAGAGCAAAGGAGGAGAGGTAGAAAAGCAGGGGGTGTCTGGGGTGGTGGAAATCCACTTGGCTGAGCTACAGGATGTAGGAGATACGACTAGCAAGATAAGCTGAGACCCAGTGATGGAAGGTCTTGGTTGCCAGGGGAAGTAACTTGATATTTAGAAGATAATGGGGCTCTAGGAAAGGTATTTGATTTGGGTAATGACATGATCAAAACTGAGGGAATGGCCAGGAGAGTGCACGAGGTGTGTTGGAGAAAGAGACCACTGGGCTTTACTACTCTCTAGACAGGGGTGCACGAAGCAGAAAGAGGAGCATATCAGCTGGACTTAGGTATGGTTGAACATAACAGAAACCCAAGATAGCGTCTCATGCCTAAAAGAAGTCTGGAGGAAGCCAGGCCAGGACTGATATGATGGGTCCAGATTTAACATGGACCCTGGTTCTTTTACTTTCTGTTCTACCACCCCAGTGTATGGCTTCCATTCCCAAGGTCACTTCATGGACCAAAAAAGCTGCTGGAGCTCCTGCCATCATTTCTACATCTTAGGCAGCAGGAAGAAGAAAGGGGGCAGGAGGCAAAAGTCTCCCTCTGAGTCAGCTCCATTTAAGGAACCCTCACACTTTCTCTTAGAACATTCCCTCTTACATCTCACTAACCAGAATTTAGGCACATGGCCAGCACTGGCTGCAAGGGAGGGTAGGAAACGTAGTCTTTTGGATGCACCTGCCATGCCCTGAGTACATTCAAGTTGTGTTACTAAGGAGAAAGGAGGGATGGGTATTGGAGAGGAGCTAGTAGTCTCTAGCACAGGGAATCAGAGATAATTCTGAGACTGAGTGCAGGGGCCTGAGCCAATAAATAGTCCAGAAGCAAAATTCAGGAAGTCCAATGAAAGAGGAGGTTTGGAGGTAAAGATGAAGCCTGGTTCTAAAACTAGAGAAAGACATCTGCTGCTGGGGACCCTGCTCCTCCAACAGCCAGGGAATCCCACCTCCCGCTGTATTGGAGTCAAGCTTTGGAGATAACCCCCAGCTCCGGAGGGTGAGTGGAATGAGGAAATGGGAAAGAGGACTTGGAGACCAGAACCCCTTAGCCAGGGCTGAGAGGGGAAGAGTACAGGCTCTGCCTATCACATGCGTGGAGGAGTGAAGGGTGGCACAGGCTGACATTGCACATCAGGAGACACCCGGCAATAGGAAGAGACCAGGCAAATGGGACCCTGGGCCCAGAGTCACTGATGGGTGCAGAGAATAGGAGGCTGAGGTCAGACATCCCCACACTACCTCCAGGAAGCCTTCCCTGGAGGACACTGCAGGGGCTTCCCTGGCTGAAAAGAGAGCAGATGGGACAAATTCTCCTGTCCCAGGACATCAAGCAGGACTTCCCAGCTCAGCTTCTGGTCTTAGCAATACTACAAGTGCCATCCCTGTGGGGAGAGCTGGAGACAGGGAAGGCAAGGCCTGAGTAGCTGTTCCCAATCTCCTCTCCCCACCCTCACCTCCAGCAAAGGTTGAGGGGTCCAGGGGTTGAACATCTTCTAGCAAGTGTGTTTACCTTGTGTACTAATGAGTGTCATGAAGGTCACCCTTCTTCAATTCTCATTCTTATTAAATGCTGAGTTGAGAAGGATTCTGAGGACTCCTCTTGCCTGTATGGAAAAGAACGTTATAATCAATTTGCAATGACTGCCATGGGAAAGCGTGGAAGGACAGTGAAACAGACATCAGCTAATTGCCATCCCTGGTTTAGCAGACAATATGTACTCAAAAAGTGTCTATTATATTAACGCACAAGCTCCAGGAGGCCATTTGAAGGAAGTGTTGTCCTCTCTCTGTAACTATCTCTCCCCATCCTAGAATAGAATGGTGACATATTGTTCTGTCCCAAACCACACAGGCAAGTGTCTAGACAGTATAATCTCTAGAAGGAATTTTTGGACTCTAAGTACAGGATTCTTGGTAGGCAGCTCACCTTTGCCTCTCTGGGAGGTTTCCTTCCTACAACCAAGGCTCTGATCCCTTGGGCCAGATTTCCATGCCAAGCTGGCGGACAACTGAGGACAAGAGGGATTTTCACAGCAAGGGTAGTGATAGGCCTCTGTTCCCTGAACCTCTAGATGGAGTCAGGCAAATCTTGGGGATTCATAAGAAAATCCCGACTTGTGGGGTACACCTATGCCCAGGTACAGGCCTGACAGAGCCATTAAAAGAGATGGCCAGTTTTCCCCCTCATCTCTCATAACAGATACGCAGACAGGGCCCTCAGCCCAAAGGGCACTGCTCCTCGACTTCACGGAGCTTCTCTGCACCTCTTCCCTACCCTGTCCTGGCCCAGAGCACAGCCCCTCCACCAGAGCAGGCTGGCGCACTCCTCCTTAACTCTCCTGGGCGTTGCGACGTTAGCAAGCTAACGAGAACGGATCTGACAGAGCAGGATTACCCACTCGGAGGGAGCCGGAGTGATTGTGTTTACTCCCAAACCTGGCCCTATTTAGTGGTCTGTGTGCATCATTAATCTTCTTCCACAATCCATTCCCCATCTGCTCCCACTTTTTAATGAACTGCCACTTGTCGCACTCAATAAAATCAGCACTTTGCGAGAATTTCAGCAACGATGGACAGACGGGAGAAGGCAAGAGGCAGCGGAGCAGGCGATGAGGTAGAGCCAGAGGGAAACCAGGGGGTGCTGGGCAAGGAAGCGGGATAGAGATGTCCCCGCAGGTTCAAGAACGGCGATGGATCTGCACCGGCAAGTGAATCGCAGCACGCCGGCCACTCTGGGCAACCTTGCCCCCAAGCAAGACACTAATAACCACGTCAGACTAGAGTGCCGGCTATTCTTACACTGCACCATGTCAGGCTGGGTTTGATCCGAGCCTGCTTTGCACGATTATTTTGCTGGTTGTGAATGGTGCAGGCGGCACAGGAATGGGGTTTTCCAGCCCTGGCTGCCAGCTCTGGGGATTCATCTGATACTAGGCTATTACCTTCTGATTACTTGACTTGGCAGCCAATTGACTCCAAGCTGCAAATCAACAGCAGGAAGGATGCATGGGAAAGCTGAGGCTTCACACTGCACTGCCCATCATTTGTCACCACAAAGTGTGATACAGCTTCATCTGGGGCTCCAACATGGGGAGAGGAGGGAGAGGGAATGAGAATGGGGGTCCCTCACTGTACTTGGGAATCTCAGGGATGGGGCATCACACATGGATCATCCAGTTTGAGACTTAAGGAGAAAACTGAGGGTGAAAGAGGTTAAAAGACTTTCCAAGGACACGCAGAGGCTCTCTGCCTGAGAAGTATCTGGGTAGGGCTGGAACCCAAGCAGACCCTCTGGTCTCATGAGGAGTAGGGCTGGGGGTCAGGCTCTGCCTTCTTGGGGCCCCCTCCTCTCCAGGTCAGAACCCGTGATGCCCTTCTTTGACGGCTCTGTGCTGTCTAGTTCCTGAGCAGAGGTAGACCAGGGTGGGGAGGTGCTGATGACATCTGGTGCCTCCATGTGCCCACCAAGCCTACGGCTTCCTGCTCTCTCAGTCGAGACTAAGGTACTTCTGCCTCAGGGTTTGGTCGGCCAGTCAGGGTTCCCTGTCTGAACAGCTGTCATAGGGTGAGGTGCAGACAAACAGGTCAGACATACACCCTGCCCTTATCAAACAGTTCAAGGCATCACCCTTCCCAGGACTTCAGCACCCCATCAGGATTCTTGCCAGCCTCTCCCTGAGGAATAGGATCCTGCTCCTCAGTCCCCCAACACTGCAGGACCCCACCCCCGCTCACAGACTGCCGGTTCCACTGGGCAGGTTCTTGTAGTGACCTCTTCATAGCAGTATCCCTGAATCAAAAACATTGCCTAGTGGGCACTCAATAAATGTTGATCAAACAAGCCTATCAGTGAGTAGATAAATGAATTGAATGTCCAGAACCACCTCGTTGTGTGTGTCACCTGCCTTTGGGGTCTTGGAGGCTCCTTCCTGCCCTCTTACCTCCTCGGCATCACTAAGGCTGCCTCCATGACCCTGTCCAAACTGAGTGTAAAGCAGGAGTGGGGGTGGGGGTCAAGTGGGTCTAGCCTTGAAGCTGTACCTGTCTTCTCAGCCCCCCGCCCTCCTCAGAACCACTTTCTCCCATGCCTCACCCACCAGTGTAGAAAAGCAGGGGGTGTCCAGAGTCCCGCTCCCTCAGGGCTGAGTAACTAGACATTTAAACAGGAAGATGGCTCATGCTCGCAGCGTTTGTTCTAGTCCTCAGAGATGCCCTAGCCTGGCAACAATACACAGCCCCCTTCCTGCTCCACTTGCAGCGGGAAGTGCCCCAGTCCTCCACTTGGGGCACTCTGGATTCAGAGTGTGTCCACACCAAGATTTTGCTCACACCTGTGAAAGGAGATCCCACTTAAGGCAAAGAAGCCCTTGAAAATCACAGCTGAGCAGGGATGGAGTGCAAAGTCAGAGGCCAACTTCCCATCTGCAGAAAGGGAGTGAACGTCAGGGGCCAGGAGCTCCCTCCCCATGCCCAGCCTTGTGGTCACTGCAGAAGCAAGAGAAAGAAGTGCAGGCAAGAATGTGAAAGCAAGGACATGAGAACGGGTAGAAACGGCTGCAGTAGAAACCCACATCACCTTGGGAAGGAGACCTCTACTCATGCTATCATCACCAAAGGGCAGAAAACAACAGCTCAAGCCCCAGGTAGGCCAAGTCAGTAGAGTCACAGGCAGGTGGTACTGGAGCCCAGGTAGAGGGGGAAGCAGTTGACAATGGGTACGGCAGACAAGTCAGAACTTGAGTGCCCCCTCCAACCCAAAACACACACACACACACACACACACACCCATAAAGACTAGGATTAAAACTGAAGGCAGTACCCCTGGGGGCTAGGGTCACCTAGCAGGGGGAAGGGGATGACAGTGGTTCATGGTCAATGACTGGACACTACACAGTTCTGCACACTGAGGTGTATTTAACCACTCCACCCCACCCCATACACCCTAAAGTCACCTGGAGAGGCACAAGCAGGGTCCCAGGGTCCATTTAATGCCCTTTAGTATCTGCAACAGCCAAAGTGGCAGACAACTCTGGGAAACATGCATGCACAGGGGAATTAATGAACTATTTGAGTATTTGAGAAGGGCAATTCTATTTTTAAAAAAAAAAAACCACCCTAAGAAACTATAGCAAAAAAGAGGAAGTAAAAAACTAAACAGAACAAGAATTTAAAATAACTTTATAATACTTATTATCAGAGGTAAGGGAGGATATTGGTGGCCTACAGTGGGAACACGCAGTTATAAAGCAGAAGCAATTGGAAATTCCAGTATGGAAAACATCACTGTTAGAATAAAGAATTCTGCAGATGGGTTGAATAGCAGAATAGACACAGCTAAAGAACAAACAGGTTAAGTGGAAGATGAGGTTGATGCTAAACAGTATTTTAAGAGGATAAAGAGTTGTAAAATAGAAAAGTTGAGATATGATGCATAGAAGTAAAAATATCAATCTGTGTTTAGTAAGAGTCCTAGAAGGAGAGAAAAATAAACAGAGGGAAGGAAATATTTTAAGGAATAATGAGTGACAACGACTCAGTGATGGGCAGTACATCCTTGAAAGAAAGTTGAAAGGCCTCAGATTGAAAATGTTCAAATGTACCAAACAGGATGATTTTTTTAAAACTATATTATAAAATAACTTAAGATCAAAAGCAAGAAGTAACATTTTTAAAACTTCCAAAAGAAATAGCAGATTCACCAGGCACGGTGGCTCATGCCTGTAATCCCAGCACTTTGGAAAGCTAAGGCAGGAGGATCACTTGAGCCCAGGAGTTCAAGATCAGCCTGGGCAACACAGTGAGACTCTGTCCTGCCCCCAAAAAAGCAAATAAACTACATATGAACGAGAGGCAAATCTACATCAGACTTTTCAACAGTGATCCTGAATACAAAAATAAAAGGAAATAGAGTAACATTTTCAGTGTTGCCAGGCAAAAAAACTTTAAGCCTAGGATTTTTTTAATCCAAGTAGCTTACATTTTAAAAATAAGACCAAAAATAATGGATAGTATCAGGCAGATGAGATCTCAAAATATTCTCTTTGAAAAAGTCTTGAAGGAAGTACTCTGGCAAGAAGATAAATAAATTAAGGATTGTGCTGGGAAATATATAGGTAAACCAAAAAAATGTAAGCATCAAAAACAAAAGTGAATCCACAACAATCTAGAACTAAGATTTTAAACAAATCTAACATGGTGGGACAAGGTGAGAGTCATCATGAAGGTGACAGGTCCCTGCCTCATTCAGGGGGAGAAAGTTACTTCAGAACTTAACAAGAAAAATAAATATAATTAGAGGTCTTCATAGGGCAGCCACCAGAAAAATTAAAAACAGAATGAATTACTTTTGACCAGTCAGCTTTTGTGAAGTCATGCTACAGTAACAAGCTGCCTCATCTCAGTGGCTTGCAATGGCAAAGGTCTATTTCTCATTGAGATGTTGGCTGCAGGATACATGTGTCCCATGTTTCTTCTCATTCTAGGACCCAATTAAAGGAACAGGCCTTGTCTCAGTCTGATGGCAGAGGGACAAGCGCAATGCGGGAACCACATGATGGTACTTAAGGCTACTCAGACGTCATGGACAGATCTTTTTAATTCGTATTCCACTTGCCAAGCCAATCTTTTTTTTTCCTTTTTCTTTTCTTTTTTTTTTTTTTTTTTTCTTTTGAGATGGAGTCTCGCTCTGTGGCCCAAGCTGGAGTGCAGTGGTGCAATCTCCGCTCCGCTCACTGCAAGCTTCGCCTCCCAGGTTCACGCCATTCTCCTGCCTCAGCCTCCCAGGCAGCTGGGACTACAGGCGCCTGCCACCACGCCAAGCTAATTTTTTTGTATTTTTGGTAGAGACTGGGTTTCACCGGGTTAGCCAGGATGGTCTTGATCTCCTGACCTCGTGATCCGCCCGCCTCGGCCTCCCAAAGTGCTGGGATTACAGGCGTGAGCCACCACGCCCCGCCTGCCAAGCCAATCTTAAGCCATGCATGACATTACTGAGGTAGGAAAGTATCATCAACCCACAGGGAAGTGCTGCAAGTCACAGGAAAATAGGCAGGATCGTGTCATCCTCCTGTGGGGAGGATGGAACATTCTTGAAACCAGAAAAAGAAAACAGACTCTAATTAATGAAAGTCATAAAAGAGAATGGGTAAAAAATTATGAGACATGAAATAAGATGACAGAAAGGAGTACTAAAATAAATCAAAATTATGGCAAAGATGGGAAATCATATGTATATATAATTATCTTAAAAAGCAAAACCCAGCAATATATTTTCTGTAAGAGTCATATTTAAAACAAAATCTAGATTTCAGTCTGGAGAACATGATGTAGAACTGTTTCCTTGCTCGTCCCCACCAAATGTAACTATAAACCTTGGAAATGATGCCAGAAGCAACCAAAAGAGAACTCTGAAAGGGGGTGAGAAGGCAAATTGGTCTGTGACCTAGGACTGGAGATCACAAGTAGAAGGGTATCTCATGCTCCCCCATCTAAGAGAAGGTTACCAGACCCACCATGTCTCAAACCCCAACCTAGCAAAGAAGGGAAGTAGGCTCATTCCTCCCCAACATCAAACAGAATTCCTCTGACAACAACAGGTAAGCTCAACACCAATTTGTGATTGATGGGTGCCACAGACACACCACCCCTGGGAAAGCACTGTCCTTCCCTCCTAGGCCTGAGGCTCCCCTTCTCCCTGGAGAGCCCTCCTGTGACCCAGCCCTGCAAAATTCCTTCTACCCCTCAGGCAGCATGAGCAGGGACCAAGCGGAATCCCCAGCAGCACCAGATAAACCAAATGGACCAAAACAACACAAGGAAAGTGCTGAAAATCTACCTGTCATTGGAGTGATCACCCACATATAGAGGCCAAGACCGGTGTGAGAAACCTAAACAGAGTGACCACCTGCTAAAATGAAAAAGTTTAAATAAGAACCTGCGTCTCCTACAATTCCAGGTTACAATTATTTAAAAATTACCCTTCATATCAAGAAAAATCATAACTCAAATGACAAAAAGCAATCCACAATACCAACCCTGAGATGAATGAGATGTTGGGAATATCTGACAAAACATTTTATTATTATTATTCTTTACGTTCTGGGATACATGTGCAGAATGTGCAGTTTTGTTACATAGGTATACACGTGCCATGGTGGTTTGCTGCATAATGTTATCCCTCCCCTAGTCCCCCACCCCCACAGGCCCTGGTGTGTGATGTTCCCCTCCCTGTGTCCATGTGTTCTTATTGTTCAATTCCCACTTACGAGTGAGAACATGTGGTGTTTGGTTTTCTGATCTTGTGATAGTTTGCTGAGAATGATGGTTTCTAGCTTCATCCATGTCCCTACAAAGGACATGAACTCATCATTTTTTATGGTTGCATAGTATTCTGTGGTGTATATGTGCCACATTTTCTTAATCCAGTCTATCATTGATGGACATTTGGGTTGGTTCCAAGTCTTTGCTATTGTGAATAATGCCACAATAAACATACGTGTGCATGTGTCTTTATCATAGAGTGATTTATAATCCTTTGGGTATATGCCCAGTAATGGGATTGCTGGGTCAAATGGTATATCTAGTTCTAGATCCTGGAGGAATCGCCACACTGTCTTCCACAATGGTTGAACTAATTTACACTCCCACCAACAGTGTAAAATCATTCCTATTTTTCCACAACCTCTCCAGCATCTGTTGTTTCCTGACTTTTTAATGATCACCATTCTAACTGGCGTGAGATGGTATCTCATTGTGGTTTTGATTTGCATTTCTCTGATGGCCAGTTATGATGAGCATTTTTTCATATGTCTGTTGGCTGCATAAATGTCTTCTTTTGAGAAGTGTCTGTTCATATCGTTTGCCCATTTTTTGATGGGGTTGTTTACCTTTTTCTTGTAAATTTGTTTAAGTTCTTTATAGATTCTGGATATTAGCCGTTTGTCAGATGGGTAGATTGCAAAAATTTTCTCCCATTCTGTAGGTTGCCTGTTCACTTTGAAGATAGTTTCTCTTGCTATGCAGAAGTTCTTTAGTTTAATTAGATCCCATTTGTCAATTTTGGCTTTTGTTGCCATTGCTTTTGGTGTTTTAGACATAAAGTCTTTGCCCATGCCTATGTCCTGAATGGTAATGCCCAGGTTTTCTTCTAGGATTTTTATGGTCGTAGTTCTTACATTTAAGTCTTTGATCCATCTTGAGTTGATTTACTGACAAAACAGTTTTTGTAAAATGCTTCAACAATCCATTACGCATATTTTTTTTTTTTTTTGAGATGGAGTCTCCCTCTGTCGCCCAGGCTGGAGTGCAATGGTGCAATCTCAGCTCACTACAACCCCCGCCTCATGGGTTCAAGTGATTTTCCTGCCTCAGCCTCCTGAGTAGCTGGGATTACAGGCATGCACCACCACGCCTGGCTAATTTTTGGATTTTTAGTAGAGATGGGGTTTCACCATGTTAGTCAGGCTGGTCTCGAACTCCTGACCTCAGGTGATCTGCCCCCTTTTGTTTCTCAAAGTGCTGGGATTACAGGTGTGAGCCACTGTGCCCAGCCTCAAATTTTATTGAAACAAATGAAAAAATAGAGACTCTTAGCAAAGATTGAAGCTTTACAATAAATATATTTATAGATATGTATATATATATATTAAAAGAACCAGTTGACATTATAGAACTTAAAAATATAATAATACAGACTATAACATTGAGGATTTAAAAAATATAAGAACAGGATTTTTAAAAAACTCCCCGGATGAGCTCAACAATAAATAGAGTGGAGATAACAGAAGATAAAATCAGTAGATGTGAGGACAGATAAGTAAATTTCACCCACCCAATCTAAATGACACAGAGAAAATAGACTGAAAATAAAAATGAACAGAACCTCAGGAATCTGGGAGCCAATAACAAAAGGTCTAATATTCACATCATCAGAACTGCAGAACAGGAGGAGGAGGAGAGTGAAGCTGAAAAGGCATTCAAAGAAATAATACTAAAAACTCTTCAAATGTGGTCAAAGACGCAAACCTACAGATTCAGGAATCCAAGCAAGCCCAAAACAGGACAAACACAAAGAAATCCATGTCAAGAAACATCATAATTAAACTTATGAAAATCAAAGACAAAGAAAAAATCTTGAAAGCAGCCAGAGAGAAACAATGCATTACCAATAGGAGAAAACCAATTCCAGATTACAGTGGATTTTTCATGTGAAATCGTGGAGGCTGGAAGAATGTGCATGACATTTTTGAAGTGCTGAAAGAAATGAACTATCAACTGCAAATTCTATATCCAGTGAAAATATGCTTCAGAAATGAAGGTGAAATGAAGACATTCGCAGACAAAGGAAAACTAAAATAATTTGTTGCTACCAGACCCCAGACCTACACTTAGATATTGACTGAAGAAGGTCTTTCAATGGAAAGGAAATGATAAAAGAATCTTAGAGCATCAGGAAGGAAGAACAATCAAAAGGACAGAAATATTAGTACATACAAAAAGACTATTCTTTTCTTCATGAGCTTTATGTCATATTTGATGATTGAAACAAAAAATCATAACATCATCTGATATTCAAACACCCAAAATTTGGAAAATTTATTCAAACATTTAAGGAATAATTAACACTTCTTTTACACAATATCTTCTAAAAACAGAAGAGAAGGGAAAATTTCCCAACTCATTTTTATGAGGCTAGTATTATCCTATAACATAACTAAAGATGGTACAAAAAAAGAAACCTTCAGACCAGTATCTCTCACGAAATTAGTTGAAAAAATGCTCAATAAAATAGCAAACTGAATTCAGCAATGTATATAAAGAATTATATGTCATGACTTAATGGGATTTATTCCAGCTAGATAAGGATGGTCCAACATTCAAAAGTCAGCCAGTGTAGCCCACCATATTAATAAGCTAAAGGAAAAAAGCATTTGATCACATCAATTGATGCTGAAAAAGCATTCAACAAAATCCAACACCCATTTAATATAAAAACGCTCAGCAAGTTAGAAGTAGAGGGCAATTACTCAACTTGATAACAAGCATCTACAAAACACCTACAGCTGACACCATCCTTAATGGAGAATGACTGAATGCTTTTCCCCTAAGAGCAAAACAAGACAAAGATGTCCACTATCATCATGCTTACTCAACATAATACTGGAAATTCTAACCATTGCAATTAGGCAAGAGAAAAAAAAATGGCATACAGATTTAAATGGAAGAAATAAAACTTCTATCTCTATTTACAGAAGACATGATTGTTTATGTAGAAAATCCCAAGGAATCTACAGAAGAAAAATTTCTACAACTAGTAAGTGAGTTCAGCAAAACTGATAAAAGATAAAACACACAGTCAGGCATGGTGGCTCATGCCTATAATCCCAGCACTTTGGGAGGCCAAGGCAGGCAGATCACCTGAGGTCAGGAGTTCGAGACCAGCCTGGCCAACATGGTGAAACCCCATCTCTACCAAAAATACAAAAATTAGCTGGGCATGGTGACAAGCGCCTGTAATCCCAGCTACTTGGGAGGCCGAGGCAGGAGAATTGCTTGAACCCGGGAGTTGGAGGTTGCAGTGAGCCGAGATCAAGCCATTGCACTCCAGCCTGGGTGACAAGAGAGAAATTCCGTCTCCAAAAAAATAAAAAGATAAAACTCACAAAATCAATCATATTTCTATATACTAACAATAAACATGCAGAAACAAATTAAAAGCACAATACCATTTATAATCACTCCAAAGAAAATGAAATAATTATGTGTAAGCTTATGTATAGAATCTGTATGCTGAGAATTACAAAATGCTGATGAAGTAAATCAAAGATGACCTAAATAACTGGAGAGACATACTGTGTTCATGGGGTGGGGGATGCAACATAGTAAAGATGTCAATTCTTCCAAAATTCATCTATAAGCTTAATGCAATTCCTATCAAAATCCCATCAAGGTTTTTCTAAATATAGATGTGTTAATTAGAATTCTCCAGAGCAACAGAGCTAATATAATCTCTAGTTATAATAAACCAAATATTTATTATAAAGAATTGGCTGATATGATTATGGAGGTTGAGAAGTACCAAGATCTGCAGTCAGCAAGCTAAAGACCCAGGAACGCCAACACTATTGTTCCAGTCCTAGTCCAAAGGCCTGAGAATGAGAGCCAGTGCTATAAATTCCAGTTTGAATCTGAAGGCCTGAGAATCGGGAAAGCTGATAATGTAAGTTCCAGTCTGAATCCGAGTCTGAATCTGAAGGCAGGAGAAGACTGATGTCCCAGCTTGAAGACAGTTGGCCAGAGAGAGCAAATTCTCCCTCACTAAGCTTTTTTGTTCTATTCAGGCCCTCAGTGGGTCAGATGATGTCCGCCCATACTGGTGAAGACAATCAGCCTACTGACTCAAAAGTCAATTTCATCCAGAAAAACCCTCACAGACATACCCAGAATTTTTTTTAACCAAATATGTGGGCACCCCATGGCCCAGTCAATTTGAGACGTAGAAATTAACCATCACAATAGACAAGTCTATTATAAAAATTATACAGAAAGGTACAGGCCCTTCAATAGCTAAAACAATTATGACAAAGAAGAATAAAGTAGGAGAAATCACTACCTGATATTAAGGCTTTGTATACAAGTATAGCCATAGTAATCAAGACAATGTAGTATTGGCATAAGAATAAAGACATAGATCAATGAGAGATCCCAGAAATAGACATACACAAATATGCTCAACTGATTTTTGACAAAGGTGAAAAACAATTCTATGGAGGAGGAATAGTCATCTCAACAAATGATACTGGAGCAATTGGACATCTACAAGCCAAAAACTGAAACTTGACCATAAAAAATTAACTCGAGGCTAGGCATGGTGGCTCACGCCTGTAATCCCAGCACTTTGGGAGGCCGAGACAGGTGGATCACTTGAGGTCAGGAGTTTGAGACCAGCCTGGCCAACATGGTGAAACCCTGTCCCTGATAAAAATACAGAAATTAGCCAGGCGTGGTGGCATACACCTGTAGTCCCAGCTACTCAGGAGGCTGAGGCAGGAGAATCTCTTGAACTCGGTAGGTGGAGGTTGCAGTGAGTCGAGATTGCGCCATTGCACTCCAGCCTGGCGACAGAGCAAGACTCTGTCTCAAAAAAAAAAAAAAGAAAGAAAAGGAAAAAGAAAGTGAGGAGTGTGGCCACAGGAGTGGAACAGGATCCTTGTGGTAATGGAAATATTCAAAGTCTTGACTGTTGTGGGATACACAAACTTATACATGTGACAAAATCATAAAGAACTAAATGTGTTGGGAGGCCAAGGTGGGCAGATCACTTGAGGTCAGGAGTTTGAGACCAACATGGTGAAACCCGTCTCTACTAAAAATACGAAAATGGTGGTGAGCGCTTGTAATCTCAGCTACTTGGGAGGCTGAGGCATGAGAATCCCTTGAACCCAGGAGGCAGAGCTTGCAGTGATCCGAAATTGCAACACTGCACTCCAGCCTGGGCAAAAGAGCGAGACTCTGTCTTAAAAAAAAAAAAAAAAAAACCTAAATGCGCACACATAGAGATTACTATGAGGAAATCTGGGTAAGGAATAAGATTGATGTGTTCTCTCAATGTCAATATTTTGATTTTGACATTATATTAGAGTTTTGTAAAAATGTTGCTACTGGGGAAACTGGTTCAAGTGTACATGGGATCTCCCCATATTATTTCTTACAATGTATGTGAATCTACAGTTACATTAATAAAAATTTCAATAAAAAAACAAATCTACAGGAAAGTTGAAAAATAAAGGGATGATATGGCAGAGATGGATAATTGTCAATTATTAACATACTCATTCTTCCCTTCTCCCATAGAACATAATTTTTAGCTGGGCACATGGCTTCCTGGATTAAACATTACATTTCCCATCCTTCTTTGCAGCTAGGAGTGGCCTATGACTAAGTTCTAAGCAATGGAAGTGATAATTACTCTACTTTTTATTTTTATTTTTTTTTAGATGAAGTCTCGCTCTTGTCCCCCAGGCTGGAGTGCAATGGCGCGATCTCGGCTCACTGCAACCTCCACCTCCCAGGTTCAAGCAATTCTCCTGCCTCAGCCTCCCAAGTAGCTGGGATTACAGGCACCTGCCACCACGCCTGGCTAATTTTTGTATTTTTAGTAGAGATGGGGTTTCACCATGTTGGCCAGGCTGGTCTCGAACTCCTGACCTCAGGTGTTCCACTTGCCTCGGCCTACCAAAGTGCTGGGATTACAGGCGTGAGCCACCGTGCCCAGCCAGTAATGACTTTATTAAACTTCCAGATACTGTTCTTAAAGGGGGCATGCTCTTCTACATCCCCTTCTTCCCTCCTTCTCCCTAAATCATGAGGACAAGAGACATAACCTTGAGACTGTGGAAGGATAAGGTGGAAGGACCCCGGATCCCTAAGGACTTTATGGGGCCACCATAACAGCTCTTGCCTGCCTGTATTTCATTAAGAAATAAACTTTTATCAGTCATGTTAAAGCTGCATGAATGCTAGGTTTCTTCTGGACTTCTACGAAATAATTTCCACCATATTTGGGAAATTGGTATTTGGGTTTTCTTTGACTGAAATTGAATCCAAACTTTACTAGTACAAAAAGAAAAAGATATTCCTTGCAAAAATCAAACTACAATTTTGTTATCAGGCCAAGTAGAATTCCAGGCCAAGAAGAAAACTACAAGGGACAAAGAAGGATGTCATAAACTGTAAAAGAACTATAGATCAGGCAGATATAAGGATCATGAATATTTACGTGTTTAATAATATGGCCTCAAAGACTATAAAGCAACCACTGACAGTATTATGGGGGGAAAGAGATACATAAAAAACCATAGTTATGGAATTTAGCATACCCCTCTCAGAGACTAATAGATCAAGGAGACAAAAATGAGCTAAAATAGAAGATTTAAGCAATACTACTAATAACCTTAAACTGAAATATAATAAAGGACTAGACTTAAGACATGAGGAGTATGTTATTTTTTAACTCACCTGAAACATTCAAAAAAATCCTCCATGAACTAGGTTACAAAGGATGATTATTCAACCATTTCTGAACGCTGTAATAAAAATGGGAATCAATAACAAAAAGACAGGTTTTTATTAATACCAGAGGTAGAAAAACTGAAAAACCAAGCTACTTAATAACACTTGCGTTAAAGAGGAATTAATAGGGAAAATTACAAAATACTTAGTACTGAATGACAGTAAAAACACCACGTCAAAATACGTGGGATACAGCTAAAGCAAGACTTAAGGAAAATTAATGGCTTTAACTATAGTTATATATATATATATATATATATATATATATATATATATATATATATATATATACACATATACATACATATAAAAGGCAACAAAGATGGGGGAAGGGAGCTAAGTATTTGACTTAGGAATTTGGAAAAAAGATCACAGAAAAGAAGAAGGGGTAGAAATCAATAAAATCAATAATCAAAGCACATTAAATTAAAATCACCTTTTGCAACTCCTAATAATTAATTAATCTAGACATTGATCATCAATGGCTACTAAAATCATTAAAGGAGAGCCAATCAGACATTGTCATTATACTCCTCTTGAAGGATAAACATAACCCACTTATGAGATAGAAATATAGATATACAATTTTGACAAGACTATCAATCTAGACAGACAGGTAGGTATAGATTTAGATACTAAATTTGGTCAAGCCAATTGTAAATTTGCACATAATTCAACGAAATTTTACTTATCTCTAAGTTCAGTGAAAGTTCATCAAAATTCTAGCAGACATTTTTTAGAAAGTTGATAAATTGATTCTAAAATTAATATATGGAAAAATGAAGTTTCAAAGTTCACAAATAGCTAAAGCAATTTTTTAAAAAGAACAAACTATGATGATTTGCTATATCAGATATTAAAACATACTGCAGAACTATATGATTTTATAAAGTTTGGTATTAACTCAAGAACAGACATATAAATCCAATGGAACAGAACTTAAAATATATAAACAGACCTGTGTATATGTAGGAATTTGACATATGATTAAGATGTCACAAATTAGTGGAGGAAGGATAATTTATTTTGTTGAGAGTTCACCAAAAAAAGTATTAAATCTCCACCTCATACCATATACAAAAGTGAATTCCAGATAGATTAAAGACCTAAAACTGAAAGGTAAAATGTTAGACCTAATTGAATGAAAATGAATAAAGCTCTCCTCATGCTCTTGGGCAGGGACAGACTTCACAAACAAAACAAAAATAGCCAAAACCACAGACAAAAATTGACTAATTTGACTATATCAAAACTAAAGATTCCTATTAATTGAAAGGATGCTGTATTCGTTTTCTAGGGCTTTTGTAACAAAGTACCACAAACTGGTGGCTTAAAAGAGCAGAAACTTATGGTCTCACAGTTCCGGAGGCTAGAAGTCTGAAATCCAGGTGCCAGCAAGGCCACGTTGTCTCAGAAACCTGTAAGGAGGAACCCTTCCTCACCTCTTCTAGCCTCCGGTGTTTGTCGCCAACCACCAGGCTGTCTCAGAAACCTCTAAGGAGGAACCCTTCCTCACCTTCCTCACCTCTTCCAGCCTCTGGTGTTTGCCGCCGACCACCAGGCTGTCTCAGAAACCTCTAAGGAGGAACCCTTCCTCACCTCTTCCAGCCTCTGGTGTCTGCTCCTGACCCTTGGCTTTGCTTGGTTTCTAGGTTCATTGCTCCTGTCTCTGCCTCCATCACTGCATGGCTCTCTTCTCCCTGTGCCTCTGCCCTTCTTTAAGGACATCAGTCATATTGGATTAGGGCCCACCTTAAAGACAACATTTTAACTTGATTACATCTACAAAGACCATCTACATTCCCAAGTAAAGTCACATTCAAAGGTACCAGGGGTTAGGACTTCAAAATACCTATGGAGGGATATTCAACCCCTAACAGGCAGCATAACTTCAATTTCTGCCTTCATCTTTACACGGCCTTCTTTTCTTTGTGTTCTCTTTCTGTCCTCTTCTCTTCCTATAAGGATACCAGGATTTGATTTAGGGTCCACCTGATTTCATCTTGGGATCCATGTATATTATTCTGTTTTCGTGCTGCTGATAAAGATATGCCCGAGACTGGGTAATTTATAAAGAAAAAGAGGTTTAATGGACTCATTGTTCCACATGGTTGGGGAGGCCTCACAATCACGGCAGAAGCCAAAAGGCATGTCTTACATGGTGGCAGGCAAGAGAGAAATGAGAACCAAGTGAAAGGGGTTTCCCGTTATAAAACCATCAGATCTTGTAAAGACTTATTCACTGCCACAAGAACAGTATGGGGGAAACTGCCCCCATGATTCAATTATCTCCCACTGGGTCCCTCCCATAACATGTGGGAATTATGGGAGCTACAATTCAAGATGAGATTTGGGTGGGGACACAGCCAAACCATATCACCATGTTATGGATATGGTTTGATCTGTTTTGCATTGCTATTAAGCAATACCAAGAGTGGGTAATTTATAAGGAAAAGGGGTTTATCTGGCTCATCATTCTGCAGGCTGTATAAGCATGGCACCAGCATCTGCTCAGCTTCTAGTGAGGCCTCAGGGAGCTTACAGTCATGGCAGAAGGTGAAGGGGGAGCAGGTGTGCCACATGGCCAGAGCAGGAGCAAGAAGATGCCAGGCTCTTTTAAACAACCAGCTTTCACATGAACTAAGAGCAAGAACTCACTCATTACCTCAGGAAGGGCACTAAGCCATTTGCGAGGGATCTTCCCCCACGACCAAAACACCTCCCATCAGGCCCTACCTCCAAAATTAGGGATCAAATTTCGACATGAGACTTGGAGGGGACAAACATCCAAACTATATTAGGATCCTTTACTAATCACATCTGCAAACCATATTTCCAAATAAGGCCATATTCTGTGGTTCCAAGTGAACATAAGTTACTGGGAGACAGCACTCAACCCACTACAATCAGCCCTCTGGCCCCTCAAAGTTTACATCCTTTCCATGTGCAAAACACATTCACCTCATCCCAACATTCACAAAATTCTTAACCCAATCAAGCAACAATTCCAAGTCTAAAATGGCATTTAAATATTATCAACTGAATGAGTCTCAAATCTCATAAACCAAATTATCTAAATCAGGTATGGGTGAGACTCTGAATATGATCCATCCCGGGGGAAAAATTCCCTTCCATCTGTGGACCTGTGAAACTAGAAAATAAGTTATCTGCTTCCAAAATAAAATCCAGGCATGGCATGGATATTCCCATCCCAAAAGGGAGGAATTGAAAGAAATAAAGGGGTCACCATTCCCAGCCAAGTCCAAAACCCAGCAGCAAAAATGTCAATAGGTTCAAGGTCTGAGGATAATCCTCTATGTTGTTATCTGGGCCTGCAGTGACAGCTCCTGCCTCTGTGCCTGCCTCTCTGGCCTCTAACTCCACATCTGTGAGTCTGTCCTCAGTCATTCACCTTTTCCTTTAACAGCAGCATATGTTTACAGCTGAGCAGCTCTATCAACTAGTTTCCTGTCTATAGAATCCCAGAAGTCTGATAGCTTTTCTTCATTTCATAGTCTCTGTCAGTCCAGGCTGGCCATGTTCCTATTGGTATAATATTCTCAAAAATTTTGTGGGTCTCCTGTGTATGCCAAGGGGATACACGTCATTAGACCGAAGCATTCTCCATAGATACTTCCTGATTAACCCCACCTCTATTCCTGGCTTCTACTGTGATGGCTGATTGGAATCATGAGTCACACACCTAATCTCTTTGCAAAATGTTGTCCAGCCACAGCTTTGGAGCTCTCTCCACAGTGTGCTTTCTCAACAGAGAAACCAAGAACCTCCCAAATCATAAAGTACTGGTTCCTTTGTGCTTAACAATTCCTTCCTCAATTTATCTCTTTCCTCTTGCACTTCACTGTAAGCAATAAGGAGAAACTAGGCTGCACCCTCCATATTTTGCTTAGAAATCTCCTCAGCTAAACATCCAACTTGAATTCTGCTTTTTGCCCAACAGCAGCCAAGTTCTCTGACGCCTTATAAGAATCACCTTTGCTCAGTTTCCAGTAATATGTTCCTCATTTCTTTCTACGGTCTCACCAGAAGTACCTTTAATGTTCCTATTTCTAGCAACATTCTTTCTATATATATGATTATATATATTCTCTAAGATTATAGAAGCTTTCTCAACCATTCTCATCACTTCCATCTGAGCCCTCACTAGAATTGCTTTTAACATCCATATTTCTAGCAACAATCTCTTCTTCAATGCTACCAGGCTTTTTCTACCATGAAATTCAAAAGTATGTATTACAGCAGCACCCACTTCCCAGTAACAAAGCCTGTATTCATTTTCTAGGGCTGCCATATCAAAGTACCACAAACTGGGTGGCTTAGAACAACAGAAATGTATCCTCTCACAATTCTGGAGGCTAGAAGACTGAAATCGAAGTGTCAGCAGGTCCATGCTCCCCCTGAAGCATCCAAGAAGGAATCCTTCCTTGCCTCTTTCAGCTTCTGAGGGCCCAAGGCATTCCCTGGCTTATGGCATCATAACTTCAATCTCTGCCACCGTCTTCACATGTCCTTCTTGTTTGTCTCTCTGCGTTTTCTCCTCCTCTTATATGGACACCAGTCATGGGATTTAGGGTCCACCCTACATCTAGGAGGACATCATCTTGAGATCCTTAATTAGTTACATTTGCAAGGACCCTATTTACAAATTAGGTCACATTCTGAGGTTCCAGGTGGACATGAATTCTTGGGAGACACTATTTAACCTACTACAGATACTATGGACACAATTAACAAACAAGTGACAACTGATAGAAAATATTTCAAAGTCTAAAATCATTAAGGATTACAATATATAACATGCAAGAAACACAAATCAACAAGACGGGAAATCCTACAGAAAAGTAGGCAAAAGAGATGAATAGGCAATCCGTGGAAGCAGAAACCCAAATGAATAAAACTTTTATAAGGAGCTATTTGGCCTCACTTCATAAGAGAAATCCAAATTAAAACAAGGAAATCCTACTTTATGCCCATAACATTAGCATGAAAAATTAAGTCAGATAACACATGTGTTAGAACAATGTATAGAAATGGAAACCCTACATAAGCTACACTGACTTCTCCTCTTGCTCAGTGTAAATCCAATGTCTATACTCTAACCCACAAGAGTCTGCAATTCCTGGTCCCACTACAGCTCCAACCTCATCTCCAGCCACCCTCTGCTTCCCTCTCTCTGCTGCAGCCCACCAGCTTCTGCGCTGTTCCTCTAACAGGGCAAGCATACTTTGACCCCAGGGCTTCAGCACTTGCAGTTTCCTCTGCCTGGAATGCATACTCCATTCATCTGAATGGCTTGGTCTCTTATTTCATTGAGTTCTCTGCTCAGATGTCACCTTTTTAAGGAGTCTTCATTAATCACTCTAGTAACATAGGATAGAACCTTCCCTCTTTTCCTGGTTTTTCTCCGTCACAGTTATAATTCTCCGGAACATTTTAGATTTTGCTTGTCTGTTTATTGTCTATCTTCCTCTACTAGAATGTACACTCAGTTTTGCTCACTGCAGCATCCTCCAAGCCTAGAACTGTTCCTTATAAAAGTGACATTTGAGCAAAGAACTCAATGAAATAAGGTGCTCAATAAATGTGCTGAATGAATAATGAAGTCCTACTGTTTATTATTATACATTGAGTGCTTTAGTTGTACTATTTCATTTGATTCTTACAATCATATGAGGTAGTCATTATTAATTCCATTATACTGACTTGGAGACTGAGGCTCAGAAGAGTTAGGCAACCAGTGGAGATCACACAGCTAACAAATGATTGATCTGAGACTTGACCCCAGCCTGGTTGATTCAAAATCCCAGACCCTCACACTTCATTGTACTCTGTCAATCTCCCACAGAGTTCACAGTTCTCACATGGCAGTCATGCACGTGCACAGCTGAGATTTCCTGCTGCAGGGAGCGTGGTTATCATTCTTCTAGATCCACCACCACGTTAGTGCCAAGGCCACGCTTCCGTCAGGCTGCTCTCAGCCAAGGACTAAGCACGGCTGGTACTAGTTCAGGCCTCTTCTAGTGGCAACTTTGTCTTGACACTCCCCATCAGCCTGGCCAACACCTTCTGAGACCTGCACTGGGCCTGAGATTCTTCCTATCCCATTCTCCTTTCTTCCTTTGTCCTTTCTCAGGGTCAGACCAGTGTTGAGGTCTGAGGCTATCCCTGCTTTCTCCTGCCCCGTTCCCTTTGTCCTTTTTAGATATCCTTCCCTCAGTGAAGCTCTTGTGCCTCTAAGCCCAGCTTGGCCTCTCCTTCTTGGATGTCCGGCTCTAATATACCTCATGACACTCAGGAGTCAGCCAGCACAGCACATGCTAAAGCTGGGCACACACATTCCCAGGACCCAGCAATTCCATTCCTATATATATATTCAACAGAAATGCAGACATGTTGTTACAAAAGATAAGGACAGGACAGGTACGGTGGCTCACACCGGTAATCCCAGCATTTTGGGATGCCAAGGCTGGTGGATTGCTTGACCTAAGAGTTCAAGACTAGCCTGGGCAACATGAGGAAACCCCATCTCTACTAAAAACACAAAAATTATCCGGGCGTGGTGGGGAGTGCCTATGGTCACAGCTACTCAGGGGGCTGAGGTGGGAGGATTGCTTGAACCTGGGAGGTGGAGGTTGCAATGAGCCGAGATCACGCCACTGCACTCCAACTTGAGTGACAAAGCAAGACCCTGTCTCAAAAAAAAAAAAAAAAAAAAACCCAAAAGGACAATAACTTACAGAGCACCACTATTCATAATAGCCCCAAACTGGAAAATACTCAAAGGCCTATCAATGGTTGAATGAGTAGCTACATGGTAGTTTTTCACACAATAGAATGTTATACAGCAAAGACAATGAACAATCTACAATTACAAGAATATGAATGAATCTCTGAGTGAAATTTACCAGATGCAAAAGAATATATACTGTCAGATTCTTTCTTCTTCTTTTTTTTTTTTTTTTTGAGGCAGGGTCTCACTCTGTTACCCAGCTGGAATGCAGTGGCTCAATCTCGGCTCACTGCAGCCTCTACCTCCCCAGGCTCAAGCAATCCTCCCACCTCAGCCTCCCAAGTAGCTGGGACTACAGGGATGCCCCAACATGTCCAGCTATTTTTTTTATTATCATTATTTTGTAGAGACAAATTTCATCATGTTGCTCAGGTTGGTCTCAAACTCCTGGGTTTGAGCCATCCTCCTGCCTCAGCCTCCCAAAGTGCTGGGATTACAAGCATGAGCCATTGTGCCTGGCCTTATATACTATAAGATTCTATTTATACAAAGTGCAGAACTAATTTATGATGTTAAAAGGCAGGACAGCAGTTACCCTTGGGAGGTGGGGTAGTGACTAGAAGGGACATAATAGGAGATTCTAGTGATGTTCTGTTTTTGCATCTGGATAGAAGTTATGTGACTCAGTTTACCTTCTGGAAATCAGAAATGTGCAATTGTACAATCTGTACACTTTTCTATATATATGTTAGACTCCAATAAAAAATATTTAATGAAAAAGTAAGAATAGGCCAACATTGCACTCTCAACCAAAAGCCAAAATCATAACCCAAGTGATAAGCCCTAACCTTGTTCCTGTCAGGGTGTCACCATCCTCATGGTCACCTCATGGCTCAAAGCTGTCCCTTGCCCTTATCCTTGATGGCCAGTATGTCACCAAGTCCTGATGACTCTTCCTGCACAACCCGTCAGCGCTGACCAGTTTCCTGTGTTTCTGCTGTCACTGCTCCATTTGATGCCTGAATTCAGCAAAAGTTAGCGTCTAATTGGTCTTTCAGCCAGGGCCAGGACTAGGGTGAGGAAAGTACGGCACCTAGGGGGCAAAATGTAAGGAATCATCACCCTCAGGATCTTGTAAATTCAGGATCAGTCCCTGACAGTGATGCTTCTTTAAATTTTCCCTGCCTCAGCCTAGTCCCAGCCTGCCCTCAGCTTCCCACTTTTCCCTCCAGCACACGTGGCTCCATGTTGCCAAATTATTCTCCTTGCTTCTGTCATGGCCCTCCCCTGCCCAAGGATTTACTAGTGTCCCATCTGCCTATTAAATTAAGGATAGCCCTGGGGTGGACACACATCTCTCTTCACCTCAGTTTCTCTATAAGGATGGTGAGAAACCTGGACCCAGAGGTTTCCTTCAAGTGCCAACTCCAGGCAGTTATAACAGCTATCTCAAACCCTGGGTTGAAATAGGCCTCTGAGGACAAGTACAGATTCACTGTACAAAGGTATCGACCATGTACGGTGGCTCACACCTGTAATTCCAGCACTTTGGGAAGCTGAGGCAGGTGGATCACTTGAGGTCAGGAGTTCAAGACCAGCCTGGCCAACATGGTGAAACCCTGTCTCTACTAAAAATACAAAAGTTAGCCGGATGTGGTGGCACACACCTATACTCCCAGCTACTCAGGAAGTTGAGGCAGAAGAATTGCTTGAACCCAGGAGGTGGAGGGTGCAGTGAGCTGAGACTGCACCACTGCACTCCAGCCTGGGCAACAGAGACCCTGTCTCAAAACAAACCATGTAACTGCTATAACAAACTAACACAGACTACTAGATGACTTAAACAATGGTTATTTCCCACAGTTCCAGAGGCTGGGAAGTCCTAGATCATAGCACATGTAGATTTGGTGTCAGGTGAGGGCTCACTTCCCGGTTCACAGACAGTGCTTTCTTGCTGTGACTTCACATGGTGGAAGGGGCAAGGAAGTTCTCTAGGGCCTCTTTTCTAAGGGCACTAATCCCATTCATAAGGGCTCCACCCTCATGACCTAATTGCCTCCCCAAGTCCCCACCCTCTACTACCATCACCTTGAAGGTCTGGATTTCAACATAGGAAGAGTGAGGGGACATAAACATGCAGCCTATAGCAGCAAAGAGGACAATCGTGATACGCATGTCAGGTATTTGCCTTAAGTAAATCTAAACTGTGTACCCAGACCCTCCATAATCTAGTCTTATCCTACAATGGTCCTGTTTCCTAGGGAATCAATTCTAAAATGTTCAGCCTAGGTTCTAAATTAAGCTAAGCAGAGGCAGACTGAAACAAGCCGCACTGTGCTGGAGGCAGCATGGTCACCTGTGGTGGTCACGTCACTCTCAGGTCCACCAGGGCCAAGCCCCTATGAAGGTGGTCAGTCCTCAGGCTCCCCGGGGCTCATCTCCATTTTTGGAATCCAATTACAAAACATTGATCCGATCCCACTCCAGAGAACTGATTTATGCCCCGGCTGAGGGAAAAAGAACCAAAAATATTGTACCCATTTGTTCAAGCTGTGGTTGGTTAAACAGGGTCACCTCTCGCCTGCCAACTGGCCTGGTCCTCTCAGCTCCTCTGGCACCTGCTGGAGGCAGCTGGATTTGGCAGGTGGCCAGGCAGGTCAGCCCAGCCAAGAGGACAAAGCCCAGACTGTGAACCCATGGAAATGCCAACCCAATGCCCCTTGGAGGCCCCCAGGGCTTTCTGAGTCCAAGACACACACACACACACACACACACACACACACACACACACACACACGTACCTAACAGTTCATGAGTTACTGAATGGAAAAATCTTCCTAGTCCCTAGTTTTTCTTCTTTCTTTCCCAGCACCTTTTCACCCAAATGGTAATGTCTGGGCTTTGCCAGAACTGGCACAGGCAGGGATCTCTGGTCAGAGAGACTCCAGAAGAGATGTCCTTCCTCTCCATCTGGGTGAGCAGCAACACACAGCCACCCAAAAGGCAGGTGGAGAAGGCAGGTGTGCATGAAGGCAGGTGTGCACGAAGGCAGGTGTGCATGAATACAGGTGTGTATGAAGGCAGGTGTGTATGAATGTGGGTGTGTATGAATGCGGGTGTGCATGAAGGCAGGTGTGCATGAAGGTGGGTGTGTATGAAGGCAGGTGTATATGAAGGTGGGTGTGCATGAAGGCAGGTGTGCATGAAGGTGGGTGTGCATGAAAGCAGGTGTGTATGAAGGCAGGTGTGTATGAAGGCAACACAAGATTTGTGCTCTGCTAGGACAAAGTGCCAGAAAGACGCAGAAAAGGGATTGATTCTTTAGAGTGAAGTATGGAGGCTTCTTGGAGGAGGTGACTGATGTGGGCCTTAAGGGATAAATAACAGCCTAACCAAGCTGCAAAAAAATGGAAAAGCTTGTGCCAAAGGATAGAGGCAGGAATAAACTTGACAGATTATCAAGCATCTCCTGGAGCTCAAAACCCCAGGACCGGGCCTGTGTGTCCTCCAAACCATAACCTCATTTCCAAAACTTCGGGACAGGGGTGGCAATCTTTGCTCTGCCTTCCCCAACCGGGCAGCATTTCCAGTTGGCTCCAACAGCTCCCTATGGACCGCTGTCAAACCTTCCCAGGGACATTCCTAACATCTTTGTCCAGGTAGGACCCCTGTGGGGAAAATCATGGCAGGTGAAACAGTAGGAAGTGAGGTTTCTAGAGACTGGAGAAGCCAGAGAAATGAGCGGGGCAGCTGGGCTCCACTCCTCCCTCTGCGGAAATGCCCAGCAAGGGGTTGATCCTGCCTCCTTCCTGCGAGGCTCGCCATCCTTCACCCACTGCTGCCTGCTCCTGCTGAAGCCCGGGATGCATGCGTGATGGAGTAAACAGCAGGGCTGGCAGTGTGGGCATGAGACTGCGCACGCACCACGCTCACTGGTGCTGGGGCGCATCCTTCTCCCACGAGCCAAACTGAATAACCTGATTCTCAGGAAAGAGTGTCAGAGAAGCCACTCAGAAGGACTTGGATACTCTGTGGGGACAAAGTTTGAGCACAGACATTAAGAGGGACAGAGGGGGCTGCGTGAGGGAGGGGGATGAAAGAAACCCCCTTTCCTCTTTCCATCCACCACCCTCTACTCCTACCACATGCCTACAGGCACCCTTCAAAGCCCTCCTCCTCCACCCGCCCTCCCCACCTGCCCCAGGCAAAAAAGCCAGAGGTCTACCCAAGGGCGAGGACCACGCTCTCTAGTCCATTGTCTTAGGAAGCAAGGCTATGCAGGTGGAATTAACAAGGGGTGGGGAGGCTAAGTGAAGATTTTGTTTCCAGTTATGCCTCCTCTAAGTGGGTGGCCTGGGGCAAGGCCCTCATCTGTAACAAACATAGGTCTTTCATCTGCCAATTGAGACCTGATTATAGTACCTACCTCCCAATATGGAGGGGATTAAATGAGATATTTGTAAATTCCCAGAACACACTTCTCTAGTAATATGCTTCATTTTCAAGTGTACAGCTCACCTCCTCACCGACACTGCAAGCTCCAGAGGGGAAGTTTTGTGCCCCATCCCACCCCCATCACACAGCGCTGGGCATGGGGACAGCTCAATAAATGCCCTTTGGAAATCACAGCTTATCAAACAAGAGGGAGGAAAAGGAGGCAGAATCCTGGGAAGGGTGCTTTGACCCCCCAGGCTGGGCAGGAGGCTGAGTCCCATCTTTCTAATCTAGTTGTAAAGCGCCTGTGTTCATTATTTTAACAGTTATTCGTGATCAAACGATTTGGTGTTAATGTGGATCTAATGTATAAATCCATACGGGTCCCACAGTCATTTAGCATTAATTAAACAAGGCCATTTTAAGGCTGGGATTCCACTGGGTTTATTGTGCTTAGCAGTGAATGGCGGAAACCACTCAACCACTCTGCTTTCTCTCTGCTCCTGTGTTGTCCCATTTACCTCTGGAGAGCAGGGGAAGAGCAAGCTTGAAGCTACCCTGGACAGAGGGTGGGGCACAGGGAGGACCCTGGCTAGGGTGTGGAAAGCTGACTGACAGGTGAGGAGCTCCATAGAGGCCCTGCTTGCAAAGAAGAAATAAGGGTTGCATTAGCATACCACGGGCCTGGATGCCCAGAGAACAGGATTTTAGTCCTGCTCTGCTGCTGATGACTAGCTGTGCAGCCTCGTGCAAGACACTTCCCTGCTCTGTCTTCATCGGTTAATTAAGAAGCCTGGACAAGCCAACCTCATTCCCTCTACCTGGAATGCATCTCCTTCCATTTCCCCATGGCTGCTCCTTTCCATCTTTCACATCTCAGCTCACGTCAGCTCCTCCAAGAAGAGATAACCACCCTCTGTTACCACCACTCCCCACCACCCAAGCACTCTGGAGCACATCGTCTCTCTTTTATTTTCTTTATGGGACTTACCACGGTCTTAATTATCTCTGCATTTGTACTCACTTGTTCCCTTGTGTGTTATCTCTGTCTCCTCCCCACTGTCATCTCCACAAGATCAAGAGCTTCATATGTCTTATTCATCTCTTTCACACCAATTCAGTACGTGGCACATGATGGGGGCTCAAAAAAAATAGTATGTCCACCAGCAGAATCATGAGGTGATCATTAAAACCCCTCCAGGATGGCACTCAATAGTCCTTGACATCTGCACCCAGAAAGTAAGGGCGGCATAGGGTGCGGGAAGAGCGGGGATCATCCAGGAGAACTTGTGGGAAAAGGACGATCAGAGCTGGATTCTGGGAGACAGAGGAACGCCAGCCTAGAGAAGGGGAAAACCTGTCTTGAGAAGGCAGGCAGGCAGGAGCCACAGCGGTGGAGAGCTTCAAGTCCCTGCAGCTGCTACACCTTCAGGCTCCCAGCCAAGACCATTTGGTGAACTATATTAATAATCACAATACAAGAATCCCTTGTGGACTGGAACAATTTCCCTTCCAAGGCAGTGACATGCCTATCACTTCACTTTATTCTTCTGCCATCCCCTTGATACAAAGGAGGAGAAAATATCTTCTGCTATGTATAAAATTAATAACAATTGTTCATTTGTATAGTACTTTCCCATTTCCCGAACACATTTTCTTATACAGGAATGATAGTATTTATTCCCATGTTGCAGATGAGGAGACTCAGAGAGGTGAAATGACTTGTCCGAGGTCAGTCATAGCGTATGTAGCCTGGAAAACTCAAGCCCCGAACTCCAAATTTTTCAACAACCTAGTGGTGTTTTTTCCAGATGAGGAAACTAACAGAGAGAGAGAGAGAGAGAGAGAGAAAGTGTATGGCTAGCTTATGAGAGCTCCCCACCCACACATCCAGGGGGTTAAATTATTTGTAGGGTCAGGATGAGGCATGCGGACAGTGGGAAGGGAACCATCTCCCTTCCCGACCTGAGCATGGAGATGGAGATCACCCTGAGTGAAAATGTTCATTTTTACAGTTCAGGGAGGGAGGGGCAGAGACTTCTTACATTACAGAACTCTAGAATTCTCAGCTGAAAATGATGTTGGAGATGTCTATGATCTCATTATACCCAGGTCCCAGTGCCCTCTTCTAAGCTCTTTATCATCATAATTTCTGATGTAAAGAGCATGATGCCATGGACAAAATGGGCCCTCAGTGACTATCCGATGCAGGGCCAGGCACTGAATGCAGGTGAGTGAGGAGGATCAGGTGCAATAAGTCAATAGCCATTGGCACTCAGCCCCTGTGTGGGGGATACAATAGGGAGTGGTGGGGACCGTGGCAAGTTAGGAGAGTGTAAACCCCGTGTGAGGGGAGAAAGATTGCAGCCAATTGTTGCCATGTGGACATGCAGGCCCAGTGTTACCAATTCTTACAGTTTTGAAAGAAGGTCAGAAGTGTGGCTCTCTATCAGAAATTCTAGAATATTAAATGTGGGTGCTTAAATTTAAAGCACTGTATAGGCCAAACAAAATATGTCTAAGAGCAAGTTTCCTTTAACAGCTTTGTTGAGGTATAGTTGATATACAAATAACTGTACATATTTAATGTGTACAGTTTGGTGAAGTTGGACATATGCAAACACCCATGATACCATCGCCACAATCAAGGTAATATGCATATCCAACACTTCCCAAAGTTTCTCATATTCCTTTGAGTGTGTGTGTGTGTGTGTGTGTGTGTGGTAAAAACACTTAACATGAGATCTTAAGGAATTCTGAAGTACACAATACCAGATTCTTAATTACAAGCACTATGTTGTACAGCAGATCTCTAGAACTTATTCACCCCGCAGAACCGAAACTCTATATGCATGGAATAACAATTCCCCATTTGCCTCTTCCCCTAGCCCCTGACAATTTGCTCCAAGCCCTGGGTGCTGTTGGTGCAGCCAACTCTTTTCTCTGCTGCTATTAGTTTGACAATTTCTGATATGTCATATACATGGAATCAATTTCTGATACATCATATACATGTGACTGGCTTATTTCACTTAGCATATTATTTCACTTAGCATATTTCACTTAGCATAATGTCCTCCATTGTGTTGTTGCAAATGACAGGATTTCCCTCTTTTTCAAGGCTAAATAATATTCCACTGTATGTATTTACTATGTTTTCTTTATCCATTCATCTAACAGAAAGTTTCTATCCATTGTTCATTGGTTTGACACTTGTAGTTAAATGAATAAATTAACCCTGTTCAAACCCTTCATTGTGAAGACTGGGCAACTGGAAGAGTTAAACCATGTCCCTAAGGTTACAAGCAACGAGGGACAAAGCTTAAACTCCAAGTTTCCAGATTTCCAATCCAGTTCTTGTTGATCCAGGGCCAAGGTCAGTGAGGGGGACTGTGTATATGAGGACCCATTAGGTTTGGGGACACATCACCACCTAGTTTGCTGTCCCGAATCCATACATTCCATCCAGCCCAGACCCAGGCCAAGAAGCCAGGGCCCATATGGGCTGAAAGGCCTCACCCACAGAAGAGGCACCGGCAACAGCACCTCCTGGCCTCCCTCCAACCAGAACCTTAGAAGAGCCCCTCACACCCTCCCCTGTACCCCATCCTCAGGCCACTTAGCATGCAGCACCATGGCACAAGCCAGCTGTCACTTAGGCACTTACAGGCAGAACTGTGGAAAAACCAAACCACTGTTATTACACTTAATAACCAGTTTCCACATCATCAACTCATTGGAGTCTGACAGGCGCTGTTAGGGTGTCAGCTCCCTCAGCCTAACAAGTCAGCACTAGCCAGGGGGTGGGAGAGCACCAGGCAGGACTGGGCACCAGCCTCCTGTGAGTTATTCCATCCCCCTCCTGCCCCACATGGAGGACACACACCCAAGGGCAGCCGAGGCGCCGACCCGCCTCTGCCCCCACACACTCAGGAGCTTAGCAGCTACACCAACAGCACCCAAGGTTTACAGCAGGAGCAGAAGCCCAGAGAAGGGGTCTCAGGGCTCTGACTGGTGTGCAAACAGAAGAAAACAGCCTGGCTTGTCAGAGTAGGGGCCAAGGGGTCTGAAGGAAGAGAATCCAGGACTGGGACACCTGGTTGGATCCTAGCTCTACTGTGTGGCCTTGAGTAAGATACTCCATCTTTCCAAGCCCCAGCTCCCCACCTGTAAAAGGTGGTACCTCAAAGCGTTCCTTGGAAGGCAAGCATAGTGCCAAGCATGGTGTCCACGCCTGATAAATGGTGGGTATCACTGAGTTATTATGAAATGGAGGTGGGCAGAGGGTGGGGGTCCTAAGAGGAGGACACAGGTGGGGTTGCTTATGAGGCATACACCCTGGCACATACACCTGCCTGGCGGAACCCTCCTGCTGCCCGCTGTAGCTCGGGCCTGAGGTAGTGCAGTGCTGCCATCTTTTGTCCACACGCTGCACTGCATCCCCACCTGCCCGGTTGGGTGGACAGGGCCCCAGGTGCTCCAGCTGCCCATTCTCCGTTGCTACAGCGTCTCTGAGCCTGGAGAGGGTCTACCCAGCAAGCTCTGGCAGGGCGGACTGTCCATCAAATGTGGCCCAAGATGTCAGAGCAGCCCTGCAGCCAAAGAGACGCCTTATGCCTTTGGGAAAAAACTGTGGGCCATTGCCCCAAAGGGCCCAGGGCTGGCTGGGGTCCCCCACTCCATGCCGCGATGTGTGCAAGGAGGCAGAGCAGAGACAAAGGAGGTGGGTGAGTGGGAGAGGGCACACCTCCAGGGACCTCAGCAGACAGTTTGCTACCTGCTTCCGCATGAGCTGAGATTCCCAAGATGCCAGGAGCAGTTGTCTCTGAGAGGTGGAATTGTGGGTGATGGGAATGATTTTGTTAGGTTGACTGTTTCATTGTGATTATTATTTTTTCTTTATGCGTAATTAGAATTTCACATTTTTCTACAATGCCAAAGTCTCAAGAAATAATTTGTTTATAAACCTGTCTGAAAGTAAATTTGCTTTTAAGTAAACACGTAATTCTAGAGCAGAAAGGGACCCTTTCTTTCACAGTTGAGGAAAATAAGCTCAGAGATAGGTGACTTGCCCAAGGTCACACCACTAGTTTGTGGCCAAGATGGACTAGAACTTCCCTCTCAAGACAAGGTCTTTTTCCTTTGAGAGTGAGCTGGGCCTTTTCCTGACCCTCTAGCTAGGGTAAGATCCCCTATTTGTCACCCATGGTAGCTGTTTTTCTGTTTACTCCCTGTCTCTCCCATGCAAGCTTCATAGGGGCAGGAACTTTATCTATCTTGTTCACTAAGGTATTCCCTGTGTCCATTATAGTCCAGGGTATGTGGCAGACACTCCATAAATGCATGTTGAATGGATGCATGGAGTTAATCAGGGAAGGCTTCCAGGAAGAGGTGAGTTATACATCCATTTTTGAAAAGGCACTTGTAACAGATCAACAGAGAAGATAAGAAGCATTCCTAGGGGCTGGAGGATGGCCTAGACCTAGCGCACAGTAAAGATATGTTCCCAAATATTTGTAGGGGAGGGGAGAATGGCAGAGTAGTACAGATTGTCCTCCTATTCCTGTAGGGACCTGAGCTAGGAACCCATCCCTGACCCTGATTCCTTACCTTGTCCTGAGAATTTGGGAAGAAGCCAAAAAGAATCCCTCTACAGGGCCAGGAAAGACACTAAGAGCTGAAGCTTCCATCAGCCTAACTGGATCTGACAAGGTCTGGCTGGGCCTGGTTGGACCTGACCATCCTGGGTGGACAGATGGGGCCTGACTGGGCTGGGTCTGAGCTGAGAACCACCTTCTTACTCCCATATTTAGGAGACTCTAGTACCTGTCATGTCAGCCTGATCTCCCAGGGCTCTAGAGACATAAAGCAGGGGGAGTGGGGGGAGGGGCAGAAACATTGAGGCCAAGGGGAAAATGTGAGGGGGTCCAAATGTATGCACAGTCTTGTTTCTAGGGTCTTTTATAAGATC
The DNA here is from genome assembly GCF_000001405.40 of Homo sapiens. Taxonomy (NCBI): domain Eukaryota; kingdom Metazoa; phylum Chordata; class Mammalia; order Primates; family Hominidae; genus Homo; species Homo sapiens. The sequence goes on from NC_000011.10 coordinate 116,643,279, forward strand.
ACTATTACTTTAGGAACATAAAGATGCATTAAGATGTAATGATCATGTTAAAATATGGAAGCCATTTACTATGTTTAGGTACAGATATGAAAGTCAGAAAAATGGAAAATTTCAGCAGAGGGGAATGAACATTTCTGAAAGGAAAAAAAATTCTTCTCTTAATTTTTCTGGAAAAGTCCCTCAAAAGGTTCTTGGAAAAAAAGGTTTATTTATTCCAGAATGGTGCATCATGTCTGACAAGGAGGCCAGAAGCCCTGTGCACCTCCCTCTGACCCCAATCAGAAAGGAGACACGCAATTACTGAGCACCTGCTGTATGCCAGGTTCTGGGCTGGGCTCTTTGTGAGCATTGTCTGGTGTGACGGAAATAGGTCCACCTGTAGACTGCAAGCACAGACAGCCCGCAGGAGCCTCCGGTGGGCCGACGGCATTCTCCCTGACACCTGGGGGTGTCTCTCAGCCTCAGCCTCTGCCTGCGCAGGCTTGCCTGGCCACACAGAAGGTGGGTGGGGTTCCAGTCTGCCTTTGGCCTGGCATATATTTGGAAAGTGGGGTACACATGCTTGCATACCTCTCCCCTTCCCAAAGCACTTCATGACCGGCCCTAAATAGAACTCAGCCCCGCACTGGGCTTCAGACTTTCAATGTCCTCCTGCAAAACCGTTTGGCACCAACACCTAAAGAGACCGGGATGGGATGTTGATGAGGGCCCACCCAGGGAACTGGAGCTGGGATAATTCTTTATTGTGAGTGTGAAACAAGAATTCAGAGAGGAAGAGGGCAAAGACAGAATGATAGCGAGCATGTCAGAGAGAGAGACTCAGAAACAGAGAGAGGTGGAAATTGAGAGAGAGAGGAGAGAAAAAAGAAAGATGGGGAAAAGAGACAAGAGGAGAAAAAGAGACAAGCAGAAAAACCGAGAGAAGGTTACAAAGCAGGGAGGGGAGGAGAGAGGGACAAAGGATGGACCAGCAGTTACAGGGCCAGGGAAAAGGGGGAAGGCGGAAGACTATCTTTCCCCACTGCCCACCCCCAGGACCCCCCACAACCCTCCCTGGAGGAACCACTCAGACATGGGAGGCGAGAAGAGGGAGCAGAGATAGGCAAACTCGCTACGTAACCTTGGAGACGAGAGCCAAGGAGATGGGCGTGGGGAGATGGGCACAGGGAGGGGCATGGCAGGGGGTGGGGACACAGGCAGGAGAGCAGCAACAGGTCCTACCATCCGGGGAGGGGCGGGTGGGGACAGAGGCCAAGAAGAGTGACCCGGATGAGCTGGGGGAGGGAGAGGGACAAAAGATTCCAGGAACAAACCTAAAGAGGTCTGAGAAGTCAGAATAAAGAGAGATTTTGCTGAGAATCAATTTAGGGAAGAAAGAGCAGGGAGTTGGGAGCTATGATAAGAGAAAGGGGGGTGAAGCGGGGCGGGCAGCAGCAATGCAGCCAGGAGTAGCCAGCCCACATGACCGTGTTGAAGTGAGGGGGGCCGGGCCATTGGCTCTGGACAGCAGGGCACAGGCAGGAAAAAGTCACGGCAGACTGGTGCAGGGAGCCTGGGTTTCTGACCCTTTCCCTGAGACCTGCTAAAGGCGATGAATCTCAGCTGTCTGGCCGGGGGGACCATTCCAATCACTTGTGTCCCAAATCCTGAGTACTGCTATGTGCCAGGTGCTTTGCTGGGCACTCTGGGGGACACAGGGACCATTGACAAACATGTACCCTGAAGACACTCACGGGTTAGTGAGGGAAACAAGGTGTGTACACAAACAACGAGAAGATGGTGACATGGAGGGACTCCCAGATCACTCACTGCCAGCCAGGAGCCCATCAGAGGGAGCCTCCCCGACAGGCCATGCCTGAGCCAGGTCCTGAAGACAGGGCAGGGCTGAGACAAGGGGAAGGCTCATCAGGTAGGGGGCAGCAGGAGCCCGCAGCAGGCAGGCCAGGGAAGCCCAGGGTGACCCTGGGTCTGCCAGGGACTAGTGTGTGGCCCAGGACAAATCACCTAACTTTTCTGAACCTGCCTTTCCCCACCTTGCAGAATTTAAGGATTATGGATAATATCTGTATACTGCCTGGCACATGGCAGGTACTCAATTAAGGGTAGCTATCATTGTTATTAAGAATAAATAGAAAACAGTGAGCTAGAATAAAAGGAAGTGGCTAGAAATGGACTGGAAGGGGGGTTTTAAGACACCCTCACCTCCCACGATCAGAAGCAGCTGTGAGCCACAGTCAGGAGGAACTATCCCCAAAGAACCTTTGGTGGAGCTCTGATTGGTGTCTGGTTAAGAGCTGGGTAGCTTACCATTACCAGCCAAAAAGAACAGTTGAGAGTATGCTGGTTTTAAAATGTGTCCACAATTTTCTTTAGTGTTCCTTCCAAAAAAAAAAATAAAACAAACAAACAAAAAACAAACCCTAATTCCCCTCCACTTGAATGTGGCCAGACTTAGTGACTCACTTCTAGTAAAAAGAATGTGTTAGAAGTTACAGAGTGACTTCTGAAACCAGGCCATAAAAGACAGTGCTCCTTTTCTTCTTGGGCTCTGTCTGTCTCTCTCAGATCACTCATTCTAGGGAAAAGCCATGCCCTGGAGACACTCAAGCAGTCCTATGGAGAGGTCCACAGGGCAAGGAACAGCAGCTTCCTGCCAGCAGCCAGGAGGCCTTGTGAGCCATGCAAGTCAATCATCTTGGAAGTGGATCCCACAGCCACAGTCAAGCCTTCAGATGAGATGGGAGCCCCAGCCAACATCTTGACTGCAACTTCACAAAAGACTTCATGCCAAAAACATCTAGCTAAGCCACTCTCAAGTTCCTGATCCACAGAAACTGGATCAGATCATCCATGTTTATTGTTGTGTTAAACTGCTGAGTTCTGGGATCATTTGTTACAGTGGATAGCTAATACCGGGGCCTGTGACTAAATCTGGAGCCACAACCCCCAATAGGGCATCAAACCCACAGCGGTGGCCCAGTCAGTGCCCACAGCAGTGAGTGGGGTGAGGAGATGAGACATAGGGACCCAGGCAGGGCATCAACAGGTCCTGCCATAGCTGGAGCTCCGAATGACACTCAGAGCAGGCCTGGCTGTGTAGGGCATGGGCAGGTTCTGGGTTGTTCAGTATTTCCAGGAAAGGCAGTGAGAGGGAATTGGTCATCCTTGTTCCTGGCTCTACCCCCATAGATACAGCTATGTGGCTCATCTAGGGCAGCAGGCAGGTCAGGGTAGAAGTAAGCACAAGGAGGCATTTACCTCACCTGGTCTCAAACTCCTGTCTCCCACTTATTATCTGGGTTATCCTACACAAGTGACCTTCACTCTCTTTGCCTCAGTTTCTCATCTGTGAAATGGTGATAATAAACCCTACTTTGTGGGGTAATACTCTCACGGTGTGGTAGAGCCTCGTTACACGAAAATCAGATGATAAAATAAATATGCAGCATCACACAAAGTCGGAGCCCCTTAAGCTGTGGCACCACCCAGCCCCTGGAGCCAAGAGAACAGGTTTAGCTGTGGGTCTGCTTTTCTTTGCCTTCTGACTCCCACGTGGCCCATATCCCTAAGGGCAGAATCAATTTGTACCGAAGCTTAAGAGGAAATATTTCTAAAAGCACCCTGGTTATTTCTGATTCATATCAATCTTCCAACTTGTTTGCAGACTAAAACTTGGCCTTGACTTCATTCCATTCTCATGACAACCCTGGTTGCTCACTGAGGCATGTTTGCTTTGCTTACCTAAGCCTCAGTCTCCTCATCTGTGAAACGGCGCTAGCAACTCTACTGGATCCATTTGGTTGTTGGGTTGGGTTGGGTTAAATGAAGTCTCAGGGGAATGGGCCTAGTAGGCTCTCCTCAAATGCTTAGGATAACTATGGCAATGAAAATTTCACCAGGGCCTGCAACACTAAATACACTCTTGTAGCACAAAATGTAAACAACATGGGGATCCTGACTTCTTTTATAGAATAAGTCTATGCTCTTTTTGAGGCCTTCTCCTTGAATAACTGACTGTTGGAAACCCCAGGAAATTCTGACATGAGGCAAGAGTCTGTCTTCCTCCCTGATCACTTGCTGCATCATTCCGTCCAGTGTTCACCTCTGTACCCACTAGTACACCTCCCACATCAGTGCCCACTGCATGTAGGTGAAGAACCTATGGGATGGATGGATGGACTGGTTAGTAGATGGATAGATGGGTAGATAAGTGGGTGCCTGAGTGTGTGGATGGATGTGTGAGTAGATAAGTGGATGCGGATAGATGGATGGGTGAACAGATGGGTAAGTAGGTGGATGGGTGGGTGAGTGAGTTGAAGAAGGAAGGAAGGAAGGAAGATTTCAGCTCTCCTTCACTCCAGGCCCCATGCCAGACCTCACCCTATTCCTTCCTTGGGGCTCAGTATATACAGAGAGAATTCCTCTCCTGCAGGGAGAGAGGAGAGAGAGAGAAACATCAACCATCCCACAATTAGTTTTCAATCTTAATTATACACATTTCTGATGCATTCATCAACTTCCCCTATTAAGGCTGCCGTAGCACCGTCTCTGCCCTAGTGTGTGCAGAGGGAAAACGGGCTGTTCTCCCCAGAAGAGAGGGAGAGAGGTGTCCTAGCTAGGTCTAGAAGCCTGTGTTCTTCAGGGTTCAGGGGGTCCAGCAGCCAGGAGCAAAGACACAGCCAGCGAGGCAGGAGCCTTCTACCATGTCCTGACCCCTGTGAAGTCTTACGATTCTCTAGGAGGAGGATAGAGAGGACCCTCCCTCCACCCACACCAACACCCCACACCAGAGATGCCCAGAGAGATGGCTGGCTAGTGGCTGGGAGATTATTTTGATGTCATGGAAAGAGTCCTGCACTTAAGTCAGAAGGCTTGGACTGAAGATTCAGCTCTAATTCCTACTGACCATGAGAACTTGGACAAGCCAAATGACCTCTTTGAACCTCATTTTGGTGAGGAGGTTAAATTAGATAATCTTGTAAGATCTCTACCATCTCTAAAGAGTCATTGGGTCCAGAAGATCAGCATCAAGGTCATTCAAGAACCCCTGATCTGGACAGGGAGATCAAGGCAGGAGAATTATGCCTATTAGCTGGCCACCTGTTGGCCTGGATGAGTCAGGGAAGCCTCCCAGGTCCTCCCTCTCAAGACTGTGGCTGTTGCCAGGAAGGACACCCTAGCAGAGCCTGGAGCCTTCACACCATGGGCTGGGGTTGGCAAGGAGGCTGTAGCAGTGCCAGAAACCTCTGAGCATACCACACAACTTCCCCTCTGCAGAGGCAGCTGCCCTGTAGGGAGTCAGTACATTTCTAGTCCCAAAGCTTCCAGGAGATGGAGAGCCAGAACCACTGCCTAGTGCCCAATGAGGGGCTCATGGCCACATTCACCCTGCACCAAGTCCTCAAGAGCCAGGTAGAAGCTCCAGCCACAGGCACAACCAAGCTTCCTACCCTGTGCTCCAGCCTCCACCTTGAACTCTAAGCCACAGTCTCCTTGCTGTGAGTGCCACCTGGCCAGCCCAGGCTGCCCTGGCAAGGACATGGAACCAGGCCAGGTCCCTAGTGTGGATGGTAATTCATGGTGCTTCACCTCCACCAGGCCAGACTCCACCAATCAGGAGACATGTCTCTCTGGAGCTCAGCCTCAACTGCTCCAAAGCCGAGCCTGGGAAGAGGGAAGGGTGACATGAATGGCCAGCCCTCACCTTCTGCCAAGCCCAGGGAAGAAGAGGGCCGGCATTACACAAGTACTTTCCTGGAGACAGTACTTGTTAAGAGCCTTTGCTTCCCTCTGGGTTCCAACCCAGCCTGCCCACCCTGTGGCCAAGAACATCCCTGGCCCCTGGCTCCAGCCACAGCTCCCAAAGTCAACTCATTCTGCAAGTAAAAGCAATGAGCCCAGGAAGAGGAGACAACTTTCCCAAACAGCAGCAATAGAGAGAAGGGAGCTCTTCCTGGCTGTGCTGCCCTGTGGCTCCAAGGTAGAGGGATGGCAGTGCAGGCTCCAGGACCCAGCACCAGACTCCTCCTTGGGTTTGGCTGACTCCCATGGGAGGGTCTCTAGGAAGACAAGAAACAGAGGCCTGAGGTACACCTGGCTTGGAGACCGGCTTCACCTGTCCTCATGTCCCTGCCACTAACCTGTTGCATGAGCTTCCCCCTAAGAGACCTAGTCCCAACGTGTCTATGGTTCCTCATCTGCCCAGCATCCCCCTTGGCTCAGGGCTTCTTGGGAGGTCCATATGAGCAAATGCCCTGCATCACCCGTAGATGCCAGAGCTGCAAAGAGACCTGGACAACAACCATCCCAACCTCCGGCTTTTGCAGTTGTAGAAGAGGCTCAGATAAGTTAGGTGATTTTTCCAAGGTCACACAGTATGTCCTGCAAGAATGAATTAAAACATTCATCACTGTATAAATATAAGGAATTAATAGAAACAATGTTTATATAACAGATATTTGAATCAGTGATTACCTGATAAAAGTTACAGACTCTCCCTCTGAGAAACACACATGCGTCAAAGTGCAGACTGCTCATGTGATATGAGGGGGTTGGCTCCTGAAGCCCATTCATGGATTAGCCTGTGGTCAAGGTTTCCAGCTCTGTCACTAGGACAACTTACCTAACTCTCTGTGCCTCATTTCTTCAACAACCAAAGGGAACAATAGTACATGCCTCATGGTTGTTTGTAGGATTTAATGAGTTTGCAACGTATTTGGAACAATGCTTGGCACATAATAAATGCTGAATAAATGTTTGCTGTTATTACTCCCTGAAGACAGTCTTGGCACCCTCAAGGAGCCCCAGATGCCAGGGAAGCCTTCCTACCAGGGGGCCTTTCAAATGTCCAGGAGTACCTGCTCATGTCTCCTCAAACTCCCAGCTTCACCTGGGCTGGATGAGCAAACTGTGAGATGAGGATCCCACCCGCCCCTGCCTCCCACCACCATCAGGCAAATGACCCTGATTCAAGCCTTGGTCAACCTCCACCTGCCCACTGCCCACCTGGACAGCCACTGGCTGCAGTTTCAGGAAGCTGCCTCTTCCCCTCACCCTCCCCACGGCCCAGGAATCAATGCAATCCCCTAAAAGCTCATAACTTGGAGGTAATTATAAGAAGCATCAATTACCCAGCAATGTGGATTTCATGAATTCAATTAATTTGCATGGCAATCGATACGGGCGGGTTTCACTGGGGTCCCCAGGGGAAGTTAGGACATTGTTCTGCACGCTATTGATTTTACAATGTAAAACAAAACCTCTCTCCTCGAATTCATAGATGCCCATTCAGCCATATTAACTTTCAGATCATTTATTTTTGTATGTCTTTCAACTCTGTTTGTTGCTATCACACAGATGCAGAGTATTACATTGTAGGGAATAATTGAATCAATACAGTCATGCTACACCAGACTTCCCCAACTCAAGGAAGAAGAGCAGTTTGCCGACCAGCTCTTCTGCACTCTGCCTTCCCCAGCCAGCTGTCCACCCTCGTGCCCACCCCAAACTCTCCCTCTCCCAAGCAGGCCACTCCCCTAACCCTAAGTTTCTCACTCTGTCCAATGTGTCTTCATTCAGGACAGACTTAAAGTGCAGCTGGGGAAATATGGTTAGACAATAGGAAGAATTTTTCTGTCGGTGAATGGAAGCTGAAGGGGAGTTGGAAGGAATTGAGGGCTTCCCTTTTTGGAAGGGTCTTTGGAACCAAGAAGATTGCAGACTGATGGGGGCCTAAGTCAGTGGCCTCTCAGGGATCCTGGACAGGGGAAGAGTGCTTCTTTTCCTCCACTAGAAGCAATGAGATTGAGGAGACAGCATTTTCTGAACATTAATCCATCCCACTCTAGAAGAAGGCCAAGTTTAATAAGAGGAGTGATTATGAAAAAAGTCAGGGGCCTACCAGCCTTAGCCTCCCATGCCTCCAGCTCAGGTGCGCCCAGCTTTGCTGTGTTCTTGAATCGTGCCCCCTCTACACCCAGGCAGCCAGCTCCCTGGGTCCTCTTTGAGGCCAGCATATGCTCTGAGCAGCATCTGAGACTGCTGCACACCCTACATATACACACACACACGCTCATACACACACACACACACTCACACCCAGCAGAGCAAGGCTGGAGCCCACCAACCCAGCCACACTCCCAGGAGAGCAGGGGCCACCTTCCTGCCCCGCAAAGCCCCTACTCAGCACACCACCCTCCACTCCCCATGTCTAGAGAAGGAGTGAAGGCTTTTTTTTTTCAATTTGCCTCTGCCCCCCGCCCGTCAGGATATTAGACAGCTAAACAGCCCAGCGCCTGTTTCCTTCAGATAACCAGCTCCTGACGAGCCCCCTCACTGTCCCCAGAATCTCAGCGCCAGTGTATAGAGTAGGTCATTTAACCAACAGTACACACAACTAAATAAAAATCCATTTTCCAAGAGAAAATTCTATTCTTATCAGAGTTTTGCAAGAGGGTTGCAAGCGGCCCATGTTAATTGAAGCTTTGATGTTTGTAGGAGGAGGCCTCTAATCAACACCACAAAGGAGGCTGATTCACTGCAGTGTGCCCCTCGGCCGAGGAGCAGAGTCGGGGGAGCTGGTGATGGGGGGCATGGGGTGCAGAGGGCCAGGCAAGGACAGAGGATCCAGGCTAGCCACCAGACACCACAGGCTCCCAGCCACTGCCTCAGGCCCAGAGGCAGGCACAAAGATGTCAGGGAGGCAGGTGGCTGGGTCAGGAAAGTCAGCAAGACTGGAGGTGGGCAGGACCCAGTGTCAGACAAGCCTGGAGTCACGATCTACCTGGTGATTTGCTCACTGTGTGGCCTTGGGCAAGTCACTTGACATTGCTGAGCCTCAGTTTCTCCTCTGGATGACCGTAATCCTCTTTACCTATCCTCAAAAGCCATTTGATGATGACCAAATAAAAACAAAAGCACAGAAAGTGAGTTTCATTTCTGAGTATGTCCTATGAACTAGGTTACCCGCTAACCACTTTACAAGTGGCTTAGTGTAGTGCATCTGATGTGCTTCCTGCCTTCTGCTGACTGCTTTGTAATTGTCCTCATCTCGTTCATCTTCAAGGTGGGGAATCTTAGCCCATTTTGCATATAGGGAAACTGAGGCTCAAAGTGCCTAAGTGTCTGGCTCAAAACTTCACAGTAGAAAGTGGCAGAGCTGGGATTCAAACCTTGCTCTCTTCAACTCCAGAATCCAAACAGTTTTCTCTTACTTGAGCTGCTTCTCCTAAAACAAGGTAGGAGGGCCCATCCAGACCCCTCATGCCTATCTCCCCACTTCCCACCCCTTTACCTTCTCTCTCTCACTCACACACACACACACACACACACACACACACACACACACACGTCATTTCCTTTGCTCCTCACAGCAACCAGCAAAGCAGGCAGGTAGGCACCCTAAAACAAGAAAGGGGGTCTTGGGGGAGTTTGTGTGGGTTAATGAGCTATTCTTCATAAAGTCAACTCTGCCAGGACCATAACAAACTCTCAAGAACTGGCAGCCCCAGCACTGTGATAATGGTGGTGGTGGTGATGGTTTTCATACCCAGCACACAAGAACTGCTCAAAACAGACAGTTAACAATAGCCATAAAATCATTAGCATCCCTGTTTTCTAGATGCATATACTGGAGCTCAGAGGATTTCAGTGAGTTACCCCGGCCACAGCCAGTGAGCAGCGATGTCAAGATGTCTTGAATCCTGGGCCTCAGCTGCAAAGCCGTAACCAGTCCTCTGTGTTCCCATGGGCCAGTGCTTTACAAAGGTCCTTGCAGGTTAGGAGGAAGGGGAAATCTAAACACAGGCCTGCCCAGCACCTGCGGAGCGAATCCCAGTCCTGAGCACCAGGCATAGGAAGGAAGTGTCTTCAGAAGAGAAAGGAGAAGGAGTGGGCGAATTTGCCAGTCCAGATTAGGCTAGAAAGAGTTTACATTCCATATTCAACATGTATTTACCTGTGAGCTGCCAGTCCTGTGCCAGGGCTTGCGGGCTCAGAGATACAAGAACACACGGATGAGAGGCTTTCATTTCCGTGGGAGCTGTCTAAAGCCAGGGGAGCTTTGGCAGAGGTCTGCTTGGGCCCTCCAGGAAGAGAAGGTAGGTTTCAGCTGCCATTTCCAGGATGCGTGGGGGTGTCCGGGCAGGGAATTGAGGAGTGAGAGGGTCTCCAGGATCTTTCACACCCATGGCCACATTTGGCGACTTTACCAGCTGAGATCAACCAACAACGAGGAAATCGAGGCCCAGAGAGCTCTGGTGACTTGTTCAAGATCCCGGGATCTGCAGAGAGCTGAAGTGGCATCCAAACCCAGGTCTTTGACTACAGTGTCTTTCCCACTATGCCAAGCCAGTAGGGGATGGATGCAAAATGTAAAGTGGCTAGCTCAAAATCAGGCGTTAAAAGCAGGTGTCAGGAAATGGGCACTGGGTAGAGCCTGCAGCGCTGGCCTTCCCCACAGGCACCAGGGCCCAAGATCTCCAACAGGCAGTCCCTGTGCCCAGCAGTGTATGCAGACCGTCTGCAACACTTGGACCCAAAGGGAATGGGGCTTGGGGAAGGGAGGGAGAAATTTCTTTCTCTCTCTCTTTTTTTTTTTTTTTTTTATTGAGATGGAGTCTCGCTCCATTGCCCAGGCTGGAGTGCAGTGGTGCGATCTTGGCTCACTACAACCTCTGCCTTCTGGGTTCAAGAAATTCTCCTGCCTCAGCCTCCCAAGTAGCTGGGATTACAGATGTGTGCCACCATGTCTGGCTAGTTTTTTGTATTTTTAGTAGAGATGGGGTTTCATCATATTGGCCAGGCTGGTCTCCTGACCTCAAGTGGTCCACCTGCCTCGGCCTCCCAAAGTGCTGGGATTATAGGCATCAGCCACCACGCCCGGCCGAGTGGAGCAATTTCTACCCAGGATACCAGCCTCTAGCTTCTGCCTGCTCAAGAGCTGTGGGGCCTGAGAAAAGATGATGGAGAGGTTCAGGGGACCAGTTACTGAGTCAAGGCCAAAGTGAATGGGATGTGTTAGGACCAGCAAGCCTCCTACTCCTTAACCATCTCCACTGATTCCATTTGCTATAACAGCAGCAGGGCTTTTTGCTATGAGCTGGCATACCATGAGTTAAAAGTTTAACAAGCATCCAGGAAAAATGCTTTATAAAAACAAGATGTCACAACCTGAGTCTCCTGATCATGAAATCAGGTCCCGTGGAAGCCTGGGTTACTGAAAGGCTCCCAACTGCTCTTCTAACCCTGAACCTCTGTCCTACCCACTCTGTTCTCCACTATGAAAGCTAGCCAGAGAGATGACTCTATGGCAAAATCTGACCATGTCACTCCCCACTTAAAACCCACCAGTGCTTCCTCACTGCTCTGGGGACAAAATCCAAAGACTGTGCTGACACATAAGACCTTTCTCTTTTTCTCCTGCATGCCCTTCCAGGAGTCTTGCAAGCCCCTCCTCATATGCACGCTCCTACAGACAGTGCCCAGCATGCCCAGCCTCATACTGCTTATGCTGTCCCTCATCCTGTAACATCCCACCACCACCACTACATCCATCCTATGTGTGATGGGTTGCATTAATGGCCACCATTCCAAAGAGCTGGGTATGTGTGTGTTATCCCACTAAAGAGGTGGAATATATGGAATATGTTTCCCTGCCTCTTAACCTTGGGTGCAGACATATGACTTGCTTTGGCCAGTGGAATGTTAGAAGAAGTGTGATTGGGCTTTCTCTCTTTTCCTTTTTCTGTCACCATTAGAGAATCATGCCAGGTTAGGCTGGTGGTCCCAGAGGAGGATAAGAGGCTTATGGAGCAGAGTTGCCTAATCAGGCCCAGCCAAGATCAGCAGACCCTCAACCAATACATAGACACACGAACCAGATAAATGGTTTTGTTATTTGCCACTGAGAAATGGTAGGTGTTTGTTACACAGCATATTGTAGCAGTAGCTAACTGATACATCATTTTAACTTGAGTAAATTCTATCCACTCATTGGATCTCAGCTGAGGTAGATGTCATATCTTCTTAGAAATCTAACCTGAGCTCCTCGCCTCTTCCACAGGTCAGCACTGGGGGCTCCCATGGCACCCAGAATTAACTCTTACTGCAGCACATAGCATGTACTGGGTTAAAATTGCTGTCTCCCTCACCCATCCTGAGCTTCTTGAGGTCAAGGGTTGCATGTTATTCACAATTTCTGACATAGAGGAATTCAATGACTATTTAGTGAAGGATTGAATGTGGAAGTGGCCTTTTCTAAGGGGTAGAAGCAAAAAAAACCTCTCACTTTTCCACCTCAGCCCACCACTATCATGAAAAATGCCCAAAGTGGGACGAAAACTCACGTGAGTTCTCTGCACTTCCTGCCAGCCTCTGGCACACACACTAACACACTTGAATCCCAAAGTTAGCCAAGCTGCACTTCCCTGCCGCCCGCTTGCTTGGTGATGAAGCACTTTTTGAGCCACTTTGCTCCATCTTTCTGCAATATCCTCCAGCAAATCAAGCATCCCCTTCTTGGGATGTTTTCAATCTGTTTTATGTTGATTTTAATTAAAGAATTCGAAACTGAACAAACAGTTCCTAGCAGGTGGCCATACAAGTGTGAAATAAGCAAACTGTTTTATCTGCCACAAACTCTGCTAGTAAATTTCTTCAAATTAATCCCAGCCTCCGAGAGTCTGCTGATTCCAAGGAGAAAGCTAAGCAATCCTAGCCTCCAAATATTTGCTTTTGTTACAGCTCCTGGAGCCAACGACTGGTGGTGTCCGTCTTTCTCCATGCTCATCCACCTTTTCTCCCAGTCCCATCTCTGGCACTCTGTTGGCCCAACCCATCTGCCCAGAGCAAGGCTCATGTGGCCACATCACTGGGCTCCACAGCCAGAACTCCAGCAGGGTGGCCAGATGCCCAGGGAGACTTCCCAGCCCACCTTCTTCTGAGCACCATCTTGCCCATCTTTACTTTCCACTTCCTCTACCAGCCCTCCAGCTGAGCCTGGGCCTCCCACCAATGCTTGCCCACCCCAGGGAGGCACAGACATGAAGGCCCAGAACAAGGCTTGCTTCCTTTCCCCTGGTACCACTCAGGAATGAGAGGCGCCCTTGGAAAAATGACACCACCCAGTTCCGGCCAAGGGTATGAGGAAATGGGCCACCTCCTTCACCAATGATGGGAGCTTAAATTAGCACAGCCTTTGCAGAGATCGGTTTGTCTACGCACATCAACAGTGTTAGCATCTTTCTTACTTTTGGATCCAAAAATTCCACATATAGGACTTTAGCCCCCTGCAAAAAAAAAAAAAAAAAAAAAATCAATGTGCAATAGCAAACATTTACTATTGCACTCTTTATAACAGCAAAAACGGAAACATTTATGGTTCAACAACAAGGATTAAATGATACAGCCATATAAAACATTATACAATAGTATTTAATAATGTGGAAAATAATTTTATGATCTTAGTGGAAAAAGCAGGTTATAATCAATATATATAGCATGAGTTTATTTTTCTATTTTATGTGTGTACACAGAATATATCATATGCTACATGTAGTATTATATATTATTTATGTAGTATACTATTAATATTATATACTATTAATATGTATATACGTAGTATATACATTTATGTAGTATACTACATGTATCTACAGAATATTATCATTTTATAGGTAATATATTCTATATTTATAATGCATATGGAATATGCAGAATATATTGTATAGTCTACATGTAGTATAAATATTGCATATACATTACTCTAGATATGTAATGTGTTATGTGCATTCACACATAAGAAAAAAAGACTGGAAGGGTATAAACTAAAATGTTAACAATGGCAGTCTCTCTAGGCATTGGGAATATAACTGGTATCTCTTTTTTTTTTTTTTTTTTGGGAGACGGAGTCTCGCTCTGGAACTCCCGGCTGGAGTTCAGTGGTGTGATCTCTGCTCACTGCAACCTCTGCCTCCCAGGTTCAAGCAATTCTCCTGCCTCAGCCTCCTGAGTAGCTGGGAATTACAGATGCCCACCACCACACCGGGCTAATTTTTTTTATTTTTATTTTTAGTAGAGACCGGGTTTCATTATGTTGGCCAGGCTGGTCTCAAACTCCTGACCTCGTGATCTGCCCACCTCTGCCTTCTAAAGTGCTGGGATTACAGGTGTGAGCCACCATGCCTGGCTTTTCTTTTTCTTTTTAAAAAATCATTATTTTGTTAGTTTTCTGATTTTGAAAACTCTGGCTAGAGAAGCAGAAGACCTGGGTTGTGCCCTAGCAGTGACACTGATACAATGCCATCTCCTGGCCTAACTCCAAAGCCAGATCTGGAGTCATTAATATCACTTGTGTCAACTTCCCGATCTACATACAACATGTAAGAGAAATCAGGTCACCTGTAAGGTTGCATCCAGCTTCCATTTTATAGTTCTACAGTGTGTCCTGAACCACAGTTGAGAGAGAAAGGCAGACAGGGAAAAAGAAGGTACAAACTCAGCAGAACTTCATCCAGTGTAACCTGTTCCCTCGTTCAACCAGCCTCAGAGCCGTAAATATCACTGAATAGGCATTCACTATGCACCAGGCACTATTACATTACACACTAAATGCAAAGGGATTGCACAAAGTAATAACCCGCATTTCTGCCCCACTGTAACTGCAGGTTCATCCCTAGAAGATTGTGGTATTTCTGGCCATACGCAGGAAAGGTGCCACAGATGCTCAAGTATAGGCATCAGCTACCACCCCATCTGCTGGTGGTGCTCATACTTCTCCGGGATACCTCCCCTCCAGTCTCCTCCACCCCTACAGGGTCAGCACTGCTCTTAAGCCTTGAAGTGTCACATCTGCATGGCAGCTGCCAGCAAAAGGGAGAAAAATCTCTGTATCCCTTCAGGTGACACTAGTTGCTGTATGGATAAACACCTAAATCTCACTTGGCTGAACACAATAAAAGTTTATCTGGTGCTCACAGCACTGCCCAGTGGGGAGTCAGCTCCACACAGTCATTCGTAAACCCAGTCTCCTCCTATCTTGTGGCTCCACCCTTCTCCAAGACCCCAGAATCCTCTCTGTTCTGCTGGCAAATGGAGGAAGAGCTAGAATTGCACAAGGGAGGTTCCTTATACAAGGCCGTATTTGAAAGGGTCCACAGCATCTGCTCACATCCCACTGGCCAGGACTCAGTCACGTGGCCACATCTAACTGCAAGGGAGGCTGGGAAGTGTATTCCAGTGTGTGCAGCCAGGGAAGAGAGGAGGCCATGTTGCTCTGGGCAACAACATCAGGTTCTATCCCCTCTTCTCTCCCCACTTACGGGGTGACCCTCTTGGAGGCCTCTCAGTTGCGCAACCTCACACCCCAATGCCATACAGAGTTTCTTACGAAGTGGCTCTTTCTCACCACCCTTTTTATTTTTCCCTGGAGCCCAGAGACACAGCCCGGTTGTAGGCATGGGGGTGAGGGGTGTTATCAGCCAAGGACACAACAGCGTACTGGAATACAGTGGCTTCTAAAACCACCTGTGGAAAAGAACCAAATGCAATATCCCCATCAGTCTCCCACAGCCCAAACACTGCAAAATTCTAGAGGTCGCCAAGGACCACAGTCGCCAGAAACAATGACTTCATTTGGGTCTTTCTCATTTAGTCTTTCTGAGGTGTTGGACGGCAGTGACACCTTCTCAAGGTCACTCTCCGGGCCGCATGACCTGGCGCTCCCCAGGCTTCCCTGCTGTTTCCAACTTTACCTCCTCCACCCCCTGTGAGGGCTCCTTTCCTTACTCCTAATGATGCTGTTTCCCAGGCGGCCACTTCCACCCTCTGCTTCTCTCTTCTCATCTCCACCCTCTGCCTCCCTGGGACTCTCATCTGCACCCTACCTCAGATGCCCCTTTCGCCACAGCTGCAGACCTCTCCCTTAGGTCTGGACATTGCCAACTGCCTGCTGGTCACAGCACCCGCATGTTTCCATTTATCTTGTCCAAAGCTGGGCTCACCGTCATCTTCCTGGAATCTCTCATCCTCCCTCTTAGTGAATAAGTCCACCCTCCACCTCGTCACCCAGGGACAGTCCCAGAAGGCCCCTAGCGTCCAGCTCTGTCTGGCCCAAAGCATGGTGGCGACAAGCCATGCCACATCCAGCTCCCTGGTTTGTCTGGGTGCTATTCCTTCAGTAGCTCGACCTCCACCCTGTCCCCCACCGTCTCTTACCTGGACCACCCAGGAGACATTTCTCCTGGTCTCCTTTCCTCCAGTTATACCCCTCTATAGTCTCCTCTCCCCAAAGAAGCCAACACGCTCTTCCTAAAAACACAGATTTCACCACATCACTCCTTCCAAACATGCGAGATGTGGGGTCCTCAAGAGAAAGGCCAACCTACCTAGTTTGTCAGGAAATGCATGTCACCACCTGGACAAGCCCTTCACTCTAACTCACCCCACCTGCTCCTCCCGTTCTAACTGCATCCTCTACCATAGCCTGCCCCAGCACCACCAAGCCCAAGACCTTCTTAGCCCTGAGCCCCATACCTGCATTCACACCTCTGGGTCAGTGCAGGTGAAATTCTCTTTTTACCTGGAAAAATCCTATCCATCTTCCCCAGGAACACTCCTTCTCCCCTTCCCCTGCCTCCTGAGGAAGGAAGGGCAAAGTGCCCCTGCCTCTTGGCCCCCAATACTTTTTCTTCCTCGAAGCCACTCTCCCTTGTCCCACTCATTTATTTCTGGTCTAACTCTCCTACTGGATGGTGAGCTTTGGGGGGGCCTAGCGTGGGGGCTGGCACTTGTAAAGGCACATGAGTTCTATAGAAGAACACTAGGTCCTCCTCCCCGCCCCTCCTCAGGCCAGGGTACTGCGGAGAGGCACACATACTGGGAGGTGCTGGGAGGCCCACGTTTCCACCCTGACACTCTCCCCAGAAAGGCTGCAGGGACATGGCCAACACCCCTCTCTGCTTCTCTGCCAAAGCTGATTTGCCTATAGCCTTGAAGGCACAAAGCCGGCAAGAACCCTCTCTGAGGTAGCAGGCCCTGCATGCTGCTGAGGGGGCCGAGGGGGCAGGAGAGGCAGATGGCCTATACAGCATCCTCCTCCTCCTGGGAGATGATGAGAAGGGGCCGGTGGCAAACAAGAAATCCTTCCCCTTCGCCTACTGATCCACGCCTTCCCTCAGAACTGCTTATCAGCATCTGTAATGATCACTGTGCCACCAGGTTCTGGGAATGTCTCCCCAGGGTGCAGTGGCAGCCTAGACTCAAAGTCAGTCCCACCACCACCTACAGTGGGATTCTCAGACTGCCTTCCCACTGCAAGGGAGTCCAGAGCCTGCACCCAGCCAGGGGGATGGGGGTGTCCCCTTCCTAACCTGAGGGCAGGGAAGCTTAGGGATCCACCAAGGTGAACTCACCAGAGCCATGCAGGTGCATAGTATTGTCCCTACACACACACACACACGTATCCAGTACAGATACAACCCCATAGGTATAGACAGCATGTACTGAGGCAGATACATATATGGGAATAAATGCCATCTGGCCACTTGCCTGGGGCCAAAGCCATTGCTTCCAGTTCACTTTCCTCCTCATGCTCCATTCAATCAAGAAGTACTACAGATTGGGCCCTTGCTGCATTCCTGGCATAGATCTAGATCCACACAGTACAGGCCCAAGGCAGGACAGCAAGACCCAAAGCAGGAAGAAAATTGTGGGGAGAGGAAGCAGGAGAACAGTCTGGGTACCCTGGCGACATTTGCCTGAGAAGGGAGGAGGCTGGTAAGGGGAGAGAAGGTGATAGGGGATTCTGGGAGCTATAGCAGAGCCAGGAGGCCCCCTCCCCCCGACTGCCCTGCTGCTCAAAGGCCCAGGGTATGCAGGGCAGCCTGTGCCCAGCCTTTGAGCCAGGTGAGTCAGCCTGACTTCTGAATATTCACCACTGCAGCAGTTCCACCATTCCCCACAGCCCACTCTGCACACAGCAGCCAGAATGGTCTTTCAAAATCTGATCTTATCACTCCCTGCTCAATAGTGTCCTATCACGCTCCGGACAAAGTCTGAAGTCCTTACTGTGAGCTAGAAGTTCCTAAGTGATCTGGCTTCTGCCCACATCTTAGCACTCCTGACACTGTAACATACATACATGTGCATTTATGTTGGTCTCCCCACAGAATGCCAGCTCCCTGGGCAAAAATATTGCAGTCCTCACTGCTATGTAGAGTCCTCACAGTATGTAGAGCAGCACCTGCCACATAGTAGATGCAGGATACGCCTTTACCGACTGAACACCTATTGCAAGTCAAGTCCTGGCAAGCACTGGGAATGGAGCATATGTGCTCACGATCCATGCTTGTCTCACTTAGCTTGGGGGTTCTTACCCTGAGATAATGAGGGGGTTTATGCAGGGGTTTCAGAGAGTCCTTGAACCCCCAGAAATTAGATGCAAAATGAGTTTATAAACACTTTTCTGGGGAGAGAATCCATGCCTGTTATCAAATACCCATAGGGGTAAGAGTCCAAGGAACTAGAGGGAAAAAGAGGGGACTGTCAATGACACTGTATGGGGTTTGTCCCCAGGGGGAGGGCCAAGCGGTAGCTCACACAGGCACAAACCTGACCAGATGCCAGGGAGGCAGGTGTGTGAGGAACCCCAGCAAGTGTGCACACAGGAATGTGCCTTTGCCATCCTGGAAGGCTTCCCCAGGGAGGTGATCAGAGCAGGCCTGAGAATGAGCAGACAACAGGCTTTCTGTGCAGACACTCTTCCTTCCTGGCCCCAAGGAAAAGGAAGTGGAGAGGATGAGGGGGTCTGGGGCAGGGCAGGGGGATGTCAGTGGAGGCTGATAGAAAATGGGAGGGGGACAGGTGGCCTATTTTGTAGCCCGGACTAGGCAAACATTGTCAAGGCCAGCAGCAGGGACACATGGTGAGGGGCAGAGACTTTGGGGTCCTGCAGACTTGGAGGTATTTAAAGCCATGGGACTGGAAGAAATTGTCTAGGAAGAGAGAGAAGAGAAGAAGTACAAGGACCGAGCCCTCAGAATTTGAAGAGATGAGCAAGAATCAGCAGAGGAGTTAAGAAGGGGGGTCTGAAGTCCAGGAGAGCTTCCCGGGGCCTGAAATCACTCTTGGCAGCTCAGACAATAATCACAAAATTATGGAAGCTGAAAAGCTAAGGGACAAGACAAGTGATAAATGACTTTGTGGACCTAAGAATGCTGAATCCACAGCTAGCAACAGGAAAAGCTGAGAATTAGTCCAATTTACACTGTAAAAGTCCACAAAAGCCTCAGGAACTGACAGTTCCAGACACCTCTGGAACGAGGGCTGGGGAGGAGGTGGTGAAGGCTGGGGAGGAGGTGGCGAAAACAGAAAGGACTAGAGGAAAGCCTTTTTGAGAAGCAGCTAGCAATGAGGCCATTCACTTAAACCTCTCTGAGACTGTTTCTTCAACTATAAATCTATAAAATGGGGATGACTGCCCATTTCACAGGGTTATTTTGAAACAGAAATAAGTCAAATGGAAAAAGTTCTTCACAATCACTGCCATAGCTTCCTCTCCTACCATTTTCTCTAGAACTCATTCTGATCAGGCTTTCATTCCCATGGCTCCAGGAGACATCATTCATTGAGGTGACCAATGACCTCTGTGCTGCCAGGCCCAAGGGTTACTTTTCCATCCCCATCTTACTCATCAGGCTGTTGGGCACAGGTGATCACTCCCTCTTTCCCGAAACCTCTGTGTCACTTGCTTCAGGGACACTACTCTGTCCTGTCTGTCCCTCTCCTTCACTGCCCTCTCCTTCTCGGTCTCCTCCCCCATTCCATGCTGCTGGGCAACTGCCCCCCACCCAACCCACTGCAGAACACTGGAAGTTTATTCTCTAGAAAGGGTCTCTACAGACCAAACAGCACAAATGAGGGGGTGAGTACCAGACCATAAACAACGGAAACCAGTTAGCATGTAACACTAAATATGGGAGCCAGAGACTTCCAGCCCTGATCGTCTACTTGGTTCCAGAATGCTGGCAATCAGACGTTTATCCTTCAGGCAGGAGTTTGGTAAAGTACCATCTGGGAAATACAGCCAGTCCAAGAAGAGGGACCCAAGACACCGACATTGTTCTCCAACAAACAGCCCATTGAAGTTGGCAAGCACCCCTCAAGTTCAGAGCTTATAATCAGCTCTTCAGCCTGCTGAGTGACTTGTGAGCTGACAGCCATGGATTATCAGATACTTGAGGGAAGAAAGCTTCTAATACAAAAGATAGAGGCCAAAGCAAATAAACAGAAAAAAAATAATAACTTGGAGGAGAAAACTAGACAGAGGAAAGAAAATTTAGAAGTTAAAATTAATGTCCTCAGAGAGATAAAAGAAGATACTGCATCCACAAAATAAGAATGGAATACTATAAGAGAAGAACACTGAAAGAACAGCAAAGAGCTCTTGGAAATTTCTGATAGCAAAAACAAAAAATGCAATAGGAAAGAAGATAAATTTGGGGAAATACCCTAGAAAACAGAGCAAAAAGATGGAAAATAAGAGGAAATGTAGCCAGTATATTTTTATGGCAGCCAAAAGTGTGCCACAGGTGCAGTAGCATGTGCCTGTAGTGTGAGCTGCTTGGTAGGCTGAGGCAGGAGGATCACCTGAGCCCAGGAGTTCAAGGCTGCGTTGCACTATGATCACGCCTGTGAATAGCCACTGCACTTTAGCCTGGAAAACATGAGAGACCCCATCTCTTAAAAAAAAAAAAAAAAAGTAAAAAACTTAGAACACTAGTTCAGGAAATTCAACATCAATAACAAAATAAAAACAAAAAATAGAGAAAAATAAATCGATAAAATAACTCATGAGATTTCCCAAAAACAAAAGAACATGAATTTCCAAGCTGAAAGACCACCATATGTTAAGTACAATTGATGAAAATAAGTGAACACTAAGACACATCATTATGAAGTTTCAGAACACTAAGGTTAAAGATAAAATTCAAATAGAAAAAAAATGGGAAGGTCACAATGAAAGAATCAAGAATTAGAATGGTTTTAAACTTTTCAACAGCCATACTAAAGAAGGCAAAGGAGTGACATGTTTAACGTTCTGAAGAAAAACAATTTACAAATTAGAATTCTGTATTAGTCAGGATGGGCTTGGTTATACTACAATAACAGACAACTCCAAAATCTCAGCTGTTAACACATTCAACTCAGTTCAGCAGGGACCCAGGCTATTGGAGTTTTCATCTATTTCCATAGTAGAAAAGGAAACATGACAAATGGCTCTCTTAAAAATTCTGTCAAGGTGATATCACCAAATTGGTACAGTCAAAGCAACCTGGCTTTATTCTCTCCCACAAAAAATAAATAAATAAAATAAAATCCAGTACCAAGATTATCACCAGCATTATCCCAGAACTCAATTCTGAGGCTGAGACAATCCCCGGAACGACAGAGAAGTAAAACACTCTGAGTAGATGGTAAGAGAAACAGACTTCTCTATCCACAATGCCCCTCCTTCAATCTGCCAGGCACCACTCATGGATCATTTCTTCCAGATTCACATTTTCTACACTGGAAGAAGTGAAAGCAAGGCAGACAGCCAGCTTCCTCACTTTCTTGGGTTCCCTTGCACAAACACTGTTCCTACCTCAGCCCACCAGAAGCACCACAAGTGCCTACAGGGAGAGAAAACCCTGAGGGTACCTAGAGACAAACAGGGGAGGCAGGACTAGAAACCCCAGCCCACAAAACTCTGCTTTTTATCTCAGCCAAAGGAGATGCCAAATCAGAGTAGCTGTTTAACAGCATGCTATAGAAGGCATGCTCCACGGGCCTACTGGGCATACACTCCTTGCCAGCCTTCCCATTTAGCCAGAATATCCCCCATTCAGGACAAGCAGTGCTCTGAACATTTGGATGGGCAGTGCTCTGAACATTTGGATGGACAGTGCTCTGAACTTTCGTGAGAGCTGAGGCAAACCTGAGCTTAAAGCACTACCTAGTGCCAAGAAAGAGAGGCAACAATATAGGATTAAGGAGACTTGCAGACAGCTACAAAGAACCTTTAAGCAAATATACCCTAGAAAGACCAGAACATGTGAGACAGTGATGACTAGAATAAGTAACTAATCTTTCAATGAAAATCCATAAATGTACATACACAAGAAACAACAGCAAACAGGGAATCATGACCTCCCCAGATGGACAAAGCAAAGAGCCAGTGATCAACCCTAACAAGATGGTGATGTGTGAACTCTCAGATAAAGAATTCAAAATAGCAATTCTAAGGAAATGCAGTGAATTCCAAGGTAATATAGAAAATCAATTCAGAAAATTAACAGAAATTTCACAAAAAGGTTGAAATAATTTTTTAAAAAATCAAACAAAAGTCCTGGAACTGAGAAATGCATTTACTGAACTGAAAAATACATTAGAGACTCTCAACAGCAGAAGGAAGATCAAGCAGAAGAATCAGTGAGCTCAAAGATAGTTTACTGGAAAATACACAGAAAAAAATGAAAAGGAATTTAAAATGCCTACAAGATATAGAAAATAATTGCCAAAAAGCAAATGTATGTCATTGGCATTCAGGAGGGAGTTGAGAAACAGCAAGAGTAAGAAGTTTGTTCAAAGAAACAATAAGAAAATTTTCCAAACCTAAAGAAAGATGTAAATATCCAGGTTCAGGGACCACCAAACAGATTCAACCCAAATAAGACTACCCCAAGGCATATAATAATCAGACTCTCAAAGGTCAAAGACAGAGGATCCTGAAAACAGCAAGAGAAAAGCAGCAAATAGTACATAAAAGAGCTCCAATTTGTCTAGCAACGTACTTCTCACCAGAAACAGAGGCCAGGAGGGAGGAGGACAACATGTTTAAAGTGTTTTTAAAGAAAACTGCTGAGTACATTGTACCTGGCAAAGCTTTCCTTCAAACATGAAGGAAAGAGAAAGTCTTTCCCAGACTAACAAAAGCTGAGGGAATTCATCACTAGACTCGTCATACAAGAAATGCTAAAGAGAGTTCTTCAATCTGAAAGAAAGGTTGCAAAAAGCAAGCATTTGAAGTTATAAAACTTACTAGTAAAAGTAAGTGAACAAATTCAGAATACTCTAACACTGTAACTGTGGTGTGTAATCCACTCATGTCTCTAGTATGAAGACTAAAAGACAAAACTATCAGAAATAATAACTACAGTAACCTGTTAAGAGATAGGCAAAATAAAAAGATGTAAACTGAGACAACAAAAGTCAAAATGTAGCAAGGGGTGGAGTTAAAGTGTAGAGTTTTGTTTAGTTTTTCCTTTGTTTCTTATTTTTGTGATCAAATTTAAGTTGCTGTCTGTTTAGAAGAACTTGTAAGCCTCATAGTAACCACAAAGCAAAAATCTATAAATACACTACAAATAAAAAGCAATCAATTAAAACATACTACCAGAGGAAGTCCATTCCAAGATGGCCAGATAGGAACAGCTCCAGTATGCAGCTCCCAGCGTGATTGACACAGAAGACAGGTGATTTCTGCATTTCCAATTCAGGTACCTGGTTCATCTCACTGGGACTTGTTGGACAGTAGGTACAGCCCATGGAGCATGAGCCAAAGCAGGGCAGGGCGTCACCTCACCCGGAAAGCACAAGGAGTCGGGAGATTTCCCTTTCCTAGCCAAGGGAAGCCATGACAGACTGTACCTGGAAAATTGGGACACTCCCGCCCTAACACTACACTTTTCCAACGGTCTTAGCAAATGGCACACCAGGAGATTATGCCCCGCGCCTGGCTCAGCGGGTCCCACGCCCACAGAGCCTTGCTCACTACTAGTGCAGCAGTCCAAGATCAAACTGCGAGGCAGCAGCCTGGCTGGGGAAGGGGCGTCCGCCATTGCTGAAGCTTGAGTAGGTAAACAAAGCGGCTGGGAAGCTCGAACTGGGTGGAGCCCACCACAGCTCAAGGAGGCCTGCCTGACTCTGTAGACTCCACCTCTGGGGGCAGGGCATAGCTGAACAAAAGGCAGCAGAAACTTCTGCAGACTTAAATGTCCCTATCTGACAGCTCTGAAGAGAGCAGTGGTTCTCCTAGCATGGAGTTTGAGCTCTGAGAATGGACAGACTGCCTCCTCAAGTGTGTCCCTGACCCCTGTGTAGCCTAACTGGGAGACATCTCCCAGTAGGGGCCGAATGACACCTCATAGAGCTGGGTGCCCCTCTGAAATGAAGCTTCCAGAGTAAGGATCAGGCAGTAATATTTGCTGTTCTGCAATATTTGCTATTCTGCAATATTTGCTATTCTGCAATATTTGCTATTCTGCAGCCTCTGCTGGTGATACACAGGTAAACAGAGTCTGGAGTGGACCTCCAGCAAACTCCAACAGATCTGCAGCTGAGGGACCTGACTGTCAGAAGGAAAACTAACAAACAGAAAGGAATAGCATCAACATCAACAAAAAGGACATCCACACCAAAACCCCATCTGTGGGTCACCATCATCGAAGACCAAAGGTAGATAAAACCACAAAGATGGGGAGAAACCAGAGCAGAAAAGCTGAAAATTCTAAAAACCACAGCATCCCTTCTCCTGCAAAGGATTACAGCTCCTTGCCAGCAACGGAATAAAGCTGGACGGAGAATGACTTTGATGAGCTGACAGAAGTAGGCTTCAGAAGGTTGGTAATAACAAACTTCTCTGAGTTAAGGGAGGATATTCGAACCCATCACAAGGAAGCTAAAAGCCTTGCAAACAGATTAGATGAATGGCTAACTAGAATAAGCAGTGTAGAGAAGACCTTAAATGACCTGATGGAGCTGAAAACCATGGAACAAGAACTATGTGACACATGCACAAGCTTCAGTAGTTGATTCAATAAACTGAAAGAAAGGGTATCAGTGATTGAAGATCAAATTAATGAAGTGAGAAGTTTAGAGAAAAAAGAGTAAAAAGAATGAACAAAGCCTCCAAGAAATATGGGACTATGTGAAAACACCAAATCTACGTTTGATTGGTGTACCTGAAAGTGACGGGGAGAATGGAACCAAGTTCGAAAACACTCTTCAGGATATTGTCCAGGAGAACTTCCCCAACCTAGCAAGGCAGGCAAACATTCAAACTCAGGAAATACAGAGAACACTACCAAGATGCTCCTTGAGAGGAGCAACCCCAAGACACATAATTGTCAGATTCACCAAGGTTGAAATGAAGGAAAAAATGTTAATGGCACCCAGAGAGAAAGGTCGAGTTAGCCACAAAGGGAAGCCCATCAGACTAACAGTGGATCTCTCAACAGAAACTCTACAAGTCAGAAGAGAGTGGGCACCAATATTCAACATTCTTAAAGAATTTTCAACCCAGAATTTCATATCCAGCCAAACAAAGCTTCATAAGGAGAAATAAAATCCTTTATAGACCAGCAAATGCTGAGAGATTTTGTCACCACCAGCCCTGCCTTACAAGAGCTCCTGAAGGAAGCACTAAACATGGAAAGGAACAACCGGTACCAGCCACTGCAAAAACATGCCAAATTGTAAAGACCATCGATGCTAGGAAGAAACTGCATCAACTAACGGGAAAAATAACCAGCTAACATCATAATGACAGAATCAAATTCACACATAACAATATTAACCTTAAATGTAAATGGGCTAAATGCCCCAATTAAAAGACACAGACTGGCAAGTTAGATGAAGAGTCAAGACCCATCAGTGTGCTGTATTCAGGAAACCCATCTCATGTGCAGACACACACATAGGCTCAAAATAAAGGGATGGAGGAAGACCTACCAAGCAAATGGAAAACAAAAAAAGCAGGTGTTGTTGCAATCCTAGTCTCTGATAAAACAGACTTTAAACCAACAAAGATCAAAAGGGACAAAGAAGGCCATTACATAATGGTAAAGGGAGCTAACTACCCTAAATATATATGCACCCAATACAGGAGCGCCCAGATTCATAAAGCAAGTTCTTAGAGACCTACAAAGAGACTTAGACTCCCACACAATAGTGGGAGTCTTTAACACCCCACTGTCAATATAAGACAGATAAACAAGATAGAAGGTTAACAAGGATATCCAGGACTTCAACTCAGCTCTGCACCAAGCAGACCTAATAGACATCTACAGAACTCTCCACCCCAAATCAACAGAATATACATTCTTCTCAGCACCACATTGCACTTATTCCAAAATTGACCACATAGTTGGAAGTAAAGCACTCCTCAGCAAATGTAGAAGAACAGAAATCACAACAAACTGTCTCTCAGACCACAGTGCAATCAAATTAGAACTCAGGATTAACAAACTCACTCAAAACCGCACAACTACATGGAAACCGAACAACTGCTCCTGAATGACTACTGGGTAAATAACGAAATGAAGGCAGAAATAAAGATGTTCTTTAAAACCAATGAGAACAAAGACACAACATACCAGAATCTCTGGGACACATATAAAGCAGTGTGCAGAGGGAAATTTATAGCACTAAATAATGCCCACAAGAAAAAGCAGGAAAGATCTAAAATTGACACCCTAACATCACAATTAAAAGAACTAGAGAAGCAAGAGCAAACACATTCAAAAGCTAGCAGAAGGCAAGAAATCAGAGCAGAACTGAAGGGGATAGAGACATAAAAAACCCTTCAAAAAAAATCAATGACTCCAGGAGCTGGTTTTTTGAAAAGATCAACAAAATTGATAGACTGCTAGCAAGACTAATAAAGAAGAAAAGAAAGAAGGATCAAACAGACATAATAAAAAATGTTAAGGGGGATATCACCACTGATCCCACAAAAATACAAGCTACCATCAGAGAATATTATAAACAACTCTACGCAAATAACTAGAAAATCTAGAAGAAATGGATAAATTCCTGGACACATACAACCTCCCAAGACTAAACGTGGAAGAAGTTGAATCCCTGAATAGACCAATAACAGGCTCTGAAATTGAGGCAATAATTAATAGCCTACCAACCAAAAAAAGTCCAGGATCAGACGGATTCACAGCCAAATTCTACCAGAGGTACAAAGAGGAGCTGGTACCATTCCTTCTGAAACTATTCCAATCAATAGAAAAAGAGGGAATCCTCCCTAACTCATTTTATGAGGCCAGGATCATCCTGATACCAAAGCCTGGCAGAGACACAGCAAAAAAAGAGAATTTTAGTCCAATATCCCTGATGAACATCCATGCAAAAATCCTCAATAAAATACTGGCAAACCGAATCCAGCAGCACATCAAAAAGCTTATCCACCAAGATCAAGTTGGCTTCATCCCTGGGATGCAAGGCTGGTTCAACATATGCAAATCAATACACATAATCCATCACATAAACAGAACCAACGACAAAAAACACCATTATCTCAATAGATTCAGAAAAGGCCTTTGACAAAATTCAACAGCCCTGCATGCTAAAACTCTCAAACTAGATACTGATGGAACGTATCTCAAAATAATAACAGCTATCTATGACAAACCCACAGCCAGTATCATACTAAATGGGCAAAAACTGGAAGCATTCCCTTTGAAAACTGGTACGAGAGAGGGATGCCCTCTCTCACCACTCCTATTCAACATAGTGTTGGAAGTTCTGGCCAGGACAATCAGGCAAGAGAAAGAAATAAAGGGTATTCAATTAGGAAAAGAGGAAGTCAAATTGTCCCTGTTTGCAGATGACAGACTGTATATTTAGAAAACTCCATGTCTCAGCCCAAAATCTCCCTAAGCTGATAAGCAACTTCAGCAGTCTCAGGATACAAAATCAATGTGCAAAAATCACAAGCATTCCTATACACAAATAACAGACAATAACAGAGAGCCAAATCATGAGTGAACTCCCATTCACAACTGCCTCAAAGAGAATAAGGTACCTAGGAATCCAACTTACAAGGGATATGAAGGACTTCTTCAAGAAGAACTACAAACCACTGCTCAACGAAATAAAAGAGGACACAAACAGATGGAAGAACATTCCATGCTCATGCATAGGAAGAATCAGTATCGTGAAAATGGCCATACTGCCTAAGGTAATTTATAGATTCAATGCCATCCCCATCAAGCTACCAATGACTTTCTTCACAGAATTGGAAAAAACTACTTTAAAGTTCATATGGAACCAAAAAAGAGCCTGCATTGCCAAGACAGTCCTAAGCAAAAAGAACAAAGCTGGAGGCATCATACTACCTGACTTCAAACTATACTACAAGGCTACAGTAACCAAAACAGCATGGTACTGGTACCAAAACAGAGATATAGACCACTGGAACAGAACGGAGGCCTCAGAAATAACACCACACATCTACATCTGCTCTTTGACAAACCTGACAAAAATAAGAAATGGAGAAAGGATTCCATGTTTAACAAATGGTGCCAGGAAAACTGGCTAGCCATATGTAGAAAGCTGAAACTGGATCCCTTCCTTACACCTTATGCAAAAATTAATTCAAGATGGATTAAAGACTTAAATGTTAGATGTAAAACTATAAAAACCCTAGAAGAAAACCTAGGCAATACCATTCAGTACATAGGCATGGGCAAGGACTTCATGACTAAAACACCAAAAGCAATGGCAACAAAAGCCAGAATAGACAAATGGGATATAATTAAACTGAAGAGCTTCTGCATGGCAAAAGAAACTACCATCACAGTGAAGAGGCACCTACAGAACAGGAGAAAATTTTTGCAATCCACCCATCTGACAAAGGGCTAATATCCAGAATCTAAAAAGAACTTAAACAAATATAGAAGAAAAAAATCAAACAACCCCATCAAAAAGTGGGCAAAAGATATAACAGACACTTCTCAAAAGAAGACATTTATGCAGCCAACACACACATGAAAAAATGCTCATCATCACTGGTCATCAGAGAAATGCAAATCAAAACCACAATGAGATACCATCTCATGCCAGTTAGAATGGCGATCATTAAAAAGTCAGGAAACAACAGGTGCTGGAGAGGATGTGGAGAAATAGAAACACTTTTACACTGTTGGTGGGAGTATAAACTAGTTCAGCCATTGTGGAAGACAGTGTGGTGATTCCTCAAGGATCTAGAACTAGAAATACCATTTGACCCAGCCATCCCATTACTGGGTATATACCCAAAGGATTGTAAATCATGCTGCTGTAAAGACACGTGCACGTGTATGTTTATTGTGGCAGTATTCACAATAGCAAAGACTTGGAACTAACCCAAATGTCCATCAATGATAGACTGGATTAAGAAACTGTGGCACATATACACCATGGAATACTATGCAGCCATAAAAAAGGATGAGTTCATGTCCTTTGTAGGGACATGGATGAAGCTGGAAACCATCATTCTGAGCAAACTATCACAAGGACAGAAAATCAAACACCGCATGTTCTTTCTCATAGGTGGGAATTGAACAGTGAGAACACTTGGACACAGGGCAGGGAACATCACACACTGGGGCCTGTCGTGGGGTGAGGGAAGTGGGGAGGAATCACATTAGGAGAAATACCTAATGTAAATGACAAGTTAATGGGTGCAGCACACCAACATGGCACATGTATACATATGTAACAAACCTGCACTTTGTGCACATGTACCCTAGAACTTAAAGTATAATAAAAAAAAAAATAAGTCATACTACCAGAGAAAATCACTTAACTACAAAAGAAGACAGTAAGGAAGAAGGAAAAGAGGAGTTAAAACTACCAGAAAACAAGTAACAAAATGGCAGTAGTAAGTCCTTACCTATCAATAACATTTAACGTAAATAGGCTAGATTCTCCAATAAAGACACAGAGTGGCTGAATGGGTTAAAAAAAAATAGATAAGACCTTAAACTCACTTTACCTATAAAGACACCCATAGGCTGAAAGTGAAGGTATGGAAAAAGTTATTCCATACAATGGAAACTACAAAAGAGCAGGAGCAACTATACTTATTTCAGATAAAATAGACTTCAAGTCAAAAAACATTTAAAAAGTAAAAGAAGGTCATTATATAATAATAAAGGGGTAAATTCAGCAAGAGAATATAACAATTATAAATACAAATGCACCCAACACCAGGGCATCCAAATATATAAAGCAAACATTAACATATGTATTTATATATATATTTATATATATATTTATATATTTATATTTATTTATTTAATTTATATATTTATATATTTATATATTTATATTTATATATATTTATATATATTTATATTTATATATTTTTATATATATTTATATATATTTATATATTTATATATTTATATATATTTATATTATATATATACTTATATATTTATATATACTTATATATATATTTTTATATATACTTATATATTTATATATATTTTTATATATACTCATATATTTATATATATTTTATATATACTTATTTTATATATATATATTTTTATATATATTTAATTTTTACATATATTTATATTTTTATATATTTATATATTTATATATTTTTATATTTTATATATATGTTTATATATTTATATATTATATATATTTATATATATTTATATTTTTATATATTTATAATTTATATTTTTATATATATTTATATATGTTTATATATTTATATATATTTATATATATTTATATATTATATATATTTATATATATTTATATATATTTATATATTATATATATTTATATATATTTATATATTTATATATTTATATATATTTATATATACTTATATATATTTATTTATATATGTATATATATTTATATATGTGTATATATTTATATATATGTATACATATTTATATATGTATATATATTTATATATGTGTATATATATTTATATATTTATATATGTGTATATATATTTATATATGTGTATATATTTATTTATATATGTGTATATATATTTATATATGTATATATTTATATATGTGTATATATATTAATATATGTATATATATTTATATGTGTATATATATTTATATATGTATATATTTATATATTTATATATATTTATGTATATATTTATATATATTTTATATATTGTTATATATATTATATATTTATATATATTTTATATATTGTTATATATATTATATATTTATATATATTATATATTGTTATATATATTATATATTTATATATATTTTATATATTGTTATATATATTCATATACATATATATATAAAGAGAAAAATAGACTGCAATATAATAGTTGGGGACTTCAACATCCCACTCAGTAATTAAACGATCATCAGATAGAAAATTAACAAAGAAACATCAGTGCTAAACTACACTCTATACCAAATGGACCTAACTGGTATTTACAGAACATTTCATCCAACAGCTGCAGAATACACATTCTTCTCATCAGCACATAGAAAATTCTCAAGGATAGACCACATGTTAGGCCACAAAACAAGTATCAATAAATTCAAAAAAAGTCAAAATCATATCAAGCATCTTTTCTGACCACAATGGAATAAAACCAGGTATCAATAACAAGAAGAATTTTGAAAACTATACAAAGACATAGAAATTAAACGATATGATCCTGAAAGGTCAATAGGTAAATTAAGAAATTAAGAAGGAGAAGGTGGGGAGTGTGTAAGCACTGAAAAAACTACCTATCAAGTACTATGTTCACTACCTGGGTAACAGAATCATTCATATGCCAAATCTCAGAGACATGCAATTTACCAGTGTAACAAGCCTGCACTCGTATCCCCTGAACTAAAAATAAAACTTGCAAATAAAAGACAATTAAGAAGGAAATTTAAAATTTTATTGAAACAAGTATACATAAAACTTGTCAAAATCTATGGGATAGAGCAAAGGCAGTACTAAGAGGAAAGTTTATAGCAATAAATGCCTATATCAAAAAAGTAGAAAGTCTTCAAATAAATAACCTAATGATGTACCTAAAGAAACTAGAAAAGCATTAACAAACCAAACCCACAATTAGCAGAAGAAAAAAAATAAAGAGCAGAGAAGTAAATGAAATTGATACTTAAATACAGAAAAATACAAAAAATGAAGTTATTTTTTTGAAGAGAAACAAAATCAACGAAGCTTTAGCTAGACTAAGAATAAAAGAGATGACC
Source organism: Homo sapiens (assembly GCF_000001405.40). NCBI lineage: Eukaryota > Metazoa > Chordata > Mammalia > Primates > Hominidae > Homo > Homo sapiens. Next base: position 116,675,309 of record NC_000011.10, read on the forward strand.
CAAATAAAATCAGAAATGAAAAATGAAACATTACAACCAATACCATAGAAATACAAAGAATCAGAGACTATTATGAACAGCTATAAAACAAAATCAAAAACCTAGAAGAAACTGTTAAGCTCCTAGACACATAAAACCTACCAAGATTAAACCATGAAGAAATTGAAAATCTCAATAAACCAATAACAAGTAATGAAATTGAAGCTGAAAGTCTCCCAGCAAAGTGAAGCCCAGGACTTGTTGATTTCACTGCTGAATTCTACCAAACATTTAAAGAACTAATACCAATTCTACTCAAACTCTTCAAAACAAATTGAAGAGGAGGGAATACTTCCAAATTCTTTCTAGGAGGCCAGTATTACCCTGATACAAAAACCAGACAAGGAAACAATGAAAAAAAAACTGCAGGCTAATGTATCTGATGAATGTAGATGCAAAAAATCTCAACAAAATGCTAGCAAACTGAATTCAACAACATTTGAAGATCATTCAACATAATCAAGTGGGATTCACCCCAGAGATGCAAGGATGGTTCAACCTACACAAATCAATAAATGTGACACATCACATTAACAGAACCAAGAACAAAAGCCATATGATTATTTCACCAGATGCCTAAAAAGCATTTGGTAAAATTCAACATCCCTTTAGAATTTTACACCCTCATCAAACTGGGTATAGAAGGAACATATCTCAAAATAATAAAGGCCATATATGACAAACCCACAGCTAACATTGGAAAGAGAAAAACTGAAGGCCTTTTGGCTAAGATAACAAGACAAGGATGCCCACTTTCACCACTATTATTCAGTGTAATACTGCAAGTCCAGGCTAGGGAAATTAAGCAAGAGAAAGACATAAAAGCATCCAAATCGGGAAAGAAGAAATCAAATTAGACTTGTATATGGTTTACAGGATCTTATACTTAGAAAAACCTAGACTCCACCAAAAAAAATTGTTAGGATGGATAAACAAATTTAGTAAAGTTGCAGCATACAAAAATCAACGTACAAAAATCAGTAGCATTTATGTATACCAACAGCAAACAATCTGAAAGATAAATCAAGGAAACAACCCCATTTACAATAGCTATGAAAAAATATAAAATATCTAGGAATCAATCTAACCAAAGAAATGAAAGATCTATACCAAAAAAACTATAAAACTCTGATGAAAGAAATAGAAAAGGACACAAAAAAATAGGAAGATATTCCATGTTCATAGATTGGAAGGATTACTATGCTAAAATGATGATACTACCCAAAGCAATTTACAGATTCAATGCAATCCATATCAAAATACCAATGACATTCCTCACAGAAATAGAAAAAAAATTATAAAATTTATATGGAACCACAAAAGACCCCAAATAGCCAAAGCAACCCTGAGCAAAAAGAACAAAACTGGAAACATTACACTACCTGAATTCAAAATTTACTACAAAGCTATAGCAACCAAATCAGCATGGTACTGACATAAAAACAGACACATAGACCAATAGAACAAAGTAGAGAACTCAGATATAAGTCTATGTATTTACATCCAACTTATCTTCAACAAATGCACCAGGAACATACATTAGGGAAAGGACAGTCTCTTCAATAAATGGTACTGGGAAGTAAGTATATGCAGAAGAATTAAACTAGATGTCTACTGCACACCATACACAAAAATCAAATCAAAATAGATTAAAGTCTTAAATCTAAGATCTGAAACGATAAAACTACTAGAAGAAAACATTGGGGAAATGCTCTAGGACATTGGTCTGGACAAAGATTTTTTTTGTGTAAAACCTCAAAAGCATGGGCTGGGCGCGGTGGCTCACGCCTGTAATCCCAGCACTTTGGGAGGCCGAGGCAGGCAGATCACTTGAGGTCAGGAGTTCAAGACCAGCCCAGCCAACATGGTGAAACCCTGTCTCTACTAAAAATACCAAAAAAATTTAGCTGGGTGTGATGGCAGGTGCCTGTAATCCCAGCTACTCAGGAGGCTGAGGCAGGAGAATGGCTTAAACCTGGGAGGTGGAAGTTGCAGTGAGCCGAGATCGCACCACTGCACTCCAGGCTGGGTGACAGAGTGAGACTCCGTGTAAAAAAAAAAAAAAAAAAAAAACCAACCAAAAAAAACCACTCAAAAGCACAGAAAACCAAAGCAAAAATAGACAAATGGGATTATATCAAGCTAAAAACTTCGCACAGCAAAGAAAACAACAAAGTGAAAAGACAACCCAAAGAACAGGAGAAAATGTGTGTAAACTACCCAACTGACAATGGATAAATATCCAGAATATATAAGGAGCTCAAACAACTCAATAGCGAAAAACGGTATGATTTTAAAATGGGCAAAATATTTGAACAGACATTTCTCAAATGACAACATACAAATGACAAAAAAATATGAAAAAAGTGCTCGACATCACTAATCACCAGGGAAATGCAAATCGAAACCACAATGAGGTATTATCTCATTCCAGAGAGGATGGTTATTATCAAACAGGTAGGAAATAAGAATGCTGGCAAAGACTGGAGAAAGGGGAACACATATACTGTTGGTGGGAATGTCACTTAATACGGCCATTATGGAAAACAATATGGAGGTTTCTCAAAAAACTAAAAATAGAACTACCACATGATCTAGCAGTCCCACTGCTGGGTATACATCCAAAAGAAAATAAGTATATCAAAGAAATATCTGCACTCCCATGTTTATCACAGCACTACTCACAATAGTGAAGATATGGAATCAACCTAAGCATCCATCAGTAGATGAATGGATTAAGATGTGGTATATATACACAATGGAATATTAGACTTAAAAAATGAAATCCTGTCATTTGCAACAACATGAATAGAACTGGAGGTCATTACGTTAAGTGAAATAAGCCAGCCACAGAAAGACAAATACATGTTCTCACTCATAAGGGTAAGCAAAAGTGGATCCATGCAGGTAGAGAGTTGATGGTGGTTACCAGCGGCTGGGAAGGGGAGGAGAGAGGGAGAATTGAAGAGAGGTTGATTATTGGCTTAAAAAATATACAGCTAGATTGAAGGAATAAGATCTAGTATTCAATAGTACAATAAAGTGACTATCATTAACAATAATGTATAGTTCAAAATAACTGAAGAATTTGAATGTTCCCAAATAAAAGATAAATATTTGAGGTGATGAATATCCCAATTACCCTGATTTGATCATTATACATTGTATTCATGTATCAAAATATCACATGTACCCCCAAAATAAGTACATTATGTACCCATTTTAAAAAATTCTGACAGGAAGTGGCACACATCATTTCTGCTCACATTTCCCTGGCCATAGTCAGTTGTACAGACTTACGTAACTTCAAGGAATCAGAGAAGAGTAACTCCACCATGTACCCAGAGAGAGAAGAATTAGATATAGATAGATGATTGATATGAGAGAGAGAGAATGAATGAATGAATGAATGACCATTTCATCCTCTGGCCACCAAATATTTGGCTCACTCACCTCACCAAGCAACACGCACTCACCCTCTCCCCTAGGAAAGCAACCCAAAAGTTCCATCTAGTCATAGCAACTAAAGCAAAGTTCAGGACCCCTGACTGATGTGTTATGGTGTATACACTAGATCCAGATGTGACTGTCCTCTTAATCTGGAGACCTATAAGCTAAAAATAAATTTTCTGCTCCACACACCCAAGATACAATGTTGAAACAGGGATAGGATAACCACAATAGCCAGTCCCATTCAGTAAGGGAAGAATGGAAAGACACAGAAGACACTGACTCATAGCAATTCTGAAATCTTGCTGGGCAGACATCTTGAGGGACAACCCCTGGGAGCAGGGATATTTCTGGGTTTGGCTACCGTTATACTACCTGGGTATAGCAATGATACAGTTTGGATGCTTGTCCTTTCCAAATCTCATGCTGAGGTTTCATCCCCAGTGTTGGAGGTGGGGCCTAGTGGGAGGTGTTTGCGTCATGGAGGCGGATCTCTCATGAATGGCTTGGTGTCATTCTCACAGTAATGAGTGGTTGTTGGTCTATTAGTTCCCATGAGAACTGATTGTGAAAAAGAACCTGGCACCTTCCTCCCCTTCCATCCTCTCTTGCCATGCTATGGCTGCTCCTGCTCCTCTTCTGCCATGAATGGGAGCTTCCTGAAGTCTTCAACAGAAGCAGATGCTGGCACCATGCTTCTTATACAACCTGCAGAACTATGAGCCAAATAAACCTTTTTTCTTTATAAATTACCCATCCTCAGGTATTCCTTTATAGCAATGCAAATGGACTCTAAGAGGAGCTCCTTCATTCATTATACTCCATTTCTCCTGACTCCTTCCTCTAGGAAATTATTTTCCATTATTCTCCTTGGCCATATTGGAAGTGAATGTAAGGGAATATGCTCTTCTTAAGGGCTGAGCCTCTTTCTCAGATCATCTGCTACTGATACATAGGGTCATTTTAGGTCTTTAATAGTCTAAGTCCAGACTGGTGGTTCTTTTGGCCATGCAACTATCTCAATAATTTCTTACCTATTTGATTCTGACAGCAATAGAATCCAGTAGCCATAACCATATTTCTTTTAGAGACACAGATTCCAGAGTTATGCCTTTGATTTCTCATCTCCAAATCTCTCTCCATCTAAAGATCAGTGTACCTTGAGCCTATCAGGATTGTGTAGATATCCACAGCCTTAGTCTCTTTTCCTTGAGACATCTGTCCAATTTAAAGGGATAACTAGCTGCCATATCCTTGAAAGATACTCTGAAACATATTAATAAACTCAAAGATTTTAAGAGTGGCCATGCCCTTATTTTGATCCTTGCCACAGTAATAAATTTTTCATTCAAAACTTTTCTCAATTTTATCTTCTACTATTTGGAATCCAAAATTATGGCTCTCCCAAATATTTCAAGGCCTCCAGATTTTGGAAACTTTCTATTCACTTTCATTTCTGCTTGCATATTGGCCAATTCTTTTCTGAGCACATTCTTTATTACTATAATACTTTGCCAAGCACAGTCAATAATAACTAAACATTTGGTAACATACTGTTTTCCCGTATCTTCATCTTCAGTTACAATTTTCTCAAAATGTGATCTGACATCCATACAATTGTAATAAATATTTCCCACTGCATAATATAAATTTCCATCTTCTAACCTCCAATAAAATTTTCTTGCAGTTCACTACACAGCCCCTAGGACAGATCATCTATTTTAAGCTTTCTGTTTCATCAGTACTGTATTCCATTTCTAGGAGTCTATCTTTTTCTCTTTTTTTAAGACAGGGCCTCCATCTGTCCTTCAGGCTGGAGTGCAGTGGCACAATCTCAGTTCACTGCAACCTCCTCCTCCCAGGCTCAAGGGATCCACGTTGGCCTCCCAAAGTGCTGGGATTACAGGTGTAAGCCACTGTGCCCAGCCTGGGAGTATATCTTAATATCTGTCAGAATGAATTAGATTATGCTGTGACAACAAATAACCCCTAAGTCTTGATGCTTTAAAATAATGAAAGTTTCTTGCTCAGCTACTTGGTGGGGAGAAAAATGTCCCAAGTTATTCTCACTCAGGAACCCAGGCTGACAGAGCCTCCAGCATCTCAAATGTTAGTAGCGGAGAGGAAACATGATGAATTACACATCATCTCTTGAAGTCAAGTAATACCTTTCACTTTTACTCACATTTTCTCTAAAGCAAATCACATCACGATGCCTAACTTCAAGAAACTGAGGGTATACAATCCTGTCATGTGTTCAGAAAAGGAAAAACTAGAAATATTGGTGAATAATACTAAATGCTACCATAAATGCTATACCTATACAAACTATCACCTACTATAAAGTAGAATAATTAGACTTTTCAATTTTGCAAGATCTCAAAAGATTTCTCTCTTCCGTAATTGTCATGAAGCTACAGAGCTTGTCTCTTACCAAAACAAAAGAGTAAGCCAAGAAAGGGGAAGGCATAGAGAGAAGCAAAGGAAATCCCCTGGACAAGGGTGAAAAAAGACTCCAGAGTGACAACTGTTCACAACGCAGGAAAGACAATCAACTCATATTGGAGCACTATGACTCAAGAGATACGAATATCACCACCATACCTTTGCATTTATACCATTAATCTGATAAGATAGACAAAGACATGAGATTTGGAAACAAGGAATTCAACCCAGGAGAGAGGTGAGGGAAACCCAAGACTGACAGCAAAGACAAGACCCAGATGATAGGGGTGCAACAAGCCTTCAGAGTAATTAACACAGGTTGAAAAAAAATGGAGGTCTTCAGGAGGGATGGCTCTAATTTTTTACATAATGCAGCTAACAGATTATCTGAGAGACTGGCCTTGTGGTAAATCATACTGAGAGCCTGCTAGGAGATATAGGAAGAATTGGAAATGGGTACACACAAAACTAAGCAAATTAACAATCAGGGCAATTATTAACTTCAGGAGAAATAAAAAAAAAGTATACTACAATGTTCAGTTATTAATATTTGCATAACAATGTAAATACTGAATATTGGTATATTGTAAATGGTAATATAGCTATATTGGGGCTTATAACTAATTTATCTATCTATAATAAAGAGAAGTCAATGGATATCTTGAAATTATGAATCAAAAGGATCAATATTTATTTAGAAAAATATGGCTGGGCACAGTGGCTCAAGCCTGTAATCCCAGCACTTTGGGAGGCTGAGACGGGTGAATCACAAGGTCAGGAGTTCGAGATCAGCCTGGCCAACATAGTGAAACCCCGTCTCTACTAAAATATAAAAATTAGTCGGGTGTGGTGGCATGCGCGTGTAGTCCCAGCTACTCAGAAGGCTGAGGCAGGAGAATCGCTTGAACCCGGGAGGCGGAGGTTGCAGTGAGCCAAGACTGTACCATTGCACTCCAGCCTAGGTGACAGAGTGAGACTCCATCTCAAAAAAAAAAAAAAAATAGAAATGTGTATAAATATTAGGATAAAGAGTCAAAGATATTTCCTCTGAGGAGGAAGATTGGGAAGAGAGGAGTGCTGAGACAGAAAACCCCTGTATTTTGTTATAAGCCTTTTGGCATTATTTGATTTTTTAAAACCATATGCATATAATACCTTCAAGAAAATAAAAACAAAAAAATTTCCTAAGTGATTCTGATGCTCAAATTTAGGAACTCCTAGGCCAGTTCACATTCCCATCCATTATTAGAAACTCCTCTGCAACATTCACTGATAAGTAGTTGTCCAACTATGACTTGACTATCGCCACAATAAAGAATTCACTACTTGAAATTTCATCTCCTATTTCTTTATAGTCCTAATTCTTATGTCAGTTATAAACATTGCATAGTAAAAGTACAGAGATACTGTGAGACTGTACTGGCCCATTCTACTTCCAGGGATGAAAGTAATGGGGGCAGTAATGAATGTCTCGTAATTCTCCTGTAGTGGGTGGCTATCAACAGGGTGAGTCCTGCTGGGTGCAGTGGCTCATGCCTGTAATCCCAGAACACTGGGAGGCTAAGGCAGATAATTGCATGAGCCCAGGAGTTCAAGTCCAACCTAGCCAACATAGGAAGACCCTGTCTCTACAAAAAATTCAAAAATTAGCCAAGTGAGATTGTGTGCACCTGTAGTCCCAGCTACTCAGGAGGCTGAGGTGGGAGGATCACTTGAGCCCAGGAGACTGAAGCTGCAGTGAGCTGTGATCACACCACTGCACTCCAGCTTGGGTGATAGAATTACACCCTGTTTCAAAGAAAAGAGGGTGAATCTTTTCGCTATGCTATAGCCCACTTCCCTGGCAATCACTGTAAAAGATATTTGTCCCTCAGAATGAAAGGGAGGGACCAAGAGCTCTACAAATCTTACATTTAGGTCTCTTTCTCTGGCTTTAGTGACACGGCTTATGCCATCCTAAAGATTCCCATAAGCTGAGGTGGCGATACACCTCAGAAAAGTGGAAGACAGAGGAAGGAGCTATATAAATTGTGCCAGGCATTTGAGTCCAGAAGGTAGCTATTTATCTCAAGAGTTGAGACATATTTTAAAGCATTATTTTCTTTACCACATCCCCAGGCAGCCCACTTCATCCCCTAAAGCTCTGTTAGAAGGTCTTCATAAGAGAGAGAGGGACAGAAATTAAAAGTACTAGGTTTCAGTAGTGCAGATAGATAAAATGAATGAAATTTTTAAAAATTCAATCTAAAAGACAACAGAAAACTAAGAACAAATAACAGATATGGCCAAAAAAACAGAGCAAGGAGGTAAATTTAAACCCAGCTATGTACATAATTACACTAAACATAAATGATCTAAACACCCAAATTAAAAGACAGATTAAACTGGATTAAAAAGCAAGACTCAATACTTGGAAGAAAAAGGCACAGCTAGATTATAAGTAAAATGATGGAAAACATACCAAGTAAGCATTGTTCAAAAGAAAGCACTGATATATTAATACCAGACAAAGTGTAGTTTGCAGGATAAGGAATATTACCTGATAAAGAGGGACATTTCATAAAGAGGTCAATTACTCAAGGAAACATAATCATAAATGTGTGTGCACCTAATAAGTGGTTTCCTGATGGTTTGTTTTCATGCTGCTGATGAAGACATACCCAAGATGGGGCAATTTACAAAAGAAAGAGGTTTAATTGGACTTACAGTTCCACGTGTCTGGGAAAACCTCACAATCATGGCAGAAGGAGAAGCAACATCTTACATGGATGGCAGCAAGCAAAAAAAAGCTTGTGCAGGAAAACTCCGTCCCCGCTCCCCTCCACCCCCACCCCCACCTTATAATCATCAGATCTCATGAGACTATCACAAGAACAGCATGGGCAAGACCTGCCCTCATGATTCAATTACCTCCCACCAGGTCCCTCCCACAACATGTGGGTGAATTGAAGACCAGATTTGGGTGGGCACATAGCCAAACCATATCATTAACAAACTAAAAACAAATACAACATATAATCATCTCAATAGATACAGAAAAATCATTTGAAAAAATTTAACACCTACGTGTGATATAAAAAAACTCTCAGCAAACTAGGAATAGAAGAGAACATTCTTAAATCCATAAAGGGCATTTTTTAAACCCTGCAGCTAACATCATACTTAACGGTGAAAGACTGAATGCTTTTCACTTAAATTGGGAACAAATTAAGGATATCTGCTCTCATCACTTCTATTTAATATAGTATAGGTAACCTTAGCCAGTGAAATAAGGCAAGAAAAAGAAATAGATTTGAAAGAGATGGTAACACTGTCTTTTTTTCAAGTTTTCTTTTTTTAACTTTTAAGTTCAGGGGTACATGTGCAGGTTTATTACATAGGTAAACTTGTGTCATGGGGGTTTGTTGTAGGTAAAACTGTCTTTACCACACAATGAGATGATCTCTAAAAAATAGTTCAAATAGTCTACAAAAAAAAAAACTACTAGAATAAACGAGATTAATCAAGATACAGGATATAAGGCCAATTTTTTAAAAACTGTATTTCTATGTACTAGCAATAAAAAATTGGAAATAAAATTTTTTAAATACTACTTTAAAAATCAAGCATAAATTTAAGAAAATTTCTGTAAAATCTGTACACTGACAACTAGGAAACATTGCTGAGAAAAAGAAAGCCTCAATAAATAGAGAGATGTAACACATTCATGGATCAGAATATTCAATATTGTTAAGATGCTAATTCTCCCCAAAATCGTCTATAGAGTCAATGCATACATAATCAAAAGACCAGTAGACTGGGTTTTGTTAGTTTTTTAGAAATTGGCAATCTAATTCTAAAGGAAATACAAAGACTTAGAATAAGGAGAAGACAGTTGGAAGCCTTGTACTACTTAATTTCAAGACTTACTGTAAAGCCACAGTAATCATGTCAGTGTGGTATCGGGGTGAGGATAGACATATAGATCGATGAAATAGAAGAGTCCAGAAATATACCCAACATATATGGTCAACTGATTTTTGACAAAGGTACCAAGGTAATTCAATGGGAAAGGAAAGTCTTTTTAACAAACTGTGGTGGACAATTTGACATTTACATACAAAAAGAAAAGGAAAGAAAAAAGAACCTCAACATAGATCTTACACCTTATACAAAAGTTAACTTGAAATGAATCATAGACCTACATGTAAGAGCTAAAACTCTAAACTTCTAGAAGAGGAAAAAAACTTTGACCACCTTCAGTTAGGCTAAGAAGTCTTTGGACACAAATCCAAATACTAGAGCTCAAGACCACCTTTAAAATTTGACCAAGGTGTGTTTTAGGCAAATAAAAGGAGGCGCTTCATTATACAGCTGAATCCAATTCCTTTACCATCCTCTCTGCTCTCTCCTGGAACACCCTCCTTGTTCCCCAACCAAACCTTTGCCATAACCAGCTCCTACTTATCATCCTGTCTCAGCTTCAGTGTCACTTCCTCCAGGGAGCCTTTCCTGACCCCCTAAACTGGGTTAAGTGCCCCTCTTTCAACTCCTGTCACTTCCTGGACTTTGCACATAACCCTCTCTATTGCAGGGACCTGTATCACCCTCCAGACTGGAAGCCCCACAAAGAACTGGGACAGTGTTTGACCTGTTCTCATTCTTATTCCCCGTGCCTGACAAGTGGTGGATGCTCAGTATATTTTATTAGATAAACAATTGTATAATCACATCCATCACTTCTTATTACCATTAGGACCAGCCTGAGAGAAAGACAGGGCAGAATTATTATTCTGTTTTTCAGCTGAAGAATCCAAGACCCAGAGAGGTACAGTGATTTGCCCAAGGTCACACAGCTGGCAAGAACTATCCTACTCCTTGCCAGGTGCTTCTCCTCCTTGGTACGTTGCACTGCCTCTCAAGCATGGCACCCCAAACTGCCCCCCAGGCATATAAGAGTGTTGGAATGGACACCCGGCTTCTCAACCTCCCGCCTCTCCATCTCCTTGTCTCCTGGCTTCCCTCTCCTTAGCAGTGAGACCTGGTAGTGTAATGGGTAAGAACAGACATAATGGGTTTGAATTATACTCTAACCACCCACTAGCTGTGTGACCTTGGGCAAGATACTTAACTTCTCTGGATCAACTGTAAAATGGAGGTAAAGTAGTGCATACCTCAGAGGGTTATAGAGTAAGGACTCGGCACAATATCTGGCACATATGAGCTCTGGTTATCTGCTTTTTACTATTTCTCTAACATATTCTATCTTGATGTCTCTATTCCTCACTGTCTTTCTTTTCTACCCTCTGTTGGTCTGTCTATTGGCCTATCTCCCAAACCAGCTGCAGTCCCCTTCCACACGCTGGGCCACGCCTGGGAGACTCAGACACTTCTGAGATCTCCATGTGTATCTCATCCTGGATCCAGAAGAGATCTTGTTCCAGGAATGGAGCTACGGTTAAAAAATAAAATAAAATAAAATAAACCACACACACACGCACACACTACACCACCCCCACATGCATGCACATCTTCCTCACCTGTCACAGGCCAGCCTGTGAGGGACCTGTGTGGTCCAGGGGCAGTTGGAAAAAAGGCTTGAGAGGTTGTGGGGGTGGAAGGGTTAAGGCTGAGTGGTGGGGACAGCCGGTTGGGGGGTGGGGGTCTCTGGCTGAGAAGAAAACAGGTGGACGGGATTGGCCCCGTCCTCGGGGAGAAGTGGAAGCCAAAGCTGAGCCACCTGCCCATTTCCCAAGGGTCGGATTACCCAACAGCAGGTGCTTATGAGACCCTCCCATGCCTGATAGAGTGGAAGGCACAGGGCATGCACACCCCACCTCCACCTCTAGGTCTTATAGATGGAGGGTCATCGGGCCCCTGGAGAGGCCACACTGAGGGGAAGGCATCGTGACCTCAGCATCCTGGGCCAGTGGTAAGAACCAGGACTGGCCTCAGAAGACCTAGGTTTGGGTGAATGCACAGCCATGTACTGGTCATATGACCCTGGGGAAATCGTATCATCGCTCTGAACCTCAGTCTCCTCATCTGCAAAATGTAACAATAGATGCTCTGCTGCGTGGCTGTGAAAATTTTATTTAGAAAGAGCAGGTAAGAAAGCACTTGCTAAACTACCTGGTGCTCTGTGGTGTCCTTGGGTCATTATTGGCACAGGCTGGATGGCGCCCACAGTGACCCCTCATCATCCTGCCCCACTGTCACAGAGCACCCATTATCAATGGTGACACCAGGAAGACAGACAGACACTCCAGTGCAGTCTGGCAACATCATCCAGCTGAGCCCCTCATCATCCTGCTATGTGACCACGGGCCCTTCCACCTCTGGGCCAGTTTCTTCCCTACACCAAGGGGGATGGGCCACCGTGTGGAATTTCAGGAATTCCTGAAATTCCTGTTAGCTTCATGTTGGTAGCTTGAACTCAGCCATGGTAGAGGTATTTACACCTCAGAAATCAGCAAACATTACAGACCAGGGTACCACTGTTTAGGCTGACATCCCAAATCTCCTCCTCCCAGTGTCTGGCCAGGAACAGAGCAGCTGGTCCAAGCAGATTGCCTCAAGTGCTCAGCATCCGGCTGCCTTCCAGGGACTCTCCCCTGATAAATATGGATGCACACCTGGCCAGCAGCAGGCCTGAACCCCTTGCCCCCACACACACACATACAAGCGTGCACACACACACTCTCATACTCACACTCTCATACACTAACACACACACACTCTCTCATACACTCACATGCACATACACCCACACACTCCTACCTGGTGGATCCCTGGGCATGGGCAGGGGCAGGAGGGAGGCAGCCCCTGCTCTTGTCAATCACAGGAACAAGGCTCCACCCACCTGGCCTGGGTATTCCATGAGGTCTTTTGTCTCCGGTGCTCCTGCCCCTCCTCTTCTCCACCCACCATAGGGTGGAGGACGGGAGCTTGCCCAGACTCCAGCAGGCCACCTGCTTTGTAACTGAGGGCACCACCATGCAGACCCCACTCTCTCTCCTCAGGACTGCCCCTCCACAGACCGCCACGTGGTGCAGGAGTGATACCCAGGCAGTGCCACCCAGTTAGACTAGGAGGTGCCTAGTGCCCCTGCAGCAGGGTCACGTGACACTTTGACCCTTCACCCTCCCAATACTTAGAAGGCAAATCAGTCCGGGAGGCCCAAGTGAGGAGATAGAGTGGTGAGGGAGGGTTTCTCTGAGAGAGAGGGAAGCTGGGCCAAGTCCCTGCCCACCCTTCTACGCTGACCCCCAGCAGTGTCTTTTGCGGGTTGTTTGCATTGCTCTTTTCTGAACTAAGCACTCAGGCACTCTCCTGCTCCCTGCAATGGGTTGAATTGTGTCCTCTAAAATTGCTGCACAGAAGTCCCAACCCCCAGCACCTCAGGAATGTGGTCTCAGATCTTACTGGAGACAGATCCTTGATTACAGAGGTAACCAAATCAAAATCAGGTCATTAAGGCTGGGCGCAGTGGCTCATGCGTGTAATCCCAGCACTTTGGGAGGCCAAGGTAAGTGGATTACTTAAGCCCAGGAGTTCAAGATCAGTCTGAGCAAGAAGGCAAAACCCCATCTTTACAAAAAAAAAAAAAAAATTAGCCAAGTATGGTGGCACATGCCTGTAGTCTGTAGTCCCAGCTACTTGGGAGGCCGAGGTGGGAAGTGGGGGCTGTAGTGAGTCGTGACTGCACCACTGCATTCCAGCCAGAGTGACAGCAAGATGCTGTCTTAAGAACAAAACAAAACAAAAATCCGGTTATTAAAACTCAGGTCATGAGTTAAAAAGGTTGTTAGGGTGAGCCCTAATCCAACATGACTGGCGTCCTTATAGAAAGGGGAAATGTGGACACAGAGATATGCCCCAAGGGAAGAGCATCCACAGCCAAGCAGAGGGGCCTGGGGAAGAAGACAGCCATCCACAGCCAAGCAGAGAGGCCTGGGGAAGAAGACAGCCATCCACAGCCAAGCAGAGAGGCCTGGGGAAGAAGACAGCCATCCACAGCCAAGCAGAGGGGCCTGGGGAAGAAGACAGCCATCCACAGCCAAGCAGAGAGGCCTGGGGAAGAAGACAGCCATCCACAGCCAAGCAGAGGCGCCTGGACCCGATCCTCCCCTCACTACCCAGAGAAGACACTAACTCTGCCTTGATTCCGAAATCTTGGATTCTAGCCTCCAGAACGATGAGGCCGTGCATTTCTGTTGTTTAAGCCACCCCGTGCGGAGGGGTCTGTTATAGCAGCCTTGCAAACGAACTCATCCCCACTCTCTGAAAGGGCAGGTGAGAGAAACCGCCTGTGGGTATCTCAGCTTCACAACCTTCGGAAGCATACACATTGCTGCATCTGATCCCCAGGCCACATGACCCTTAGGCGCAACAGGTGCCATTCATCCCCTTTGACAGATGAGGACACTGAGGCCCAGGGGGCAGGGTGCTTACCAAGAGGCTCTCCAGAGTCAACAACTAAGCCAGGACCAGAACCAAGGCCCCCTTATGAATGACCCAATGGGCTTGCCTACACCAAGCCAAATGTCTCCTCCTGAATGTGTACAGAATTCTGTGAGCCCACAGTGAGAAGACACTGGGACATCTCCCTCCACCAGAGGAAAACTTCCAGGCAAAGGTCCTGAACCCTGGATGCTCCGTGAATCACCCAGAGAGCTTCGAATCAGTCCAGCACCTGGGCCCCACCCCAGACCAAGTGAATAAGCACCTCTGGGGGTGGGGCTCAGGCACTGGTCTTTTCTACAGCGCCCAGATGATACTAATGTGTAGCTGGGGAGGACAGCCGGAGCTAGAGGACTCCCTGGTGCCAGCATCCTAGCAGCCTGAGTGTCCCCACTCAGTTGCAGAGGGGCCTGGGGTGCCCAGCAGGCAATCACACCTCAGGAAATATGAGACATAAATGAAGGTGCAAATTGGCAGTCATTCATTTTTGTATTAAGGCCTAGAAAATATCAGGGTTGAAGCAAGTTTTTCTAATTTCTTCATGGCCGGGGCTGGTGGGTGGGGGAAGTATCTTTAAAATGCTAATGGAAGAGAAAATAGTGTTTTTCTTTAAATTTGGGCCTTTACTCTTTCATCTTGTATTAGCTTGTTCTCATGCTGCTATAAAGAACTGCCCAAGCATGGTGGCTCACGCCTGTAATCCCAGCACTTTGGGAGGCTGAGGCTGGCGGATCACTTGAGGTCAGGAGTTCCAGACCGGCCTGGCCACATGTGAAACCCCATCTCTACTAAAAATTAGGCGTGATGGTGCATGCCTGTAATCCCAGCTACTTGGGAGGCTGAGGCATAAGAATCGCTTGAACACGGGAAGCAGAGGTTGCAGTGAGCTGAGATTTTACCACTGCACTCCAGCCTGGACAACAGAACCAGGCCCCATCTCAAAAAAAGAAAAAAGGAACTGCCCAAGACTGCGTAATTTATAAAGAAAAGAGGTTGAATCGACTCACAGTTCCACAGGGCTGGGAGGAAACTTACAGTCATGGCAGAAGGGAAAGCAAACACATCTCCCCTCACACGGTGGCAGGAAGGAGAAGAATGAGGGCCCAGAGAAGCGGGGAAAGCCCCTTATAAAACCATCCGATCTCGTGAGAACTAATTCACTACCACGAGAACAGGAGGAGGGAAACAGGCCCCATGATTCAATTATCTCCACCTGGTCCCTCCCACGACACGTGGGGATTATGGGAACTACAATTCAAGATGAGATTTAGGTGGGGACTCAGCCAAACCATATCACATCTTAATCAAATGTGATTGCTTATCAGGAAAACTAAAAAGCTACACTGGAATCCTTACTATATGGCAGGCATGTGCTAAATGACCCTTGTGTTTTATGCCTATGCCTATGTGGTTATGCCTAGGCATCATAACCCACATTTTACAGTGGGAGCAACCAAGCCTTAGAGATGTTATTTGACCTGCCCAAGGTTACCCAGCCACTAGGCAGTGAAGCTGGAATCCCACCCAGGCAGTCTACGTTACACCAAAGGCTGTGCCTTTGACCACCCACCACAGGGTCCTCTACATTCATAACCTATTTTTGTAAAAGGGACTAAAATAAGAATTGTCACCAGGCACAGTGGCTCACACCTGTAATCCCAGTGCTATGGGGAGGCTAAGGTGGGAGGATTGCTTGAGCCCAGGAGTTCAAGACCAGCCTGGGTAACATAGCAAAACCCCATCTCTACAAGGGAAAAAAAAAACAGCAAAAACGTAAACAAAATTAGCTGGGTGTGGTTGCACGTGCCTGTAGTCCCAGCTACTTGGGAGGCTGAGGCAGGAGGATGGCTTGAACCCAGGAGTTCCAGGTTGTAGTGTGCTATAATCGCGCTGCTGCACTCCAGCCTGAATGACAGAGCAAGACCCTGTATCTAAAAGAAGAAGAAAAGTATTGTAGATATTAAATGTTTAAATAATGCCTTTTTTCCAGGGCTCCCAGATTTCCAGAGATTTTTCATCCCTAACTTGGAACTGAAGAGCTCAGGCATTAATAGGAAGCAGAACAGGCACCCTCATTCCCAGCACAAAGAACGCCAACGTGGACACCAGCACCAGCACCCCGCACCCCGATCTCTTCCCTGCCTAGGCCCACCGTCGCTGGAAGGAGAGAAACACGGGCCTGGACTCCCCTCTAGTGGCCATGAAGCTAACTGCACCAGACACCTCCACACCCACCCAGGCCAGCCAGGTGCCCGGGGCCTGAGCCCCAGGTGAAGTGGGAACCTACGCCCAATGGGCACACACACCCACTGAGATGGCAGCAGGCCCCTAGGCTTGGAGACTTTATCCAGGTACTGGAATTGAGGGGACTGAAAGCTGCGGCCCCAAAAGACCAAACCATACCTGACTCCATCTCATCCTTTTCACCTCATCTGCCTCCCATCCATCCCCCCAGCTGAAGGGAGCATTAGAAGTCAGGAGGAAGCTGACCCCAAGAAGCAGGATTCTGGCCCTGGGACAATAACCAGAACTCTGAATGAATGTCCAGAACACTTCCCCACACTTGGCCTGTGGCCTCCCTCCAAGGCTCTCCCCCACTCCTCTCCATCCTGCACGCCCCAGCACTCTGCCTCTCCAGGAAGCCTTCACTGAGCCCTCCCTCCACACCATGGTGCTCAGTCCACAGTCTCTCCCTTCCCTGATCTCCTGCCAGGAGTACCAAGGTCACCTCTCAGCGCCCAGCACACCTTTCAAGACCATCGGTTCTCCCCTCCCCAGCCGTCCCCCCAGTGAACCGGAGCCTCTGAAGGCAGGGATTGCACCATAAATATCTCTGGTGCCCACCCCCTCAGAGTGTCGCCCAGGCCAGGACACCAGAACCTGCTCAACTGGCTGCAGCAAGTCCACCTGAGGACTCAGCCTTGGAGGCCAGAGCAACGCCGGCCCAGCAAGGCTGCCTCTCTTCTCCCAGCACTGCTGTTTGATCCAAGGCACCGTGAGGGTCCAGGCAGGTGGCCCAAGGGAGGGAAGGGAAGGTTCCCAGGAATGCACAGCCTGAGCTGGAGACAGGGGAGAGCTAACAGGGCTGGTAGAAATGACCCATCAGCAGTCGCTGTGACGGCACGAAAACTCCTGCTGCGGGAGCAGCCTCTCAGGGCACAGCAGCTGAAGTCTCTCTGGTGGAAGGTCCCGCCTGAAAGAGCAGGGGGACAGGCCCATCAGCCCTGAGGAGCAGCCACCCCCGGCCCAGCCCCAGACCAGGCAGCAGGGACCTCCCTTCCTCTGAGGTCCCCACCTCAGAATCAGGCTGATGGGGTGCTGCCCTCCCAGCTGGTCTGAGGGCACCTCGGCATGAAGCCCTCCCCCTGCTCCCCTCCTGGCTCCCATCTCCAAGGCCTGAATGCATTCGCATCTTCCGGCTCTCAGGAGCAATTCCAACTGCCCCATTTATATTCCTAAGTAGAGGACTTGTTAATATGGAGCCTGCCTCTGGGGAAGTGGGAATGTGCTGGGTGAGAGATGACAAATCACAGCCCAACAGCCTGGCTGAGAGCACTGATACTCACCTACATCTCATTCATCAGCCCCTGACCCTCCTACCACATAGGCCAAGGGGGCAGCCCTGGAGGAGCCACTGTGGGCTCCAAGAAGCACAGGCATTGGTGGGTGGTGGCAGGGGGATCTGTCCTGCCAGGAGGCTGGGGGAGGGCCCAGCAGCAAGGGGGAGCCCAGTAAGTGGATATGGGTGAGGCCCAAACCAGAGCAATCCCTGGAACAAAACTTCCACTCCTGGCTCCAGTGAGAGAGCGAAAGGCCCAGAACACCATCAGTTTCATCTTGAGCCACACCAGTCCCTGCCTGGAGAAGTATTTGGTCAGTCTAGTGGGCCAAAGCAGGGCCAGGGTGGTTCCTGTTCTGGCTCCAGCCTGGAACCACATGCACACACGCATGCACACACATGCACACACACACACACTCACGGCCCAACCCAGATGCAGGGCAGGGCACGCAGCCAGCCTGGCCAGGTGCTACCTTGGTGAGCTCAGTGCCCAGTCCCAGGTAGGGCGGGTGTGCAGCGTGAGTAATGGCAGGCGAGGAATGCACCCGAATCCTGATAAGGGAGAATAATAACTTGTCAAAGATATATATGATGTGTGTTTGTTTTCCCAACGGAATATCTATGGGGCTAATTCATCAAGCCAGCGGGCTGGCTGGAGACCCAGGGAGGGAGGGAGGAGAGAGGAGGTGCACACAACGGGGCAGCCACTCAGGCAGTTGCTGTGGCCCTCCGGCCTCCAAGGGACCCACAGGCGGGAACACCAGGGCCCTGGAAGGCACTGAAATGGGCCCTGCCCAGCAGGGCTCCCCGCCTCTCAGTGCTCCTCCAGGGAACTTTTGGGTCTGGAATTCACAGGAGGCTTCTCACCTGTTTAGGAATTTCACTGTTCTCTTGTGTGCTCCTTCTCTCATCCACTCTTCCTTCCTTCCTGCTGCACCGTCTGTGCAAAGCCCACCCGGTTTGAGAAGCCGAAAGGTGATCAGAAAACACCACCCCTTCTGGAGAGGTCAGCAGAAGCTGCTCTTCAGGCAGAACAGAGCCAAGAAGGCAGCTCCTACCTCAGCCATCTTCTTCTCATCTATGCCCTGCCAAGAGTGCAGCTCCAAGAGGGCAGATCCAAGAGGGCAGCTCCTACCTGGGCCATCTTCTCCTCATCTATGCCCCACCAAGAGGGCAGCTCCAAGAGGGCAGAGCCAAGAGGGCAACTCCTACCTGGGCTATCTTCTCCTCATCTATGCCCCCCTATGCTCCCCCACCATCTCCCTCCCCCCACACTCCCATACCCCAATCCTCCTAGGCAGAATGGGAGAGAGAAAGAAAGAAGGCAGGAGGGCCCATTCGCCTTGCCCGGGTCATTTCAAAGATGCTGAAGGCAGAAAACCCTCCTGGAAACACAGAGTGCCTGCAGGAGGCTCCACCTGCCACAGATGTGCAGAGGGGCGGGGCCCACCCCCTCACACCCACCCCCTCACCCCCTCACCCCCTCACCAGAGAAGACTCCTCATCTGTCTCTGCCTTAGTGATCACCCATGGGATGAGGGCTTCCTTTCTAACCCCTTCTCTGCCTTGCAATAAGAAACCTTGAGTTCGTGTGCACCCTCCCGGCAGGAGTTCGGCCTGTCCCTCAGCCCCTGCATCCCAAGCCCCCAGCTAGCCTGGGTACAGCCAGGGACCAGTCCCCAGAAGGGGAACCCCAAAATCATGGTCTTGAAGGAAGGGTCCCCAATAAGCCTCCTCAGGAGCCACCTCCAGACCCTGCCCTCATGCTTCCCGTCCTGCAGGCCGGGATGGGCATCTTCCCAGCTGCACCCTCACCCCCAGGGCCTCGGTGTGGCATCTGACTCACAGAACCATCACCCAGCTCTGTGTTCCACCACACACCACTGACAGTGACTCCCTCACCTGGGTTGGCTCCAAGTTGGCATTCAGCATCCTCCTGTACCCATTCATTCAACAAAGGATGGAGCCCCTAGTATGCACCAGGCTCATTCTTGGCACTGGGGACATGCCTATGAAGACAACAGATGAGGAGCCCTGCCGCTGTGGAGCTGATATTGTTAGAATGCTGAAATACTTCCACGCCGATTGCTAAACACCTATCCCACCCAGCACTTCTCGCCCCTACCTCCCCACGGCCCAGCACCTAAAGGTGAACCCCTGTCACAGCTCAGGGGGCTTCTAGGACCCTGCCCAGCTCCATGCCTGGTGTCCATCCTGATGAGCCAGCGCTGGCGCCACAGTGCTGTTAAAGATTTTGACTCTCACCCCTGGATGGCATATCGGTAGCCCATCCTGCAGGAATTAAATGAGAGCTTCTCTGTGCAACAGTCAGCATTGGCTTCCTCCCTTCCTTTCCTCCTTCCTGCCCTCTTCCCCTCCTCCCTTCCTTTCCTCCTTCTTTCTCTCCTTCCTTCACTCCCTCTTCCCCTCCTTCCTTCTCTCCTTCCATCCTTGTCTTTTCCATTCCTTTCTTCTTTGCTTCCTTCCCTCCCTCTTTCTCTACCTCTTTCTCTCCTTCTTTCCTTCTTTCCCTCTTTCTTTTCTTTCTGCTTTCCCTCTCTCCTTCTTTCCCTTCTACCTTCATTCTTTCCCCCTTCTCTTCCTCCTTCCCTCCTTCCCCTCCTCCCTTCCCTCCTTCTCTCCTTCTTTCCTTGCCTTCTTCCCTTCCTTCTTTCTCTCCCTCCTTCCCTCCTTCTCTTCCTCCTTCTCTCCATTCTTCCCTTCCTCCCTTCCTCCTTCTCTCCTTTCTTCCCTTCCTCCCTTCCTTCTTTCTCTCTCCTTCCCTTCCTCCCTTCTTTCTCTCTCTCCTTCCCTCCTTCTTTCCCTGCTTCCCTTCCTCCCTTCCTCCCTTCCATCCTCTTCCTCCCCTCCCTCCTTATCTCCCTCCTTCTTTATTTCCCTTCCTCCCTTCCCTCCTTCCTTCTTGTTTGAGGCCCAGGGTCTCCCTCTTAGCTACCTTACCCTCTCCAGACCTTCAGCTCTGGGCACAGATCTGAGAGACCACCTGTCAGTGCCCACAGTCTCCCTCCCTCCCACACAGAGCCATCTCCCGGATCCTGAGGGCCAGGAAATATGGAGAGCAGGCTCCAAGAGTGCCAACTTATCCCCCACCTCCCCGCCCTCTCCACTGCTCCCTAATGGACACTGATAGCCCATTCCCCTCTCTGCCTCCTCTGTCCCTCTTCCCAACACTCTTGGTTGGCTGCCCTGTCCATGGAGGGCAGGCCCCAGGGCTGGAGGAGGCTGCAGGGCGCTGGCCTAGCCCCTCCCAGGGTATGAGGAAGGGGAGAGGAAAAAGGGGGTGTGCCCCCTGCCAGTGTAGCCTAAAGCTGGAGAGCAATTAACTTGGCATTTTCAAACAAGGGCAGAGGAAGCGGGAGCCACAGGACTGAGTCAGCACATCAGAGAGGCGGTCGCCAAGCTGGCTCAGCTCATTAACAGGACAGGGCTGAGCCAACGAGAAACAAGGTCAGAGAGAAGGGGTGGGAGACCCAGATGAGATGGGCTGGGGGAGGACGAGTCAGGAAGGCAGCAGCAGGCCCCGCACCATCCCCGCCCTGCAGCCAGCCTGGATTCCATCCTGACTGCCCACTGCCCAAGATCCGCCCTCACCCTCCACGCCCCCACACAACCTCTGCCCCCACCCACCAATCGGCACACATTTCCCAAGCACCTGCTTCAGGACTGGAGTAAACCCCTCCAGGACTTGACCTTCCAGGAAGATGTGGGCCAAAGCCCTGGGGCCTAAGAAAGAGCACAGGGCTAGAGAGGATGGAGGCAGATGAGGGCCAGGAGACTTCATGGAGGAGGTGGTCTTTCAGTAGCTACATTTAAAGTAAGGTTGCATATCCTGCCTTTTTCCTAAAAGGAAACAAAGCAGCTGAATCCTGCTATGTGCTGAGTACCTTACCAGGTGCTGGAGGCACGACCCACATGGCCTATGATCCTTACCTCATCAGCCTGCAAGGTTCTCTCACTTGTAGAGGAGGTGAGAGGCACAGAGAGGCTGAGTGGGAGGTAGGGAGGTAAGTGACTCACTCAAACCCATATAGCTAGAAAAGGGCGGGGCTGGGATTTACACCTGGGTCCGTCTGACTCCGAAGCCTATGTTTTGTTTTGTTTTGTTTTGTTTTGTTTTGTTTTGTTTTGTTTTGTTTTTGTTTTGTTTTGAGACAAAAATCTCACTCTGTCACCCAGAGTCTCACTCTGTTGCCCAGGCTGGAGTGCAGTAGTGTGATCTCGGCTCACTGCAGCCTCCGCCTCCCGGGTTCAAGCAGTTTTCCTGCCTCAGCCTCCTGAGTAGCTGGGACTACAGATGCCCGCCACCACGCCTAGCTAATTTGTGTATTTTTAGTAGAGACAGGGTTTCACCATGTTGGCCAGGATGGTCTTGATCTCCTGACCTCGTGATCTGCCCGCCTCGGCCTCCCGAAGTGCTGGGATTACAGGCATGGGCCACCATGCCCGGCCAGCCTGTGTTCTTTCTAAGGCAGGGCTCCTGCAGGTAGGATTTGGCAAGGCTGAGAACAAGGAAGATCCCCAGAGAAGGCAGGGTGTGGGGACAAGGCCCAGATGTGAGAATAAATTGAGTGAGTTCCAGCAACCAGGCCACCAGCCAGGCTAGAGGTGAGGCTGAGATGTCTCCAGCAGCCTCCAGCAGCCCCAGGACAGGGCTTCACACTCAGGGGGTCAATGACCAACGTACCACAACTTGGGAGGATCTCCTGAGCCACACAGTAAAGCATCCTTGCAGACAAGAACCAAGAATGCACCAGAATATCACACTGAACCACGGCATCATGATTGCCAATTCTACTGGCCTGCCCGCCTTTCTTTTCTCCTTCCTTCTGTCTTCCCTTCCTTTCCCTCT
The DNA here is from genome assembly GCF_000001405.40 of Homo sapiens. Taxonomy (NCBI): domain Eukaryota; kingdom Metazoa; phylum Chordata; class Mammalia; order Primates; family Hominidae; genus Homo; species Homo sapiens. The sequence goes on from NC_000011.10 coordinate 116,698,114, forward strand.
TTCCTTGATTAATTATTGACCCTTGAGAGAGGGACCATCTCCAAGAGGCTGTGTGTGGCTCTCTCTGGTTCTGATGTTACTGCTCTTTTCTAAGTAAGGATGGTTTAGGCAGAAGGCTCAAGGCAGGGGCCACAGGCTGGGGGGAAGTTTAGTGACAGTCAAGAACTGGACAAAATCTCTGGAGTAAGCCACACCATAACTGTGTTGGCCATAAGACACGGGCTCCCAGTTGGGTAGAGTCTGGAGGAGGAAGGGATTCCCTTGCTCAGCTAAATTCCTGGTCTGAATTTCTCATTAGCATCAACCTCAGAAGTCCCCTCTTTCCAGTCTCATGATATGGCTGTCCCTATACTCCCATCTCCTCATCTAGATATAGACAGATCTTCCCTTTTCTTCATAGCCTGCTCAGGTGAGGTTAAAACATTCTGCAAATCAGTTTTATTAAAAAAAAAAAAAAAAACCAGCCGGGCGTCGTGGCTCATGCCTGTAATCCTAGCACTCTGGGAGATAGAGGCAGGTGGATCACGAGGACGGGAGATCGAGACCATCCTGGCTAACACCGTGAAACCCCGTCTCTACTAAAAATATAAAAAATTAGCCGGGCATGGTGGCAGGCGCCTGTAGTCCCAGCTACTCGGGAGGCTGAGGCAGGAGAATGGCATGAACCCAGGAGGTGGAGCTTGCAGTGAGCTGAGATCGTGCCACTGCACTCCAGCCTGGGCGACAGAGCAAGACTCCATCTCAAAAAAAAAAAAAAAAAAAAAAAAAAAGGTACATAAATGCAAAATCAATGGACAGGTATCCCAACACGTTTGTCGAATGATACAATTATTCCACTAGATTTCACTAGAGTAAGTTCTTGGAGGCAGGAGTTTTGACTTTTTGTATGCATCTGTATCCCTGATGCCTAGAAAAGTGCCTGCCACATAGTAGATGCTCAATACATCTTTGTTGAATGAATAAATTCATAAAGAAGGAATGGATGCGGCCAGTTCCAGTGGCTCACACATGTAATCCCAACACTTTGGGAAGCCGAGACAGGCAGATCACTTGAGGTCAGGAGTTCAAGACCAGCCTGGCCAACATGGTGAAACCCCAACTCTACTAAAAATACAAAAATTAGCCGGGCATGGTGGCGTGCACATGTGGTCCCAGCTACTTGGGAGGCTGAGGCATGAGAATCACTTGAACCCAGGAGGTGGAGGCTGCAGTGAGCCAAGATGGTGCCACCACACTCCAGCCTGAGCAACAGAGCCAGACTCCATCTCAAAAATAAAAAATAAAAAAATGGGGGATGAATGGAAAGAATACCTGCCCTGCTTGGTGCTAAACGTGGCTCTCCCCTTCACCAAAGCTCATTTCTTTCATTTTCAGCTCTATACATCTCCAACCTGATGAGGCCACAGGACTCCCTGCTGCCCTCAGTATGACTTACAAACAAGCCCCACCTCAAACCCACCCTCCTTCCTTTGCAGATTCCTTTCTCACCCCCTCCACTCTGCATCATACACCCTTCACCCTGCTGACCACACCAACCATACCAGCACTTGCTGCCATCCTCAATGACAACTGCCACCTGCTATATACCAGGCACAGAGGAAACACTCCTTTTGTGGAATCTACAAAGGGTGCTAAGCACTCTATGGGAATCACCTCATGCAATCTTCACAGTGCTGTACGCAGGTACTAACCTTGCACCCATTGGCCAGGTGCTGTGGCTCACACCTGTAATCCCAGCATTTGGGAGGCAGAGGTGGGTGGATCACCTTAGGTCAGGAATTCAAGACCAGCTTGACCAACATGGTGAAACCCCATCTCTACTAAATACAAAAAAATTAGTCGGGTGTGATGGAGGGTGCCTGTATTCCCAGCTACTTGGGAGGCTGAGGCAGGAAAATCGCTTGAACCCAGGAGGCGGAGGCTGCAGTGAGCCAAGATTGCACCATTGCACTCCAGGCTGGGCAACAAGAGTGAAATTCCACCTCAAAAAAAATAAAAAATAAAAAATAGGCTGGGTGTGGTGGTGCACGCCTGTCATCCCAGCACTTTGGGAGGCCGAGGCGGGTGGATCACCTGAGGTCAGGAGTTTGCAACCAGCCTGACTAACATGGCGAAACCCTGTCTTTACTAAACACACAAAAAAAAATTAGCCAGGTATGGTGGCGCATGCCTGTAATCCAAGCTACTTGGGAGGCTGAGACAGGAGAATCGCTTGTATCTGGGAGGCAGAGGTTGCAGTGAGCTGAGATGGCACCATTGTACTCCAGCCTGGGCAACAAGAGTGAAACTCCGTCTCCAAATAAATAAATAAATAAAGAAGATTGCACCAATTTTAGAGACAAAGAAACTAGGATGAGAGAGGCTCAAGGTTACACAACCGGTATATACCAGACTCAGACCATTAACTGTTTCCAAAACCCATGCCATCTACCTCTAAGAGTGATGGTGGACCTCTGACTCCCACCAGGACAGCTTTTAAGGTCTTCACGAAGCATCACATTCAAGAATTTCCATGACATTGAATTTGCACTTGCCCCAAAGACATTCATTCAATAAATCCTGAGCACCAACTATGTGTTCAGTGGATGTGTAAATGGTGGCCATCAGATCCTTGTCTTGGAGTAGTCATGGTCCTTGTGGTAGACGTCGCCTTTGCCTGGGGTCTGTGGTGCTGACAGCAGTCCTTCCATCTCTAATGCTGCGGTGTGTGCATCAGTCTAGGGAAACCCTCTCTCCTTTGGTTTTCCTGGACATGGGCTAAGGTGGCCTGCAGTTCTCAGCTTGCTTGCAGAACTGACCTGCCCAACAGGTCTTTTGCTCTAAGAACAATCAAACACAAGTTACCTTGCTTCCTAGAGAGCTCTCTGACAAGCCATCACTCAAGAGTTCCCCTTGAAGAAGGTGTTGTGGGGCCCTAACACTACACTCTTGCAACATAAACCACTTCACACACTTCAACAGTGAGAAACACCATCTCCTCCAAGCAAAGCAGCATGGTGTCCTAACGGAAGTGTCCAGCAGGCATGGGTCAGAGATGAACACATCATTCCACCTGAAAGGGGCGAATGATTCTACTTTCTGAAAGTTCCTAAGTGATTACTGGTCTACCCTCTCACTTTGCAAACAAGGACACCTGAGACCTGTCAGAGAAGGTTAGAGACTCATCCCACCTCCTAAGAGATGGAGCTGGGACATGGACCCGCTTTTCTGGTCCCATGTCAAGGGCCCCTTCCCAGGTCAAGGGCTCCTTCTCCTATCACGACATGCTCAATGTGACAGGGTCAGGTCAGCGCGGGTGCTGGGGTAGAGCAGGGTGGGGCCAGGCCTGATGTCAAGTAATAGCATAGCAGCCACCAAGGCGCCCTGGCAGGGTTGTCTTAACTTCAAGGAAATTGCAAGAGAATGTTGCTTCCCTACACACCTATTCTGGCAGCTGACTGGCTTTGGGCTTGTCTGGATCTGCTGTGGGCTTGCAGGGTCCTCATGCACCCAGGCCCACAGGGTCTTTGTCTGAAGGAAGGGTCCCATTTCTACAGCCAGGCCGGCGTAGAGGCCAGGAGGGTGGGAACAGCCCAGCTTGTCTGGAGGGGCCCAGAGTCTTGAGCATCAGAGCCCTGGGGAGCAAGTTGTCTCCTGCACCCAGGACAAGGGGGTGCAATGACACCCTGACACCTCCCCTCTTCTTCTCCCCAACCCGGCCCCCAGCAGAGCCAGTTGTCCTCCTCCCTAGCCCAGGCTGGGGGAAGTTTCTCCTGTTAGAGTTGAAAGGAGCCTCTTCAGTGATTAAGCCAGACCTGTTCTTCAAGTCCTCCAGCCATAATGAGATTTTTGCTGTTCCCAATTAGCTTACTTTTTGACAACATTGTGCCTTCTCTTCTGTCATTTCCTCCTGCCCTGTCTCAGCCCGTTGAAATGCGGCCCATCTTTTAAGACCCATTTCAAAGCTGGCCTCCTCCACTGTCCCTGTGGGCAGTCTCTCTCCCAGCCCAGAGCCTCTGGCCCCTCCAGACCCACACATCATTTTCTAGTGTGTGCTGTGACATTTGTAAATGTCTTTTTCCTAGCCCAGTGCCTGCCACAAAGAAAGCTCAAAATTAGTTTTTAATTGAATAAATAACTCCAACATACTCATTATGTTACAGATGAGGAAACTGCAGCTGGAAGAAGCTGAGTGGCTTCCCCAAGGTCCCATAGCTAGTCAGTGCCAGAGGCAGCTCCAAAACTCATAACAATTGTGATCCCACCCTGTCTTCTTTCCCTGACCCCATAACTCCTCTTACTACCTGCATCGAGCCAGAGGCCACAAGCTCAGGATCAGTGATTTTTTAATTGCCATATGTATCACACATACAGAAGAAGATATAAATATATAAGTACAGTTAAAAGGACAACAATCAGGGTCAGGTGCGGTGGCTCATGCCTGTAATCCCAGCACTCTGGGAGGCTGAGGCAGGCGGATCACCTGAGGTCAGGAGTTCAAGACTAGCCTGGCCAACATGGTGAGACTCCAACTCTACTAAAAATACAAAAATTAGCCAGGCATGGTGGCAGGCGCCTGTAATCCCAGCTACTTGGGAGGCTGAGCCAGGAGAATGCCTTAAACCCAGGAGGTGGAGGTTGCAGTGAGCCGAGATCATGTCATTGCACTCCAGCCTAGGCCACAGAACGAGACTCCATCTCAAAAAAAAAAAAAAACAAACAAACAAAAAGGATAACAATCAGTCACCTATCTGTGTCTCCACCACCTGGTTAAGACATGCAGTGTTACTGGTGCCTGGGAAGCTCCCGGTGTGCCCTTGCTCCCCCGCTGTGCCCCTCCTGCATTGCCCTGGAGTTAACCACTCTGCTAACTTTTGTGTGAATCATTCCCTTGCTTTGCTTTATGGCTGTGCCACTTTTATGTGTCTCCCTAACAATGTATCACCTTTTGCTTACACAGCTAGGTTTGTGCTTGCTATTCTGTTTTTCAAAACCACACAGGATCTGTGATCGCTGCAGTGCTTAACACTGTTACGTTTAAGTCTTCCCAGTGCAGTGAACTCTGAGCAGATGCCTGTTATAAAACCAGGCCACAAACACATGTACAGAGTCCTCCCATCAGATCTCACGCGCTCTCTCCTAAAAGCCACTTTATTTTAGGCACTGAATTAATGATATACAAATGACATGCACAGTGATGTGGAATTAGCATATGTCTTGGATTTTTTTTCAGGAAGAGATTTTGTATGTGTGTGGAAAAGTCAACTGCTCAGGCCCTTTCCAAACGGTTTGTTTTGATCCCAGTTGTCTGACAACGGGGACCTGCCCTTGTGTTTGGAGGCAGAAAAGAGCCCCCAGGAGCGTGTGAGGAGAAGCAGGCTCAGAGGGTCCCCCAGGCCCCTCTTCCCTTCCCCCACAGCCAGCTTTCACCACGGTGGCTTTGGCCCACAGCTGCCCTAGCCCAGGGACCCGATGGCAGGCAGAAGCAGACCTACTTTGGTTTCCATGGTAACCGCGGGAGTGCGCCGCAGCCAACAAGGCAGCTGGTTTGAAGGGTGTTGATCTCTCTGCAGACCAGCAAGGCAGAACCACTAGGGACCAGAGGTGGCAACCGAGCCAGAAGGAGCCACAGGAGCTGGGTATGCAAAGTTCACGGGGACCTGTCTGAAGAGCCCAACCGCTCTTCCCCAACCCTCTGCCACCCATCCACCCAAACAGAGGCACTCGCTGAGCAGAGCACATCCAGGCTCCACTGTGAACACAACTCAGACCCGCATTCACACCAAATACATCCCAGCTTCACATCTGTGGACCCATTTTCACCAAGGAGACACATGAAAGTGGCACAGCCATAACACAAAGGAGGGGAATGATTCACACAAAAGTTAGGAGAGTGGTTAACTCAGGGGCAATGAAGGAAGGGTCATAGTTGGGGGTTGGGGTGGCACAGGGAGCTTCCAAGGCACTAACAACATTCGATGACAAAAATACAGACCCCTGGGGCTGGGTGCGGTGGCTCATGCCTGTAATCCCAGCAATTTGGGAGGCAGAGGTGGGGGCATCACTTGAGGTCAGGAGTTCCAGACCAGCCTGGCCAACATAGTGAAACCCCGTCTCTACTAAAATTACAAAAATTATCTGGGCGTGATGGCTTGAGCCTGTACTCCCAGCTACTCGAGAGGCTGAGGCAGTAGAATTGCTTGAACCTGAGAGGTGGAGGTTGCAGTGAGCCGAGATCGCGCCATGGCACTCCAGCCTGGGCAACAGAGCCAGACTCTGTCTCAAAAAAAAAAAAAAAAAAAAAAGACTCCTGCATATAAATGCTTATTCACACATAGTATATAAGATTGACACCCAGAAAGATCCACATTCACCCCAATCACCTTATCTATACGCACCCCCCTACTGTACAGACACTGCTCAGGTGGGGCATGTACTCCATTCACCGCATGCATGCACAGACCCATATCTCCCTGACACACCTATGCCCACCTGTGTACTCACAGGGACACCCCCAGACACATACCCAAAATGCAGATCACAACCTCCAAATGTTACAACTCAGAAGCTGAGGAGCCCAAGCTTTCTGAAACGACTCAAAAACAAGATTGTGCTTCCATTCAGTGCTGGAACCAAATCACTAAACCCTAACAAAGACCCCCCAGGCTTGTTGCCTCGTAAACCAGGCCCATCATGGAGGGAGGCCTTTCTTCTTCTCTGTTTATTTACTCAGAGCAGTTTTTTCTATCCTCCATAAATGCCAAAAGGACAAAAATGTGTCACTCAGACTTGAAATAAAAACGCTTATGATAGCCTTACAGAGACACACACTCCTCTTTAAGACGCCCATGTGTGGTGCCCACCATGAGCATGCCCCACGAGGTGCGCCACCCACCACCCCACAAGACAAGGACAAGATGCCTTCTGGGTACTGCTCTAGGAAGGCAGGAAATGTTGTAAGAAGCACGGAGTATCTTGCTAGGCCGGGGGTCAGCTCCTGACCTGGCCGGGACACCTCACAGCCATAGACTCCATCCACATAGGCCCTTGAGAACAGGAGGTCACAGAGACACTTGTGGAGGACATTTGGTTGAGAATCTCTTGAAGCACATTTGAAGATTCGTGGCATTATTTTCAATATTGTCTTAATAATCACTTTTTTTTTTTTTTGAGACGGAGTCTCGCTCTTGTCACCCAGGCTGGAGTGCAGTGGCGCAATCTCGGCTCATTGCAACCTCCATCTCTCCAGCTCAAGTGATTCTCCTGCCTCAGCCTCCCGAGTAGCTGGGATTACAGGCACCCACCACCATGCCCAGCTCATTTTTGCATTTTTAGTAGAGAAGGGGTTTCACCACACTAGCCAGGCTGGTCTCGAACTCCTGACCTCAGGTGATCTGCCCACCTCCGCCTCCCAAAGTGCTGGGATTACAGGCATGAGCCACTGTGCCCAGCCGATCACTTCTTAATGTGCAGAAATTGAAAGGTGTATGTAGCATGTACACATGTCTGTATGCTTATTATAATAATGACCATATTTATTGGGCACAAAAGGTCAATACATGTTAGCTATTGTTATTATTGTAATTTTACATGGTTAATGAAAATAATGTAGAAGTAGGGGGTTGTTAAGATGAGCTTCCTTTATTTCCTAGGGTTTTGATTCAATAAACTCTTTTCAGTTTTAGCAGTAGCAATATTGCATTGTGCTGTATTTTACAAAACAATTTCACGTACACTATCTCCTTTCAATCCTGGAGCAGCTCCTGGGTGAGGGAATGATGCTGGGGGAGGGAGCAGGTCATAGATGAGTAAGACCCAGACCCAGGCCTTCGAGAGCTCACAAGCTAGTGAGGAAGGGTTCCAGGAGCAGCTTTGAAACCATACCACGAGGCCTCAGGTTGTCACAAAGGACCTGCCAAAGGCAGTGAAGCACAGGAAAGGGAGTCATTCGTTGCTCGGGAAGAATCAGGAAGGGCTGGATAATCAAAGAAAGCTTCACGGAAGAAGTCCCACTGGAGCCAGGCCTAGAAGCATAAGTAGATTGAGGCAAGCCAAGTTCTGGGCTGGAAAAGGGCACTGAGGTCCCAGGCACAGCTGCAGAACAGAAGTTGGTGGGCCTAGGTAGCCTGACTTGAGGGGCTGGGGCAGGAGCAGGGGGAAATAAAGCTGTGAAGGTAGACTGAGGCGGGATTCGGAAAGGCCTTGCACCAGAGGCCAAAGCATCTGGCCCCAGCAAATGACCAAGTGTTTGAAACAGCCAGTCTTGTGCTCCAGAGAAACACCTCACATACCCTAAGGTTAGTGGGGATTTAACCCGAGCATAAACCAGTAGGATTAAATCATGACATACACACAGAGAACACCTTTTTTTTTAAACTAGATTCTTTGATCCCATAGAACTACCCAACTCTTCTTGTCCCTACCATGACTTGTGGGTATCTGACCCTACTGTTCATGGAATTTTAGATTTTCCTGCTTGAAAGGGAAGGGACGGCCAGGCGCAGTGGCTCATGACTATAATCCCAGCACTTTGGGAGGCCGAGGCAGGTAGTTCACCTAAGGTCAGGAGTTCCAGACCAGCCTGGCCAACATAGTGAAACCCCATCTCTACTAATAATACAAAAAATTAGTCAGGCATGGTGGCAGGCACCCGAAATCCCAGCTACTTGGGAGGCTGAGGCAGGGGAATCGCTTGAACCCGGGAGGCGGAGGTTGCAGTGAGCCGAGATTGCGCCACTGCACTCCAGCCTGGGCAACAAAAGCGAAACTCCGTCTCAAAAAAAAAAAGAAGAAAGAAAAGAAAAGAAAAGAAAAAAAGAAAGGGAAGGGACTTTCTCTGTCTAAATGTCACTCCTGGGTCAGGCTGCTGTGTCCTCTTTTCCCAACGCTGGTGATTAGAAACTTCTTGCTTCTCTGCCATGGTGGTGGGCATGGTGATGTGGGGTACAGCTGGGAGCCTCAGGTCCACACGGGAGATTTAAGATTGCACCCTCTCAGGAACAAAGCCAGAGCCCCCGTCCAAACCCCTACACCTAGCTCAGGCCCTGACCCGTAGAAGGTTCTCCATAAATGTCTGCTGAACTGCCCTGCGTTGCTGGGTCACGCGAGGAAAATGGAATTAAGAGTCCGCTGACCCGGAGGGCTGGTTCCGGCGCACTATTGACTGGCTCCAGGGCCTTGAGCCGGGGATTTAACCTCTCGGCTTCTCGATTTCCTCGCTGGCAAAATGAATCTGATACCGCCCTGACCGCCCTTGCTTAGCAGGGGTGAGTCTCACTAGAGGCTGAAGGCGTGAGAAAGGCACAGAGCGCTGTCCAGGCAGGGAGCCACTCGGGCTGCCACCTCCCGCGCCCGCTGGAGACCGTAAGCCAGGAGAGCTGGCTCAGCCGTCAGCAATTACCTGCGCCCCGAACACAACACCTGCGCTCCACTTCCGCACAGGCAGATGGTGCAATCTGGCCGCGCCGCACCCTCCCGCACCCCACCCGCGGCGGCCTTGCCGTGACAGCGCTCGCGCCAGGTGTCGGTGTGCAGGCTGGTCCGGGACGCTGCGACTGCAGCCGGCAGGAACCCGCGCGAGGGGAAAGGGGCGCTGGGACCAGGCCATGGGATGCCCAAGGCACCCCTCTCAAGTCCAAGGGAATAAGGCCAGCTTCTCCTGGATTCTTAAAACCCCTCTGAAAGGAGAGCAGGGAGCAGGTATCAGCTCCCTGCGTTCCACGTGGAGAGACTGGGGCTCAGAGAGACGAGGTGGCCTGAGGATGGACACACACATATTAAGTGATGGGGGCGGAGGGAAGCCCAAGTCTCTAACTCCGGGTCCACCATTCCTCCCCGGGCTGGCACTGCTCTGACTGCACAGACCAGCTGACTCGTCTTGGGCAAGGGTGGAATTCTTCCTTTTGCCCAGGGCTGGCTTTGCCTCCTTCCACCCCGTGGCCTTGCCACTCCTGTGCCACCCAGCCTCCTCCCAAACACCACGCCCATCTCACATACCCTAAGGTTAGTGGGGATCTGAGCCAAGCATAAACCTGTAGGATTAAATCATGACATACACACAAAGAACACTTTTTTTTCCTTTTTTTTTTTTTTTTTTGAGACGGAGTCTCGCTCTGTCGCCCAGGCTGGAGTGCAGTGGCGCGATCTCGGCTCACTGCAGGCTACGCCTCCCGGATTCACGCCATTCTCCTGCCTCAGCCTCCCGAGTAGCTGGGACTGCAGGCGCCTGCCACCACGCCCGGCTAATTTTTTGTATTTTTAGTAGAGACGGCGTTTCACTGTGTTAGCCAGGATGGTCCCCATCTCCTGACCTAGTGATCTGCCCCCCTCGGCCTCCCAAAGTGCTGGGATTACAGGCATGAGCCATCGCGCCCGGCAAAAGAACACCTTTTTTTAAAAGTAGATTCTTCAGTTCCATTGAACTACCCAACTCTTCTTGTTCCCCAAGAATCGTGGGGAGCTGACCCTACTGCTCATGGAATTTTAGGTTCTCCTGCTTGAAAGGGAAGGGACTTCTGCTGTCTAAATGTCACCCGAGTCAAGCTGCTATGTCCTCTTTGCAGCCTGTAATCACCTATGCTGGCAATTAGAAACTCCTTGCTTCTCTTTCACTGAAATCCATCAGTCTCCTGAAGGACCCAGTCGTCCCTATTGGAGCCACACAACAAATCCACTCTGCCTTTTTCTGCACCATCCAGCCTGTGTTCGGAGGCAGCTCTGTCTCTTCCCAACCAAGGGCCTTCCTTCACCCGTTCCTCAGAAGCCATGCTTGCGAGTTCCTTTCTCTGTCTGCTCATGTCCTTCAGAGCTCAGCACAAACCTGGGTTTTGACCATGTGTCAGGCAGTGTGCTCAGTGCACGGCCTCCTGACAACCACCTCCAGAGACGAACACTACCGTTAGCCCCATTTTACAGATGAGGAGGCTGAGAAGTGGAAGAACTTAGTAGGAGTTACACAGCAAGCAGCAGAGCCGATGCTGCTTCTCCCCGCTGTGCCTTGTGACCCCCAAGGAGAGCTGTTCTCTCACCCAGCAGTTCCATTGAAGGACAAGGCCACTGTGCTTGGAGTCAAAACATCTGGCTTTGCACTCCACTGTGCCATTTATTTCTATTTATTTTATTATTATTTATTTATTTATTGAGACAGCGTCTCACTCTGTCACCCAGGCTGGCATCCAGTGGAACAATCTCAGCTCACTGCCACCTCCATCTCTTGGATTCGAGTGATTTGCCTGCCTCAGCTTCCTGAGTAGCTGAGATTACAGGTGCCCACCACCAAGCTGGGCTAATTTTTGTATTTTAGAAGAGATGGGGTTTCACCATGTTGGTCGGGCTAGTCTCGAACTCCTGACCTCAAATGATCTGCCTACCTCGGCCTCCCAAAGTGCTGGGATTATAGGCACCTGGCCCCCACTGTGCCATTTATTATTATAGGCACGCCTGGCCCCCACTGTAGCATTTATTATTGTGTGACCCAGGCAAGCCACATGTCTCAGTCTCCTGGTCTGTGAAATGGGGATTATTATAGTATCACCTTCCAGGCTGTTTTGGAGGCTAGGACGCATGTCTGCGTGACCTCAGGACTGGTACTCCACATTAGCTCCCACTTCCCCTCCCAACTGGCTCACAGGAGCTAGAGCAAATGAGGAGATTCATGCTGCACCCTATGGGGCTCGAGCACCTCCCAGGTTAGGGAGCCAGGTTCAAGCTTCCAGGTCCCCCACCTGGCGTGGAGTCACTCTCTAAAATGATTTGTCAAGTGACAAGCAAAAATATATTACCAATTTAAGAGTGTGATTTGCCTGCAACTTTTTAATCCTCGGGCTGTTGTTGAATAGATTAAAGTGTCTGCTTTGATCCATGCATTTAGATGGAAACATAAATATAGCCATCACTTATTCTCCCGGCCGCCAGGATGGGTGTCCTGCTGCATCACTCCGCTTCCCACCCAGCCAGGCTAATGCATGAGAATGTCCTTTTTGTCATTCACATCCCTCTTGCATTTCACCACTGACTCTTCTGCTCCGGCCAGCACCCCTCAGCCCTGCCTAATTTGACCACGGCTCACGCTGGGAGATCATCACCACGGAAAGGGTGGGGGCAGTCCCGCAGGGCTTCCCAGCTGCCCGATGCTGCAAACTTCCCCCAGCTTGGCAGAGCCCTGCAAGAATAAATCTCTGGAGAAATAGATTTTGAAGAGGAATTTGGTACATAGATCTTCTGTCAGCGGAGCAGACTCCGGCTCAGCTGTTTTTCAAGTTCGCTGCTTATCCAGAGATACATCTATTTTTACATGGATCTCTGGCGAGATTTCCTCTTCCCTCACAGGGTAGGAGGCCTTTGAGGGAGCCCAAGGGCTGGCAGCGGTGGTAGCCATGGGGACACGGGGCAGGGGGAGCCAGGGAGGGGCTGGTGCAGTCCTGGGCTTCCTCCACCTGCAGCATCCTCCCTCGGCCCTTCTGCTGAGCAATGGGACCGGCCTCCCTGAGCCTCTATCACTGCACTGGCCCCTCTGCGCCCCCTCCACCCACCCAAAGGCCCCAGCCATCTCCGTGACCCCCAAGCCTGAAGTCCCCTGAGGAGGCCAAGGGCTGGGCTGAGCTGTGGACAAGTGTTGGGCGTGGACACATACAAATGTGCACACTGGAGGGTCCCCACCATGTGCCCACAAAGACTGGCAGGGCCTGCCCACTGCCCCAGGTTCATCCTGGACCTACCTGTGGAGCTGCTGCAAACAGTAGGAGCCAGCTCTGAGCTGTGCCAGAGGAGAAATGGCTGGCAGGGGTGCCAAGCAGGGTGCTCTGGCAGGCAATTAGGCCCCAGACAATGGCCCGCAAATGTCAGAAGTGGCGGGAAGGCTGGAATTCACTGAGGCCTTGGGCATATGGAGGAGCACATGGAAGGGCACAGGGATGACCATGTGCCGATGGAGCCAAAAGCCATGGAGCTGATGCTTTCCTGCTCCCCATAGAGCCCTCTGGCAGGCTGGACACCCTTATGCTTCCTCTTCCCAAGTCCCCTCGAAAAAATCCCCTCACTCCAGGAAGCTCTGTGCTGTGAGGCCCAGCCCCCCAAGATAATCAGGGAAGAGAAGATAGTCCCAGGATAGGAATGACCGCACAGTGACTACATCTGCTGCCCGGCCTGGCTCTGTCCCTGCCCAGCTCTATCCCTGCCCCTTCCCCACAGGCCGGCCTCCACCTCCAGAGGGTTCTGTTTCCAAGATGCCCAGAGGTCCAGACCCAGCCAGTCCTGCCCAAGTACCCAAGCCCTGGGGGCAGACTTCCAGCCAGGAAGTAGCATTGGGCCAGGGTACAAACCTCCACCTCGTAGCCAGACCAGCAGGTCCTCCATGGGCTCAGCACTACCCAGCAATGATCATGGATCCACCCTTGGTCTCTTCCCCCTGAAGCTTCCAGTTCCATTCTCAGCCTCATCAGCCCATTCCCCTGTGAGAGCCTCGTCCCTGAAATTGTATCGCCTCTCTCTTCTTCCAGCTGTGCCAGTCTCTTCCTCTACCCTGCTTTCCAATGCCCCACGCCCGCCCCTTCTCTCCCTACATGCTGACACACAGTTCCTGTGGGCCCTGTTGAGCCTTTTATGTGTTCTTAGTCCTTCTCTCCCTCCTTCCTTGGCCCCTGCACTCAGAAATGCACATTCCCATCACTACCAACCATCCCATCACCAGCTCATGGCCTTTGTACACCCTCCTGCCGGGCCTCTGCTCTTCAGCTCTCCCTGGCCTCACAGATGGGACCTCGCCTGGCTCCTCTCCTTCCTGGGCCTGCTCTCTCTCTCTTTACTCTTCTTCCTCTTTCTACCTTTTCTTTGGTCATCCCCTATGGCTCTTGCCCAATTTTCTTTCTACCCTCTCTCCCCAAGCCCCAAAACATTGCTGCCATGTGAATGTCTCACACATTTGTATCACCAGGTGTGACATTTCTGGTGTCCTCAACTGCTCCTAAGATAGTTCCAGGTTGGCAGGAACTCTCCTGTTATCCCTAAGTCATCCTGTCTGCAACAAATGCATCATCTACCCTCAATAACCAGCTCCTTGGCTGGGCGCAGTGGCTCACGCCTATAATGCTAACACTTTGGGAGGCCGAGGCAGGCAGATCACTTGAGGTCAGGAGTTCGAAACCAGCCTGGCCAATGTAGTGAAACCTCATCTCCACTAAAAATATAAAATAATTAGCTGGACATGGTGGCGGGCACCTGTAATCCCAGCTACTTGGGAGTTTGAGACAGGAGAATTGTTTGAACCCAGGAGGTGGAGGTTGCAGTGAGCCGAGATCGTGCCACTGCACTCCAGCCTGGGCGACAGAGCGAGACTCCATCTCAAAAAATAATAAAAATAAATAAATAAATAAATAACCAGCTCCTCCTCCTAGAGTGACAAGTGAGGTTTTTTCTCTTGTTTCCTCACCGGATCCTAGGTTTACTCCTCCTTTCCCCTAACTCTCCTGCCCCTCACCAACGCACCCATGTAACCAATCATCATCCTCTAGTTGTCTTTGAAATGACTCAGCACCTGCCCAAGCCATTCCATTCTCATTACACCCCAGGTTCTAGCCCTTATTTCCATTCATCAGGACTATGGCAGGTGCTGCCTAATCTGCCCTGCCTCATACAGTAGGCAATACTGCCTCTCCCGCAAAAGTCCATGCCCTAATCCTGGAACCTATGAATACGTTACATGACATAGCAAAGAGGGTTTTGCAGATGTAATTAAGGTTACCAACCTTAAAATACAGAGCTTAGCCTGGATTATCCAGGTGGGAACACCTAATCACATGAGCCCTTAAAGGCAAAGAATTTTCTCCAGCTGAAATCAGAGATGAAGCAAAAGACAAAGTGCCAAAGGAAATGTGGCAGAGGCCGGGCACAGTAGCTCACACCTGTAATCCCAGCACTTCAGGAGGCCGAGGTGGGTGGATCACCTGAGGTCAGAAGTTCGAGACCAGCCTGACCAACATGGAGAAACCCCATCTCTACTAAAAATACAAAAATTAGCTGGGTATGGTGGCGCATGCCTGTAATCACAGCTACTCAGGAGGCTGAGGCAGGAGAATCACTTGAACTCTGGAGGCGGAGGTTGCGATGAGCTGAGATCGCGCCATTGCACTCTGGCCTGGGCAACAAGACTAAAACGCCATCTCAAAAAAAAAAAAAGGAAAGAAAGAAATGTGGCAGAAGGGAAAGCCAGAGAGCTTGCAAGCATGAGAAGAATTTGATGCACTGATGCTGGCTCTGAGATGTAGGGGCCCATGTGCAAGAAGTAGAAGAGGCCTCTAGGCAATAAGGGTGGCTCCAGCTTGCAGCCAGCAAGAAAATGGGATCTCAGTCCTACAACCACAAGGAATCTGAATGAATTTGGAAGCAGATTCTTCCCAAAGCCTCCTCATAAGAGCCCAGCCAGCTGACATCCTGATTTCAGTCCTGTATAATCTAGAGTGGAGAAACCAGTCAAGCCAACCTGGACTTCTGACCTGCAGAACTGTTAAGATAGTACATTTGTGTTATTCTCATCTGCTAATTTTGTGGTAATTTGTTGCAGCAGCAATAGAACACGAATTGTCTTCGTTCATTCCTGCTACTGTAACAAAAATGCTTTGGGCTAATTTTTTTTTTTTTTTACCAATTCCTCCATTACAGACTGGGTCATTTATAAACAACAGAAATGTATTGCTCACAGTCTTGGAGGCTAGGAAATTGAAGATCAAGGCACCAACAGATCTGGTGTCTGATGAAGGCCTGTTCCTCATAGATGGCACCTTCTCTGTGTCCTCACGTGGCAGAAGGGGCAAAGGGCAAACAGGATACATCAGGCCTTTTTCTAAGGGCACTAATCCCATTTATGGTGGCAGAGCCCTCCTGAGCTAATCATCTCCCAAAGGCCCCACCTCTTCATACCATCACTTTGGGAGTTAAGTTCCAGCATATGAATTTTGGGGACACCCATACTCAGACCATAACACTAATACACCTTACCATCATCCATTCCGCAAACTGCTGCTATAAGTCACCTTGCACCCCCGGACCTGTCAGAACTCCCAGCTGCATACCATGTATGCCCCAAACCCTCAGCCTGGCATTCAAGGGAGTCAGCCTCCAGATTTTCTTTTTAGCTCATCTGCCCCAGAAACCGCCACTTAAAATGCACTGGCCACCTTCACATCCTCCAGAATTGCCTCCAGCGTCCCACCTCCAGGTCTGTGCTCATGCTATGCTCTCATCTGGAATTCCTTCTCCTTCCCACCCCCTCCCCCAACCTCTCCATCAATCCAAATCCGCCCTCTGTTAAAGCCTCCTGTGAGCCCCCTCCTCCCAGAATCCCCCCTGAGCCCTCCAGCCTCCAGAGGCCTCTCTCCCCTCTGGTCTCGCTGCCTCACCCACTTAGCTCTCGGTGCACACAGCTTTGTGTTAGATTCTGTTTCTCCTCAAGACAATCTAATAGCAAGATCCACAGCTTTTACTTCTCTTATGTCCTCCACGATGTCTAGCGCAGTTCTGGATATAGAGCAGGGGCAGGAGAGCAACAGAAAGAGGTTGAGCTACAAATAAAATGAACCTGCTTCCAGCCAGTGCCCTGTGGAGCACTGGGTCCTAGATGTGACAATCTGAGGGCCCCCATCCGGCCAGGGCCTGGCTGCCAGAGGCCAGGAGAGAAGGCAGAGGCCTCAGGCCAGGAGGCTCCACTGAGTGTGGAGAGGGGGAAAGGGGCAAGAACAATTTCAAACCACATAGCAGCTCCCTGAGAAGGATAAGGGGCCTCTGAACCAGGCCAGAAACCAACCTGAGCCAGGAGCACTGGGCCGAGAGCACATCCAGGTCAGACACAAGAAGTTCAGAGCAGGAGCGGACAGAAGCCGATGGAAATAGGCAAGCTAGGCTCAGAGAGCAGGGCGGATCAGCCTACCTATCTGGCAGTGAGAGGGACAATGTGGGCTCTCACACAAAGCGACAGACACCCATGAGGATGAGGGCAAGGCTAAGCGGGGGTGGGGGAGCAAAGAGAGAAGAGATTAAGAAGGCAGGGAAAGGGAGGGCTGGAGCGGGAGGGTGAGAGAAGACAGAGAAAGGGTGTGGGGAGGAGAGGAGAGGCGGGGATTTCTCCCTTGACAGCCACCGTGGAAATACCACAATCCCTAGATGACTCCTAGCCCACCAGGGTTAAGGTGAGGTGAGAAGATGGCAACACCCCACCCCCCTGGCCACCACAACTAAGAAATTATGTAGAGTAATTAATCAAAAGCTAATGAGAAATGTGTTTTCTCTCCCAGCCTAGCCCCACATCATATTCTTATTAGCTGAGGTTATTACAATAGTAATCATGCATGCTCCAGGTGCAAATTGGGTTTTGTGCTCCACTGCCACCAATTTAGAAAACCATTAATGGCAAGATAAAGCCCCCATGGCTCCCGCCAGGCTGAGCCGAATCAACCTCCTGCAGGTTCCTTGCTCCCAGGGCCGCATGCCCATTGTCCAGGGGGCGCTCTTCTGAGCATCCCAGGAATCAGGAGGCCTGCAGGCAG
The DNA here is from genome assembly GCF_000001405.40 of Homo sapiens. Lineage (NCBI taxonomy): Eukaryota > Metazoa > Chordata > Mammalia > Primates > Hominidae > Homo > Homo sapiens. The sequence goes on from NC_000011.10 coordinate 116,715,627, forward strand.
GAGACAAACACTGAGGGTGGGTGGGACAGGGGCTGGGCCTGGGGTGGAAGATCTTAGACCTCTCTCTCTCTCTCTCTGTCCACACACACACACACACCGGTGTAGTTGCTAGGGCAGAGATAGCTCCATGAAACAAAGTATAAAGCCAGGTCTGCCTGGGAGGTCCAACCTTCCCAATTTTCTCTTGAGCCCTTCCCCCTTGTGAACCTGCCCTCTGGAAAGGGTTAACTAAATCTGTGGTTCCCAAACACAGGTACACAACCAGGGGCTGCCCTTGATAAAGTTTCCACTAGTAAAAAGAAGGGCAATGTAGTACATTTTTCACAAAGCTAAATGTACTCAATTTTATAGATGTTCTTTTTCTTTTTTCTTTTCTTTTTTTTTAAGATGGCGTTTCACTCTGTTGCCCAGGCTGGAGTGCAAAGGCGCAGTCTCGGCTCACTGCAACCTCCGCCTCACGGGTTCAAGTGATTCTCCTGCCTCAGCCTCCTGAGTAGCTGGGATTATAGGCGTGCGCCACCATGCCAGGCTAATTTTTGTATTTTTAGTAGAGATGGGGTTTCACCATGTTGGCCAGGCTGGTCTTAGACTCCTGACCTCAAGTGATCCGCCCACCTTGGCCTCCCAAAATGCTGGGATTACAGGTGAGCCAACGCACCCGGCCTAGACGTTCTTTTGTGTACTTAGAGAGCATTGTGATAGTATATAGATGTTCTTAATTCTGAAATTGTCCTTCCTATTTTGTTTGTGGTTTTATATCCATACATATACTTGTGTGTGTGTGTGTGTGTGTGTGTGTGTGTGTGTGTGTAAGGTATATATATAACCTTACCTTATTACTCAGGACTCATTCAGCTGCAGGGAATGGATTTAAAATTATATTGTAAAATTGGAGATGTATTGGTTCACATAACTAGAAAGAACATGGGAAAAGCAGAAGTCAGATGGTGTTGTCAGGCCTCTCTCCCCTTCTCCAGCTCTCTTTGCATTGTCCTTCTTCTGTCTTACTAAATTTGAGCTTCCTCCCTGGGGCAGCGTCATGGAAAGAATGGCCCCTGGGCTAGCATGGCCAAAGGCTGCTCTGGGGTACATTGTCACTGCTTAAGATCTCAGAGAAGAGAGAGCTTTGTTCTCCCTCCACACCCATGGAAAAGTTCAGGGCAGGGCTCCGACGGTCTCACCTTGGGCCATATATACATTCTAAGGCCAATCACTGTGGGATTGGCATGTTGGCCAGATCTGAGTCATAGGATTACTCCTGAGACAAGGTAACAGCTCTGCCCTTCTGCCCCACTAGAATAGGGCAACAGTCAGTGCTCTAGAGGAGGCAGGAATATGGTCATTGAAAAACAGGGGTAAGGGATCCCGGGCAAAGACCACAGACATCCACTATACCCAGAAAATTAAAATAAGAAGAAGAAAGTCTTGGGAGCTCCTGGGTCAAACACTGAGCCACCACGAAATGTCAGAGACTATTTTGCCCATGCAAATCTCCCAGGATTCACATAGAAGAAAGTTACATTACACTAACCAAAGCAATGAGGTGCCAATGGTAAGTTCTCAGCAAACTCACTAGTTGAGCTGAATATCAGAGGGCCTGTCTGTGACAGCAGAACATATTGGTGATTCCTCCAACCCATTCCAGATTATTCTGCACAGAAAACCAAAGTGTCGATCTAGAAGATGTTCATAGCCATAGTGCGATGAGAGTAAGCAGAGTGGTGGAGAGCAATTTCTTTACAGAGGAAACATTCCAGGGGCCCAAAGACCTCATGGAAATCCAGTCAAGACAATATTTCCAGAATACTAAGCCCTTGGGCAAAATGACCTCCCCATGGTCCCACAGAGTCAGCATGCCTATGGCTCATCCAGTCAATAGATCAGAAGTATGCTCAGAACATCCTTCTCTTAAGGGGTGCTGGTTTGGTTGTTTCTATCATTTATTATTATTTAGTAGTTTGAACCTGTTACCTGCATAAGTCTCCCCAATTAATAAACTGCCCCCATAGGCCTGACTTTGAAGTCTGTCTCTATTTTTTTTTTTTTTAAGACGGAGTGCAGTGGCCTGATCACAGCTCACTGCAGCCTCAACTTCCTAGGCTCAAGTGGTCCTTTCATCTCAGCCTCCCGAGTAGCTAAGACTATAGGTGCGCACCACCATGCCCAGCTAATTTTTGGGTTTTATTTTTTTGTTTCTTTGTTTGTTTGTTTTTGTGACGGAGTCTCGCTCTGTCGCCCAGGCTGGAGTCCCGAGTAGCTAAGACTACAGGTGCACACCACCATGCCTGGCTAATTTTTGGGTTTTGTTTGTTTGTATGTTTGTTTGTTTTTTGAGACAGAGTCTTGCTCTGTCACCCAGGCTGGAGTACAGTGACACTATCTCGGCTCACTGCAACCTCCGCCTCCCAAGTTCAAGTGATTCTCCTGCCTCAGCACCCCGAGTAGCTAGGACTACATGTGCACGCCACCACGCCTGGCTAATTTTTGGATTTTTTTAGTACAGATTGGGTTTCACCATATTGGCCAGGCTACTCTCGAACTCCTGACCTCATGATCTGCCCGCCTCAGCCTCCCAAAGTGCTGATATTATAGGCGTGAGCCACTGTGCCCAGCCTCTAATTTTTGTATTTTTAGTGGAGACAAGGTTTCACCATGTTGCCCAGGCTGGTGTCTCCACTTCTTACTGGCTATTTGGCTTTGAGAAAAACTAGTTGGCCTCCCTGACCCTCAATTCCTTCATCTGTAAAATGGGAATATACCTCCATGCACCTTCATAAACTGGCCTGAGAACACCCAGGAGGCCCAGAGACACTCTTACATTGTCTGGATTCACTTCACTGAGCACTTACTAAGTATCAGGCACTGTGTAAGGCAGTGTGTGTGAAGTGAGGACTTAGGTGGAGGTCTCCCTAAGAATGGTGGCGAGAAAAGACCCATGCCCAACATGCATGATGCAAAAGAGAGCGGGATACATGCATAAGCAAGGCATGAACCAAGCGCTGTGGGCATTTAGGGAAAGAAGGTATTGCTTCCAGCTAGTGGATAGGGCAGATTTGGTGGAGGAGGCTTCTTCTCTGGTCTGGAAGGACAGGTGAAATGTGGTGATGAAGAAGGTAGGGCATTCCACAGAGGCAACAGCCCACACTGAGATCTGGAGATGAGAATACTAAGAAGGCGGGGAGAGTACCTCCCCTGAATCTGGAGAAGGAAGGCAGCAGTTGGAAGGGTCCTCTCTTCTGGGCCATCCGCTTCCTCCTCCACTACCATATAGCTCTACCCTCTCCACTGTGTGTTCATGGGTGATGTTAGGTGGGCACAGCCAAGGGATGGCATGGAAGAGGGGTTATCTCAGGGCCTGTCCTAGAGAAGCTTGGGCCTAGGACACCCTCAACAGGACCATACATGTACCACCCCCGTTCTGCCACCTCCCTTTATCTGCCTCTCCAGCTTGGCCAAGGTTCAGTGGTGCTAATTAGCAGCAGTTAGCTCAGCTCCCCCATCCGGCCCCTCCGCCAGGGCAGGGACGTGACTGATCACTGAGGTTTCCTTTCTCTCCTGCAGGGAAGACACAGCAGGAAGCTAGAGGCAGGGGGCAAGAGGAAGGAGAAGCAGCTCCAGGAGTTAGCTGAGGTGGATAATAGAGAGGGAATGGACTTTGTTTGGACTAAACATTGTCATAGGCTTAAAGAGCTGAAGGCTTCTCTAGCTCCTGCTTGGGCAGGACTTCTGATAATAAGAACTCCTAGCAAGAAAGTGCTTGTAAAACCCCTCTCCTACACTGTCTCATTAGTTTAGTCCCCAAACAGCCATAGAAGACAGGCATTATCATTATATTATCATTATTATTGTTATTATTACTTAATGTCTTTCTTCCTTGGTCAATCTAAGATCCACAAGGGGCAGGGATCATGTCAACCTTGTCACGCTGTGTATCCTCAGTGCCACATACCGTGCCCAGCATAGAGGTGACATTCAATAAATAGTTGCTGGGTGGGTGGGTGGATGGATGGAAGGATGGATAGATGGAATAATGGATGGACAGAAAGGCAGGTGGATGAAGGATAAATTATCCCATTTTACAAATTAAGAAACTAAGGACCAGAGAGAAAAAGTGACTTACCCAAGACTAATCAGACAGCGAGTGACAGAGCAGCACCCAGTCCCAGTTCACAGCCTCCCCATCGGGCCTGCTCGCAATACTCAAACTGTCTCTCTTCTTTGATTTCTTGAACACAATCCACCAAGAAAGGTCCACCCTTCTGAAGATCTGATTCTCATCCTTCTTCCAGCAGCTGGTCAGAAGCCAAGCTCCTGCCAACTCGGCTCCCATAAAAAGAGCAGGATCCCGAGAGCCTAGTGACCAGGGACTAGAGACACAGAGGCCCTTTCTGATCACTGGTCTGGAAGAATCTGGCTGCCAACTGGTGAGGTAAAGGTAGACAGCGACAGCCAGAGTGCAAGTGCCCATGGAAGAGCTGGCACCGACGGCCCTGTGTGAGCAGCACAGCACTAGGAATCACACAGATGCCAGTTCAAAGCCCCAGCACTTGCCCTTCCACAAGCACCTGCCTCTGCAACGTCTTCCCTTCTTTCCTCCACCTCCATGCCCCTCACTCCCAACTTCTCCAAGCCCAGTCTCCTTATTGATAGCATGGAGTCATGACGGCTCTCACACACATTCCTCTGAAGGTTGAATTCGAGGAGGTGATGGGTCCTTTCACACCCAAGTCTGGTGATTTTCTCACAGCAGCCTCCCTGCCCCACCTCCTGACCCCGCCCACCACCCTAAGGGATGGAAGTTCTTCGTGCCTGGTTCTGTTCCTACCTCTGCCCCCAGTGCCACATCAGAGCCCTCTCCCCTTTGGCTCTGTGTTCTGAGGCAGCAGCCTGCTTACCTTCGCAGTCCCAGGATCAGTCCTCCGTCTCCAGACAAAACCTCTCCCACAGAGGGTTCTGTCTTCCTAGGAGGCCCCCTCAGATTTCCCACATAGACCCTGGGCGGGCCATCTGGCTCCCACTGTCCCTGTTGCCCTCTCTTCCTGTCTGGTTTTTCTAAAGCCCACATGTCTTTGCCCGGACCGGGCAGGAATCCTCTACCTCAGGCCCAGGAGCCCAAAGCAGGCCTCATTGCATTGGGGTTTGGAGGCGCACCTGCACATTTTCCAGGAAAGGGATCTGTAGCTAGAGGGAACCTCCCTAGAAAGCTTGAGCTTCACTGCCTGGAGACCCCCTCCCACCTTCCACTCTGCCATGAAAGACAGCTCAGGTTTCATCCACTGTAACTCAGTGTGAATTTTGCCCTTTCAGGTGCCCTGTTAACATGATTCCTCCCACCTGGCCTGACACCTATGTGGATTTCAAGGGCATAAGGCTCTGCCACTTAAATCGCCTCAACACCCCTGTCCCTTCCCCCGACTGTGGTCCTCAGCACAGGACATGGCCTTACTGCTCCACCACGTGCTTAGTATTCAAGCCATGCGCTGCCACCATGCTTCCCACCATGTCTCCTCCAAAGCAGAGCCTTCCGCGGTGTGCCCTGCAAGGTCCTAGTGGGTATCCTTGATGAGAACTAGATTCTGTACACAGTGGATGCTGCATCAATACTGTGGCCACTTAGAGGTTAGAGGGTGTATTAGTCAGGGTTCTCTAGAGGGACAGACCTAATGGAATAGATATATATATAAAGGAGAGTTTGAGTATTAACATATTAACTCACATGATCACAAGGTCCCACAATAGGCCATCTGAAGGCTGAGGAGCAAGGAGAGCCAGTCCGAGTTCCAAAACTGAAGAACATGGAGTCCAGTGTTCGAGGGCAGGAAGCATCCAGCACGGCAGAAAGATGTAGGCCAGGGGGCTAGGCCAGTCTCTCTTTTCACATTTTTCTGCCTGCTTATATTCTAGTTGCACTGGCAGCTGATTAGATGCTGATTAGATGCCCACCCAGATGAAGGGTGGGTCTGCCTTTCCCAGCCCACTGACTCAAATGTTAATCTCCTTTGGCAACACAGTTACAAACACACGCAGGATCAATACTTTGTATCCTTCAAGCCAATCAAGTTGACACTCAGTATTAACCATCACAGAGGGCCTATGGTTACAGCAGATGGAAATGGGGACCCTGGTAAAAGTGGGGATGCTGTAGAATCCTGGAGTTAACCTCTGAAAGAGATCCAAAGAGGTCATCTGATTCAAAAAAATTACTTCTTTAGTCCCTTCCATGTACCTAACACCGGAGACACAAAGATAGACAAGGCATGGTCCACTGAGATGAAATTAGTGTTATTCCTGTTGTACAGAAGAGGCAACTGAAGCCAGGTAAAGGTTAATGTCTGTCTAACTTACCAGCAGCTGGTAAGTAAAGGGGAGGAACTAGATAATACTCAAGTGCCCTGGCTTCTTTGGTTGATTCAAGGGTTCAAAATATGCCCCCAGTGTAGCTGCCAGCCTTGGGGCCAGCCTCTGTGTCCTGCTCCAGATGTGGCAGAATGACTGGGAGGGTTGCCTGCGAGTGGGCAGACTCTAGCACTATCAAGTCTCTGTTTTGCCTGAGGCACATACAGGGCTCCTGGCAGAGGAGAGTGGGCGAGAAGCTGGGAAGCCACAGCCTGTGAATGCAAATGAGGCTATTGCATAATTAATTAACATCAAACAGTTTCATTAAGAGATGGAGCTGTGCGGCGGTTTGTCTTGAAAAAAAATTGAAACAACAGAAATGGGACAAGAGAATGGAGGTTCCAACCACCTGGACCTAACTCAGAAGCGAACAATTCTAACCACTGAGGGTGGCGAGGGTGGCTTCAGCCCCCAAATCTTACATGTGGGCTTTCTGGAGCTCCTGTTGTCCCTCCTGGCACCTCCATCCAGGCCTCCTCCAGGAGCTGAGGTTTGGGGAAGGATGGTGGGCACTGCCAGGCGGAGCTCAGGGACCCACAGCAGCAGAGTGGGAGCTCACTGGGAACAGAAATCCCTAGCTTTGAACAGTGGCTTTGCCCAGGGAGGGTGCAGACACCCTAGACACACTCCAAGACTCATGCGCTCAGGCTCCAAAATGGTCTCAAAGCACTGTGGGACAGAAAGAAGCCACTTGGAAAAACCAAATCAGGGCTCTATTTATCTCTAAATCTCCATTTCTCCTCCCCTTCCCACCCCAACACCCACTCTTTCACTCTAAAATCCCCTGTCCTCTAAGAAAAAGGGCAGGGGAACAGGGATCTCCTTGCCACGCCTTCTAGGAGTTAATCCCACAAGGAAGGAGCCTCCTTGGGAACCAGGCCATAGGGAGTGGCCCCCCAGTTGCCTGGGCTAAGATCCCATGGGCAAGGGAGGTCACCTCTTAGAAGAAATCCTATCAACCCTTCATGACCTGGCTCCCGCTTCTCTTTCCAGCTGCCTCCTCATTCTCCCTGTGTTTCATCCCTATCAAGGCACTGCCCATTCCCCAGCAGCCACAGCCTCTCATGCTTCCTGCCATCCCTCCTGCCTTCAGGCCTTCCTACACTCCATCTTAGCAGCCTAGGGAGCTCCTCCTGTTTCATCAGTGCCCAGTTTAAATACCCCTCCTCTGGAAAACCTGCCCTGACTGCCCACACCCTACAAGATTAGGTATTTTTTTTCCCCTACGCTCTGCACAGTTTGTGTTGTAATTATTTGTTTACTTCACTGAGACAATGAGCTCCTTGAAGGCAGGAACCATTATCTTTCTTCAGCTTTGTATCACTAAGACCTGGGCTAGACTTTAAAAGTCTGTCTAACGAATACATATTTGAACTAAAAAGATCACAGATACCTCGTCTAGATGCCTGACTCTTGACAAATGTCTAAACTGTTCAGAATGAGACATTTATTCCCTTCCTGACTGTATCTCCAATCCCTGCGATTGAGAAGCAGTGGGGATGGGAGACGTGACCCTCAGCAGGGTGAGTTTCTAGGATCGTGAGCCCAAAGGCCCCGGGTAGTTCCTAACAGGGAGGTGCCTCGGGCTGAGCAGCTGCTGCTGCTCCATGGCAAAGGCTTGCGGTGCTGGAGAGAGCCACAGGCTCTCTTCCCCAGGTCGGGGGCCCAGGTGACCCATCCAGTTGTTGTGCAGGAATATGGAGGGGCTGAAGGGATCCCAGTACCTCTGGACTTCCACAGCAGCCGGGCCCCTTAGAGCATGCCACACAGCCAGCCACAGCCCTGCCTGCCCACCACAAGGGCCTCCCACCCAGCATCCTCTCCTCTCCTGCCCACCCTCTCCTGCTCCCCCAAACCTGCTGACCCCTGGTGGCTTTAGCCTTCCTTGAGAGAGCCAGAAGGGAGAGCATCCATTTTAAATTAACAAGGTTATTAGCAGTTAATTACCTGAGGTATCATTGTAATTGAAAAGAAAAAGAGAGAAGAGAAGCTCATAAACCCAACCCTTTCTTTTCACCATCCCTGGGGTGGTGCGGGTGACCCCGGCCCCCTCCCCACAATAGGGCCCTGCACACACCATTGTCCTTTCTTTCTCCATGTTCCTCCACCTGCCCCCACTTCACAGGGATATTGAGGAGAGGGAACCAGACCCAAGGAGAGCAAGCCACCCGCCCCGCAGGCACTTCAGGGATGCTGAGACACACTTGGAGTCCATAAATGCAGAGAGATTTATCTCATATTGGGGTGTGCAGGGAGGAGGCACAAATCTGAAGCCTTTAGTCAATATTTTTAGTGATTTTTTTTTCCCCTAGATTGTCCTGTTATTCTACAAGTTAGTATGGCTGGCATCTGTCAGCATTAATGATGTTTAGTCCCAAATTCACTGCAACCAGAGATCACAGACCATCTCCCCTCCCTCCTCCCCACTGCCACCCACCCCTGCCCTGAGGACACTGGGCTGCAGGGAGGGGAAGGGGTGCAGAGAGAACACAGAAGACCCCTCCCTCAGGCTGGCCATGTGAACTCCAGCACTTGCTGAAGAGCTCCTGAGGCAAGGATGCCACATGCCAACAGTTCTTGGGTTCGTGTCCTGTCACTGAGACTTCACAGAAGGAGCCCCAGACTCACGGAGTCCGTGAAGTAACCCACCTATAACCCTCACAGCAGCCTCCCATTCTCCCCAAACTCTTCCCTGCCTAGGGTACACCAGAAGGAGGAGCATAACCCAAGAGAGCCAAGAATCCCCCCAAAAAAAATCTCCCCCAAAGGCAAGCAGTAGGTGCAGGTGGCCCACACCCCCTGGCCAGTGGCCTTAGCAGCACTGCTGGGTGTCTGGTGTGGAGGGCAGTGTGGGGGCTGGACGGGTGAGCCCGAGTAGGAAGGCAGCACCCCCAGCTCCTTCATGCCTCTGAGATGCCCTGACTCCTGCCATACCCAGCCACCCTCCCTGTCCTCCTTCCCCCTGCCCCCTTTTCCTTTCCTCTGTAAGGCCCTGGCTCCCTCGCTTAGGCCAAGTCCTCTCTCCTCTGCTACCTACTTTCCTGGGCAGCACTCAGCCCCTCAGTAGTCAGCATTGTCAGGAGCAGACCCCTCACCTCCCTCTCAACCTTCTGGAAGCAACAAGGACAGACAGCAAAGCTGGGGAAGGGCAGAGCGCACAGAAAGCCCACACATAATCGCATATGTGCGCCAGTGTGATTGTATGAAGCATCATGTACATAACAGAAAATGGCATTCTCATGTTAGCCTTTTCAATTGAGCATTTACCATGTGACAGGTAAGTAACATTATTAGCCACATTTTATAAATGGAGAAATCAGGGTTCAGAGACCCTAAGTGATATGTCCAAGAATGAGATAGAGAAGGACATGAACCTAGGCAGTCTGTCTCCAAACTGCCTAACCCCTCCATTAATATGCCTTCCAACAATGTCTGCCGTGGTGGGGGTGGGGGTGAGGGTGGGGAGGAGATGGTCAGGAGTCAAGGTGCGTTTCAACTTTCCCCTCCCCACTCCGTGTGGGAGGCTGCTGCTCGACACAGCACCAGAGAGAGCCCTTCCTCTTCTCCCTGACAGGCTGAGGAACAAGGGGCAGAGTCCTTGCTAGGGAGGCCAAGCCACCGGGCACCGTCTCCCCGACCAGGGCCCTCACCCAGGGCGCTGGACCTCATCCTCCCTGTCCAGCTCCCTGCCCTTCCGTCCACACTCCCAAGGGCAAAGGGACCCCGCCGGGTCAGGGAAAGGAAAGAACCAGCCTTGCTCCCCTGTTTCCCCACCTGCAGAGTGGCTCCATCGCCCCACCTGCTGAGTCAGCGCTGTTCAGAGTCCCCTGGCACTAGCAAGGTCACCCATGCCAGGGAAGGCAGCCAGTGGGAGAGCAGCAGCGAGTGTGGGAAAGGGGCAGAAAGGCGGATGTACAACCCAGGACCTGGAGTTTGAGGTTGTGCCCAGGGCTGAGGGCAGGCCCAGGAGGGAGCCCAGAACCCTGAGGCCGGCCCTGGAACTGGGTCATCTGAGCCGGTGGGTGGGTCTGGTGAGCCACTGGATGTGGAATGTGGAAGCTGAGTAGGCATGTGAAACTGGAGGGGATGGATCTGACCCCTGCAGTCCCCAGAGAGCCAAGACGTTCCGGGAACCACAGCTTCTCTCCAAAGAAACCAGGACAGCTCAACCAGTCCTAACCCCTTTCCTTTCTTTCTCAGGAATGAATACGCCTGCAATCCAAAGGAGAAAACAAAGTAGGGAGGGAAGGAAGGAGCCTAGAGCCCGCTGCCCACCCTCCCCCGCCCCTACCCTGTGCATCTCTGGCCCTGGGATTTGCCTTCTCTGGGTCTCTGCAGGCTCCGGACAAGCAGGGATGTCAGACCTGACAGAGCTGCCCTTCTGATCACTCCCTGCCACTTACTGCCTTTGGAAAAAAATTACTCCACTCTCTGGGTAACAGTTTCTGAGTCTATAAAATAGGGATACCACCCACCTTGCAGTTTATTGCACAAATAAATGCCTAAGCCACGGCTATCACTCAACAAATGTTATTCCCACTCCTTTGCCTTCCCTACCAGCCTCCCAAAGCAGGAAAGCCCAGGTGTCTTGCAGGAGGAGTAGGCAAAGAACCTCTCTTCATTCCTGGTGGGCAGGACAGCAGATTCTCCTCTAAGCACATCAGTGGCATTGGTGGAGATAACTTGAGAAGTAATGGCATCTACTGGAAATCTTGCAGGAATAGTGGAATGTTGATGCCATGTGTTGGAGCATTCTTGGGAACATGCTGGAACGTTCTTGGGGGAACACCAGGTGCTCCTGGGTACACAATGTGATATCACTAGAAGCCCACTGTGAGGTATGGGAGCAACCTGGCACTACTGGGAGCTCACTGGGAATTACTGGAGTGTTCCTGGGATTCTGTGGGAAGTAGCTATGAATGCCAGTAGCCTGATAGGGATTCCATCAAAGAGATATTGGGGCAATACTGATAATGCTGAGTTGCTGGAGACATATTAGAAAGTGACCAGGAGCTCTCTGGAGAGCAAAAGCACATGGACTTTCCTAGGGCACTGTGAGAACTGCAGAGGGCATAATGGAGACACTGGGGACCACTAGGGACTCCTGGTGGGGTCTTCATGGGTCCCACCAAGTGCTGCACTCTGGGCTGTTTACTCTTAATGAGGGGCACAGGTGGGTGGGGGTGCAGCCCTCCCGGGGGAGCCAGAGGCAGGCCCACACTGCCCTGGAAGAAAGAGCCACTGCCCTTCAACTGTTCGGCAACCACAAATGTGTGCTTCCCAGGGGTGGCGGCAGCCTCAGAGGAATGGGAAGCTGGTTTAGAAAGTCGCTCTGAGGAGGGAAGCAGTTCCACCTTACTGCTAGGAGCCCTGCCTGGCATCAGTCCCCTCAAACTCAGACCCCAGGCCTTATCTCCACCCCCGAGGTGAGGGGACAGCCTGAAGTAGTGCGATTCAGGGGTCTCAGCAACAACACACCGCCCTCCGAGTAGCCTCAGAGCGTGGGCACTGGGGAGGGGTCTAGAAAGGATTTACAGCCAGTATCTGCCTGTTAGGACTCAGCAGAGAAGAGCCTTCTTCCCCATGGCACAGAATAGAGGTAGCAACAACCCAAGTCCAATGCCATAGGGTCAAATGTGGGTTCTTCCAACCTGCCCAGAGCCTGTGGGAATGAATGTAGACACAGCTGAATAACTGAGAAGTGCATCTCAGAAAGTCCGCAAGCAGGCGCCCGCTAACCAAAATGTTGAAAGGTAGAAGGTCAGGGTCAAGCTTCAGGATAGGGTCAAGCCTCCTTTCAAAAGATCTAGGTATGGTCAGAGTGAGAAATAAAACAGGCAAGGCAGATGAAGCGCCAAATTCAGCATGTTCAATATCAAATATTCAATAGCAGATATTCAATTCCCACTCCGTCCCAGGCAACTAAACCCAGGGTGGTCATTCCCAGGATTCCCAAAGCAACACCATCATCATCTCTCCTTCTTCCCTAGATCCCTCTTCTCAAAGAAGAGCATTGCTCCATGCCAGAAACCCAGGTGTCACCCAAGACGCCCCCTCGGTCACCCTCACAGTCACTGAGATGCTGCATCCTGCCTTTTCTGACTCATGACAAAGCTCTCTCCTCTTCCCGTGACTCTTGAGCCACACCTGATGGCTGCAGTTCATCGTCTTTCATACAGACAGCAGCAGCTGCCTCTGGGTGGGGACCCTGCCTCCAGCCTTGCCCATCTCCACACTGCTGCCAAAACGATCTTTCTAAAACACAGTGTTAGTCCTGCCTGCCACCCCAACAAAGTCCTTTCTTACCTGCTCAGAGCCCACAAAATCGTATTGAAATTCCAGGGAACAAAAGGCCTCCAACTCTACCACTCCCCAGTGCAACCTGTCCTCCTGCCATCCCAAATCCCTTGCCAGTCTCCACACTTCTATTCTCCTCCCTCCTCCGGGCCTCTGCGCGTGCTGTTCCTTTATCTGCCTCCCAACAGGGCTCGCGTTCCTTGAGACCATCTGCAGCTTTGCATCCCCAGCACTTGACGCGTAGAAGTGAAGTCTTGATGGAATAAATGAACTGATGAAGATGGGAAAGTGAAAGATTCCATGAGATTGTAGCATTTTCCCAGTTATAACAATGAGGAAACAGAGAGGTGATATAGCTTGTCCAAGGTAAACACAGAATCAGTACCATACCCCATCACCCTTTGCTGCCTCAGCAGAGCCCCAGAGAAACCAAAACAAAAGAAAAACAGAATAAGAACCCAGGAGGGGTTCAGGGTAGCATAGGGCAGGAGTCAGGAGCGGGCAAAGAGAGGAGATGGAGAAGGGAGTTTGTTGAAGGTTGGCAGCTATGGCTAAACAGTTCACAGTGAAGGGAGAGCCTTCAGAGTCCAGGAAGCTTTAGCCAGAAGTCAGAGGGGTGGACTTGCAGTCCCAATAGGAAAGAACTTTCCTCCTCCAGGAATCAGAAAGGGACTAGAGAAACCCAGGAACCAGAGTGAAGACATGAGGCTGGCAGAGAGGGGGTGGGAAGAGGGGCACTAGTGGCTGTGGTGACAAGGCTGTGTGCAGGTTATTAACCCTGGGATAACTGCGTGAGTCCTGAAACAGAAATAAACCTTTCTCACCTCCAAACCCTCACCAGGAAAAAAAAATTAATTTTACACCACAGTCTCAGGAAGAGAAATTTAGGGACACACAGGCTGGGCCTTTGGCCTGTGAAAACCTCAGCTTCTTAGCCCCGTTAGGAAAATCTGGGCTCTTAGAGAGAAGGTAAAGACTTGGATAATGCTATTCTCTCTATTTCTCACCTCCAACCCTCTTTTCTGAGTCCTCTACATCTTTCAAAGGCCAGATTCCCACCTTGGCCCTGTCCAGAAGCCTTCCCAACTGCCAGAATTTCCAGCATCCACTGTTCCTCTGAAGAGCAAAAGCTCTTCACCAGGCTCTTCACCTCCCAGCTTATTCTGTGGTCTTCTCTGGACAAGGAAGACCATCTCCCTAAGGTCCATGGTGACTGGGGGTGGAGCAGGGAGATGGATTTCCCATCATCAGCCACCTTTCCTTGAGCCTAGACCCAGTCCCATCCCCTCCTGCTCAGAGTTCAGGGCTCGGGGACTGGCAGGGGGAAGCTGTACTGTGGCTGGCTGGTATGTTTTGTCAAGAACATATCAGCTGCTTCCCTATTTGGGCAGGAGGAATCCAGGAGGGCTGCATGCCCTGGAAAGCACCTGGTGCTGCTGGGCCCAAAGAACTCGGCCTCCTCTGTCCCCTGCCTTGCAGCAGCCATGCCCACCCAAGCCAAAGTGACTCCTAAGCATTCCCTGCTGCGGGGCGCTTGGATGCAGGTTGAACATGGCTAAGGGCAAGTCACTTGGCTCAGGACACTGACTTAGTTTCTATGTGCCCAGCAGAGTCAGGGAAACTTGGACCCAAGGCAACCCTGAGGCCCCAGGCAGCATCATATACCTGTCTATCCTCCCTGGGACCTTTCAGCATTGGGGACGTGCCCTGTGTGTCGCTTCACTAAACCCTGAGGAATATGCCTGGCTGAATCAGGATGTGCCCACAGTTCCTCACCCAGGGGCCTCCTCACCAACACCCCTGACCCACACCTGAGGACTTAAATGACAGAGGTAGCAGCGGGCAAAAGGCCAGTGGAAGGCGGCAGAGAAGCTTTGCACAGCACCTGCTCCTCTATGGTGTCCAGCCTTTCCCCAACCCCAACCCACCCCTCCTCCTGTGCAGCCAGCTCCAGCCCCAGCCACAGAGCAATAAGGAGGAACTGGAGAAAAACCGAGGATCCAGCACAGACCGCCCAGGCCCTGGCCACCAACTCCTCCACCCCTGGCAGCACGGAGCCCCATCATCAGGCGCTAATTAAATCCCCCTAATGAGGAAATAAGGATGCAGGAGCCAGCTCCGCCATGGCCTCCCCGGCCCACCGCTCTCGCCTCTCCATCGGACTTATCACTCGTCACAGGATGTTTACAATAATTTTTAATTTGTGCAATTATTAATCACTTTTCTATCTGCCTCATTTGCATAATAATTAGTCATCTCACTGTTTGGCATGCCTGTGAATGACAGTGTTTTAAATTGAATTAAGATTTTAATATTCTATTTTCCTGCTTTCTTCCCCCTCCACACGCTAATCAAAGTCAGATTTGGCAGCGAGAGAGAGGGTGGGGAGGAGGTTGGCAGGCTCTGGACTTGGCCCGCTCTGCGCTCCCGAGAACTGTGCTAGGAGGAGGGCGTGCCTGTAGAAGGTGACAGCAATCCCCTCTCACCCAAATCCTGGCTCTTGAGGGGTTAACCCAGCCTTGGCTAATTGAGTAGAGGTAATGAGTGAGAAGTGGGCAAAGGCAACTGGGGAGGGAGGGAATCACACTGGCTCAGTGGCACCAGAGACCAAGAAAAGCACTTTCATTTATTTTTTTTCCAAATAGGCTGCTTTTTACAATGGGAAGTTGGAAAGCATATTACAGGTCTGTAATTGATCCCCGGTTACTAGTCTAGGTTAACTTTGATGGCTCAGAGTCCCCCAGGTAGAAAAACGCAGGCTGGCGCAGCCTAAAACCCATTTCTATTCTTCAGATGTACTGAGAAAACAAATCTCTGCAGTTAAGTTTGATTCCCCTTCCCCCTCTCCACACACCAACAAGGCCCTCTGCCCAGGCTGGACACCTAACAGACATGTACCAGGGGGTGTCAGATTTCCACTGACAAGGGGCCAGGAGCAAAGGCAGACTGCCCTCTGTCGGGGCAGCTGTGGGTTTATGGATCTCTTGCCCTCCAGCCCTCTCCTGACCACCCCAGGAATTCAGCTCTAGCCTAGAAAACGCCCTGCTCCATCCCGTCTCCCGCTGCTGCTGCCTCGCGTGTTGCCATGGCAATCCCTGTGGCTGCCTGGGATACCCACTGCTGCTCCAGAATTCTCTGCTTAAGCAGGGCAGCTCTCCCGCAGCCTGTGTGAGACACCGCCCTTTGCCATGGTATGATCACCAGCACGTAGCCTGGAAAGCCTGATACTGGCCTCTCCCTTCAGGTGAGCAGGGAGAGAAGATGGGAGAGAGGGGCTGGTACTGGGCAAGCAACTACAGGTCAGGCCACAACAGCTTGCGGGGCCAGACTCCAGCTCAGCAGGTCATGCTTCCCCTGGCCAGGGGAGCGGAGGGACCCCATCCTGGTACAGCAACCCCTTCCTCCCACAAGGATCAAGGTCTCCCAACTGCAAGAGGGGTCAAGGGAGGGAAAGTCTCCCACATGGGGAAGAGGAAATGAGGTCTTTCTGCCAGAGTTAGAACTGGGTGAGAGGAAGGAGGGCTAGAAGATTCCAGGAGCCCTTCCCCTTCACAGGACTCCAAGGCTGGTCTGAATTCCCCCCTGCAAGTCAGGCAGAGAAACTGTCAGGCATTCCTTGGGTCCCCTCTGGCCAGGGCATCCTGGGGCCGACCCATGAGTCCTCCTGCCAATGTATCCAGGAAGGCCAATAATCCACCCAGAAAGGCACCAGCCTCAGAGCTGGCAGTGCTAGGAAACTGCTTGCCCAGTCTTTGCCTGAAGGGGCAGGAACAAGAAGTGTCAGAATTCAGGAAAGGCACAGTCCAATCCAGGATGATGGGGAGTTTCTGAGAAGGTAGGCCCTGGGACTTTGGGCTGTGTCTCCCACCCAGACTAGAGGAAGCAGGCGGCTTTCTTATCCCATTGTGCGCCAGGCCCAGGTGAGCAAATCTGGTACAATCACTACTCAGGGGACCTTAGCCCTGTACGACAACCAACTTCACCCACCACAGTCCCAGCATGGCAAAAGGAGCTTTTTAGATAGTGAGGCACATAACAAGTGCCGCAGCAGCCTCTGCTGGCCGCCTTAGCCTTCCACACCTGACGCACGGCCGAAAACGCCGGCGGACCCTCGGAACTATGCTTACCATGAGTCCCCGCTGGCCCGGGACAATTCTGGTCTACAGCTGTTGTCTCTGCATAATTACTAATAGCAAGCACACACACCCTTCACTCTCAGAAGCATCCCAGTTTGGACAATAAATTCAGTGGCCTCTAATCGCAGCCAAGCGCAGGATCCCAGCAAGCCAAGCGAGAAGGTGGAGAGACTGAACATGGAGATGAAAAGCCTTCTCTCTGGCCTCAACCAGGGATAGCTGCTCCCTTTCAGTCATCACCAAAGGAGGAAATTCAGAGTCCCCAGCCCTGGGCCAAGACAGATGCATCTGGGTAGTCACACCTGAGGGAAGAGGGAAAGCAGGTATGCGGGCCGGGGCGGAACTAGGCGGAAGGAGGAGAAAGAAGGAAGAAAGAAGAGCAGGCGCAGCTGGAGGGTAGGAAGCATGAAGGAAGCAGAACGCTATGACTCCATGTGTCCAGCAGGTGGCTACACTGAGCGGTCTGTATCGGTCCATCCCCATTGCAGCCGGGCAGCCCCATCCAGCTTGCCTTGTAAGGCTCGGGGTGTGGCTTCCTGTCCTTCTGCAAAGCCCACCTAAGTCACAAAGCCCCTCTTTCCCCTTTACCCTACTTTTCATTCGCTTTTCTCCGAATGACTCCCTAGCCTGAATTACAAAATCACGAAGACATTTCACAAACCCCCATGCCCTCACCCCGCACAACCCCGAGAGACAAGAAAGAGACGCCAGAGCAGTGGGCTCCGGGGTAGTGGGATTCCTGGATCGCTTCCTCCTGGGCTGGTGCCTGCTTGATGCAGGGCTCCTCAGAAACCCCCTGGTATCTGCCCACCTGGGTTGGGAGTCCCTGAGTACAGAGGTATAGGGACCACTGTGGTTTTTTGTGGTGTGGAAGTGAGGTCATAGAAATCAGGGAATTTCTATATGTCTGTCATTCAGAGAAGTTAATGCAAATTAGCTGCAAAGTAAAAAACAAATGTACACTATTTACATCAGAAGTCAGCAGTTATGGCATTTGGGGGATCAGGACAGCAGCAACAGTCCACACTCCACAGGGCCTCATGAGGTAGTGAGAAGAGGGAGCCCCAGGCTGGTGCGGATGGGTTTTCCTGCACTGCTGCCCACCCCTGATTCCCCAGTCCCAAGTCACTCCAGGTGAAGCAATGGCCATATGTGTGGGAGGGAGGGGAAGTCACATCCTGCACTCAGGCAGCTTGCAGTCTGGTTGATGGCCTTTAGGCCCCAGTCCCATGCTTCCTCCCACCATGGCCCCCCAGCCTAATGCCAAGATTCTCCCCAGGCTGGGGCCAAAGTGCGATTTTATCCCCCTTTTTCCCAAGTAGGAGAGGATTATTGTGAAAAGGAAAAATAAGGATCACAGAATCCTTGGGAAGATTTCAAAGATGCCCTACCTACATCTGCATATCACTAATAAATAGCTGCTGAGTTCTGGAAGTTTACACTTGCCCAGTTCTTACCTGCAGTGGAACCTCAACCTAGCATTCAGTTTAATTCAACAAATTAAATGTACTGAGTGTCTTGTACAGGCCGGGCTTTGTGCCGGATGCTGAAGACTGTGGTCTCTGCCTTGAATAAGCCCTAAGTCTGGCCGGGGGAGAAAAACACGTCAAAAACACTGTAATTTGAAGAGACTCACATTAGAGTCAGGTAGGTACAAGTACAATAGGAGCAAGTCTGAAGAGGAAGCATTTGATTCTGCCACTCTGCGGGTAGCACGGGGGCCAGGGGGAACTCCACAAAGGAAGTGACATTTGAGCTGGACCCTTAAGGGTGAATAAGGATTTGCTAGGGAGAGGAAGACCAGCGCAGAAGCAGGAGCTTGGAAAAAAGCACAGAGGCCTCAAAGAGTGGTGCAAAGTCCAAAGGCTGTAGGGAAGAGGTCGATGAACCAAGGGCCTCGAGGCGGAGGAGACTGGACACATCTTGTAGACAGGGCTTCATCCTGAATCTGCTTCCCACACGACAAAGCAGTGGACCTTCCTGTTCTCAGGGGATCCTTGTCAATACTGGGATCATCATGCTTCCCCACCCTGTTTCCAAGAAAGCAGCAGGCTCCTGTGGCTGGGCCTAGGTTGGCTGGCAGAGCCCCTCCAGGAATATCTGACAGGAGAGTTCATGTGCTAATTAAGCATGCATCTGATATTGCAGACACGACAATCAATTAGCATAGCTGATTAGACACCTCCACGAATGAGCTGTGGTGGCTCCTGAATGCCCTGAACCCACTCTGGCCCACTCTCACTCAGAGCAACCGCCCCCGACTCACTCATTCATTTGAAGAAAGAGCAGAGGCTTTGGTAGAGCTGTGGTCTTTAGCCTCAGTTTCTTCACCTACAACATGGAAATATTAGCATTAACCTTGTTGGGTTGTTGTGAGATTAATATATGGAGAGTACCTAATTTTAGTGCCTAAGTTAGTACTTAATAAATGATAGCTATTAGTTCTGGGGTGTAATACCTTGGCTTTGGAGCTAGGGATTTGAAAATGAATAAGAAATAGTTTCTGGCCATAGGAACTCCCAACGCACAAAATAGTATGATAAATGCTGTCCTCAAAGTGCCATGAAAACTCAGAAAATGGCTGAATTGGTAAGCAGATCCTGTCCTGGGAGCAGTAGCAAGAGTTCAAATTCTCAGTTCCTAAGTATAACTGGGCAGACAGGGCCCTTCTAGCCCCTGCCACAAAGCCCGGGGGTCTCCTAGCACCTCAGATGAGTGCTTGAATAGTAGTTTTGTCTTTGCCAACAACTTTTTTTTTTTTGAGACAGAGTCTTACTCTGTCACCCTGGCTGGAGTGCAGTGGCTCAATCACAGCTCACTGCAGCCTCAACCTCCCAGACTCAAGTGATCCTTCCACCTCAGCCTCTCAAGTAGCTGGGGCTACAGGTGGGTGCCACCATGCCCAGCTAATTTTTTAACTTATTGTAGAGACAAGGTCTCACTATGTTGCCCAGGCTGGTCTCAAACTCCTGGGCTCAAGCAACCTACCCACCTCAGCCTCCCAAAGCACTAGGATCACATGCATGAGCCACTGCCCCCAGCCCACACTTTCTCTTTAATTCATATTAAAAGACTTTTCAAATTGACTCAGAAGCTAAGTCCTCTCCAGCATGAGGCCATGTTGGCCGGGCTCATCTGAGCCTCAGGAGTATAACCGGGCCCAAGTTGTAACCCCCATTCCGGCCTCCTCCTCTCCTGCACCAAGAAAAACCAGAACAAAGCTTAGCATCCTACCACTTTCATGCTGAGAAAGCATAGAAGAACAAGAAAGTAGGATTTCTAGAGGTTAAAGGTAACTATACTGAGTCCAAAACACCAACTGCACAAATAAAGAGATGGATGCAACATGGCTCCATCTCCTTTCTCACGATATGTGTAAAGGAGACACGGGAGCTTCTGACGATAGTGCAGTGGGAATCCGTGGTGTGATGTGGTCACCATGAAAGCTAATCCAGGCCGGCCATGGTAGCTCACACCTGTAATCCCAGCACTTTGGGAAGCCGAGGCGGGTGGATCACCTGAGGTCAGGAGTTTGAAACCAGCCTGGCCAACATGGTGAAACCCCATCTCTACTAAAAAATATAAAAATTAGCCGGGCGTGGTGGTAGGTGCCTGTAATCCCAGCTACACAGGGGGCTGAGCCAAGATAATGGCTTGAACCTGGGAGGCAGAGGTTGCAGTGAGCTGAGATTGTGCCATTGCACTCCAGCCTGGGCAACAAGAGTGAGACTCCATCTCAAAAAAAAAAAAAAAAAAAAAAAAAAAAAAAAAGAAAGCTAATCCAATCTTAAATACACTGATTAAAATAGAATATCTATCTAGGCCTTTTTTCAGACATCTCTCTCTCCTTCACAAGGAACTGCTCTCCTCTCTGCTTTCTTCTGTCTATTAAACGTTCCACTCCTTAACCCACTAAAAAAATTAATTAATTAGTTAATTAAATAGAATATCTAGCTGAGTGTGGTGGCTCATGCCTGTAATCCCAACATTTTGGCAGGCTGAGGTGAGAGGGAGCCCAGGAGTTCGAGACCAGCCTGGGCAACATAGCGTGACCCCCATCTCTACAAAATATTTAAAATTTAGCCAGGCATGGTGGTGCACACCTATAGTCTCAGCTGCTCAGGAGGCTGAGGCAAGAAGGATCTCTTGAGCCCAGGAGTTTGAGGTTACACTATACATATAAACACACACATACAAACACGCATAATGTCTACACTGAGGGAAGTGATACCCATTGTACTCTGATCAGCACACTTTGAACATTACGGCCCAGCTCACTCCAACTGGAATGAGTTCAGAGAAGTCAGTGTGAGACTCGAAATCATGCATTAAAAAGGATGGTTGAAGAAACTGGGGGAAAAAAAAAGTCAGATGGGCCCAGCAGCTTTCTTCTAATGGCAACATTATGGCTCTTCTAGGGTCCTGCATCCTTTTCCTCCTGCCTCTCCCTCTGGTGTCAGCCTCTGGCACAGGTTGTCACGCTTGGTTCTGCTGTTGAACTGAGGGTAGAGGAGAAGGATGAGGCCCTCTAGGGGAGGTGTCCATGAACACCATTAAACCTTCTGTGTGTGCTCATATGTCTATCACAGCACTGTTCACAATAGCAAAAATATAGAATCAACCTCAATCTAAGTGGCCATCAATGGATGATTGGATAAAGAAACTGTAGTATATATACACAATGGAATACTATTCGGCCATAAAAAAAGAATGAAATCATGGTCTTTTGCAGCAACATGGATGGAACTGGAAGCCATTATCTTAAGTGAAACCAAATCAGACACAGAAAGACATATATTGCATGTCCTCTCTTGTAAGTGGGGGCTAAATAATGCGTACACCCTGGGCACGGTGGCTCATACCTGTAATCCCAACACTTTGGGAGGCTGAGGCAGGTAGGTCACCTGAGGTCAGGAGTTCAAGACCAGCCAGGCCAACAACGCAAAACCCTGTCTCTAATAAAAGTATTAAAAAAAAAAAAATTAGCCAGGCATGGTGGTGTTTGCTTGTAATCCCAGCTACTCGGGAGGCTGAGGCAAGAGAATCGCTTGAACCCAGGAGGTGGAGGGTGCAGTGAGCTGAGATCGCGCCACTGCACTCCAGCCTGGGTGACTAAGTGGGACTCTGTCTCAAAAAATAATAATAATGTGTACACATGGACATAAGAGCATGGAATGATAGACAATGGAGACTTGGAAGGGTGAGAGGGTGGGAGGGGGGTGAATGATGAGAAATTACTTCATGGGCCTTATGTACATTATGCAAGTGATGGATATCCTAAAAGCCCTGAATTCACCACTACACAAGCTGTGCATGGAACAAAATTGCACCTCTATTCCATACATTTATACAAATAAGAATATAATAATTTCAAAAATAAAACTCCGTGTATGAAGATTAATTTCCTACTACCTTATTATGTAAAAGATTGTCTGCTTCCTTTCCTGTATAAGTTTTAATGCAAGACTCTCCTCCTATTAGCTTAATGCTGTGGGCCCAGGAAGGGAAACAGGTAGGGCACAGGGAGAAAAATTTATCCCAACACATCTAAAATTGTGTCAGATAGAAAGGAGTTAGTCTTTTTTTTATATAAGCCCCAAGTTGGATAATTCAGACAAATGGTGAAGCCATGGGGAAAGACAACTGGAAAAAAGCTAGAGTTGCTCAGGAATGGAATACATATGTTCAAATGTGAGTGGAACGGCACATCACATAAATGTGTTTTGCCAGGGGATCCTGGCACTGGGGTGAGTGTGAGGATTAGCTCTTGTCGAAGGCTCTTTCCAACTTTGATTCTAGGATTAATCGAATTAACACTGCATTTCCATGGTACTAGAGGGGAACAGCAGTTGAGCTAGTGAACTGATGGAAATACTTACACACTAATTGGTATGGGGAAGGTGGAATAACTAGAAGCCCTTTAAGGTATCTTCCAACTCTGAGATTCTTATTTTGTGATTCCAGATTCTGAAAGGGAGCCACTGTAGAGCTACTGGCAGATCTACACAGCTGACAAGATGCAGCTCACCCCTCTGTCTCAGGTCTCAGGACAACACCTGGTGTGTGCACGTGGGTGGGGGGTGGGTGTGGGAAGCAGAGATGAGGGCAGGAAAAGATAGACATCTGCAGGGCCAGAGCTTGGGCACACACACACACACACACACACACACACACACACACACGGTGGAGATCCAGAGTTGGACCCTTCCCTTAGCTGCTGGCCACAGTCATCTATTGTTGGGGACACAGCTGCCTCTACCTCCTCTCCCAAAACCAGTGCAGGCTTGAGGCAACCTAAGACACCAAACCTCAGAACCAAAGTCCATTTGCCAAAGCATAGGTGCCCCCTCAAAAGCTGGGGGACAGAAGATGGTGCTGAGCACAGAAGCTACTGCCAGCATGACCAGAAGGTATCACTTAAAGTGGCATCCTTCAGCCATCTCTGTGTGCTCTGAGACTGTGGATAAGAGTCCTCTAGTCACCCACTACCTGGCATCCCCCTCTCACTCCCCTCCCTGTCCCCAGAGCTCCTGCTCTCTGCTTCCCTCCCTTTAATGCAGGGTGGATAGGCAGAGAACACAGGACGCTTCCTGCCCTGGGCCCTGCTCAGACCTCAGTGGTTCAAACACAGCCCTCCCCACAGAGTTCTCACTACCTGCTCCCCATTATGACCACAGCCTCTCTGCATCACCCACAGGTAACATGGCCCTTGGCAGACTGCTTTCTCCATCCCACAGGACTCCCACACACCTCACCCCACTCTGCCTCCTCCACTTTATACTGGCCAAAAACGTGACTTTCTTAACAAGCCAAAAAGCTGCTCATCCTCTCCCAATATCCCACCCTTGAACTTTGAAGGCTGAGTCAAGAGTTTTACTTCTGTCAAAACACAGCCAGTGCAGAGGGCCAACCTTCTTCCCTCCCACTGAGGAACTGGAGGGGCTTCCTCAAGGTCTCATGGACACAGCCTTGCAGCTTTGGAAGCAGAGAGAGAACAAAACCCCTGACTCAATTCTCTTCCTCTTTTGCTCCTAGAGACTGTTCTTTTTCCTGCCCCTTAGGAGACACAGACACCGTAGCAACCGCACTAAGCCCAGCGGTAATGTGTTTTCCTATATGGAGTTCCACCCACCTATGCAGGAGTCCACCACTGACTATCTTCATCATAAGCCACCCTGCCCCCAACCAGCACTATGCTCAAAGGCAAAAGAAACAACCAAACAAACATGAAATGCTGGTGAAAACTGCTTTTGAAATTCCACATGCCCTTAAATGTTAAATGCAGAGAACTCCTCACCCCTCCCCACCCCCACCACTAGTTCTTATGTCCCCAGCTTCAAATAAATTCAAACTGGGTCCTGTCTGGACACCACCACCAGCACCCACCTCTCCCCTGACAAGGGGCAATGGGTAATAGAAGGCTACCATGAGACAGGCAAGAATCACTGGAACAAGCCAATCACTTCTCCCCCGCCTCTAGACACCCCCTCTCCAGGGGACAGAAGATCCCCACCTGTTTGACTACTCTTCTTCAAATAGTACATCCCTCAATCCCACCCAGCAAGAGACACTGGCTCTCCAAACACAGCCAGAGAACTGTGACCCTGGTGTTCAGGTAAAGCCAGGAATAAGACAAGAGAAGGATCAACAGAGACTGGGACATGTGCCACTGAGGCAGCAGACATGCTCTTTAAGTATCTATTTTAAGAAACTATTTATTAAGCACCTACTACATGCCAGACACTATGCTAGATAACTTTATTTCAGATCCTCTCAATAACCAGAAAGGGAGGTATTACCCTGATTTTACAAATAAGGAAATTGTGTGGCCAGGTGCAGTGGCTCACGCCTGTAATCCCAGCACTTTGGGAGGCCAAGGTGGGTGGATCACCTGAGGTCAGGAGTTCGAGACCAGCCTGGCCAACATGGTGAAACCCCGTCTCTATTAAAAATACAAAAATTAGCCGGGCATGGTGGCAGGAGCCTGTAATCCCAGCTACTCAGGAGGCTGAGGCAGGAGAATCACTTGAACCCGGGAGGCGGAGGTTGCAGTGAGCTGAGATTGCGCCACTGCACTCCAGCCTGAGGGACAAGAGCGAGACTCTGTATCAAAAAAAAAAACAAAAAATAAATAAATAAGGAAACTGTGGCTCAGAGAAGTTAAGTAACTTGATAGGAGGTAACATGGACTACTTTTTGATGACCTCTCACTCTAGGAGACTGACCACCACTGACTTCCCCTACTAAGCCCAATTAATGAAGGGAAGGTCAGAAGGACCCCCCCTCGCCCCCCCTCAACCCCCCACAAACTGAACTTCCCACTGGGGGGAGCAGCAGAAGGGAGCTGCTTTTCAGCAGTTGGAAGCCCAGGAGGAAATAGCCCCAGGAGATGTTAAATACCACCTGAAGCCCCTTGGCATGGCTCCATCCTGCAGCATTATTTTTACCCCGGGCAGCAAACATATCCAGCATGTGCAGAAGGAAACTGCCCCCGGCTGGCAGCCCACTACTTAATCTGCATGAAGAGCTGAGCTGGCCAAAGCAGGAGACGGCCATCCTGGCTGGCAACAGCACTGTCAAATTTGATGGGGACACAGTGACCAGGGTAAAGTGCCCAAGCTCTCTGTCAACAAGTAATCAGCATGAAGGTCCTATAACTTCAGGATGTATGGGGGAAAACAAGGAAGAGTTTATCCTGCTGGGATATCCCAACCCCCCTTTTCTTGGGAGACCCAGAAATGTGGCTCTCCCTAATCTACAACCATTCACAGACTGATCTCTCCCTGACAACAGAGGTAATGTAAGTACGCACTGAACATACACGTTTGACACACAGTAAGTACTTAATGAAAGAGAGCAATTAAAACAATAATTTTTTTCCCAGACAGGCATTCCTCTCTTCCCAGAGGTCTTGTCTACCACCTCCCAAGCCCCTGGCAAAAAGAGACAAGGGGCCAGGCGCAGTGGCTCACGCCTATAATCCCAACACTTTGGGAGGCAAGGTGGGCGGATCACCTGAGATCAGGAGTTTGAGACCAGCCTGACCAACATGGTGAAACCCGGTCTCTACTGAAAATACAAAAATCAGCTGGGTGTGGTGGCGCACATCTGTAATCC
Organism: Homo sapiens; assembly: GCF_000001405.40. Lineage (NCBI taxonomy): Eukaryota > Metazoa > Chordata > Mammalia > Primates > Hominidae > Homo > Homo sapiens. Next base: position 116,741,573 of record NC_000011.10, read on the forward strand.
CAGCTACTGGGGAGGCTGAGGCAGAAGAATTGCCTGAACCCAGGAGGCAGAGGTTACAGTGAGCTGAGATCGCGCCACTGTACTCCAGCCTGGGTGACAGAATGAAACTGTCTCAAAACACACACACACACACACACACACACACACACACACGAGTCAAGGGCACGTGCCCCTCTAACACACTTGGTTAGGATCTTCAAAGCCGAGTTCCAAACTGAAACTACCAGCAAGCAGTTCTTCCAGGACTGGGGAACTCAGCTTCAAGTACACTAGGACCTCCTTGCAGAGGCTATGAGAACCCCTGGTAAGAACTGCTCTGGACAGGAAACAGTCCCTTGGACTGCCCCCTCACCTCTTACCTTGCTACTGGAGTGAAGATAGGTGGGGGTGACAACTGCAGGGAGAGGAATCTGTTGTTTAAATTCTGACTCTTTCCCAACTCAGAGCGATTTTGAGCAAGTTAACCTCTCTGCACAATTGCTTCCTCTCCTACTAAAAGGAAAATAAAGAAAACAGGCCCTGTTTACTAAGCACTAGAGATTGCATTTTTACGTGTGACAGGATAAAGTCACACACTTTGTAATTCCTTAGCTGACAGAGGGCGCTGGATGTGATATGCGGAGGGAAAGACTGACTCCTTTTTCAGCAGACTGCTCTCTGTCCCCTCCCAAGGGGGTGGGTTCACAGGTACTGCCTGAGTATCAACCTACCACCAAGATCGCCCACGTGCCCTTGTTTTCTGAAAGGGTGAAGCTGTATAAGGCCAAGATCAACACCATCAAGTTTGAATCATTCAGGAGAGATAAAGGAGAGACTGAGTCATTCCAGTCTATTACTACGTCTATTACTACTATTATATTCTATCTGAGCCAGAGTGTCTGCTCAGTGATTCTTCTTTTTTGTTGTTTTTACATTTTTTAAATTTTATTTATTTCATTGAGATGGGGTCTCATTGTCCAGGCTGGTCCTGAACTCCTGTGCTTAAGTGATCCTCCCACTTGACCTCTTGAGTAGCTGGAATTACAGGAATGCACTACCATTCCCGGCCTGTTTTAATATTTTTAAATTCAGATATAATTATCATACCATAAAGTTCACCCTTTTAAAATGTACAATTCAGAGGTTTTTCACATTGCTCATGGCTTCTTAAGTCTAAACTTGAAAGTGGAGGAGGCGCAAGAAAGGAGATTTGATTAAAAGGAAAAAAAAAATCTTCCACGTAGAGAAAGGTTTCCAAAGCCCAAGTAAGGGAGATTCTGGTCAAAACCTAAATACTAGGTCTCTCTCTTGAAAATCTTTTCCATATTGGAAACAGGATTATGTTCTAGATCTAAGGCCTACTATTATTAAGTGTGTATAGACCCAGGGCTCCGCTTTCGCCAGTCTAGAAAAGGCATATCACACTGCCCTCTAGTAGACAGCCTAGGAAATGACAGTCAGCTAGGGACTGGACAGGCTTGCGATCTCTGCCCTACAAGATGTGCTGTGTTCTCACACTTACAGGCAGAGAAATTGGAGGGGGTGGAGTTTTTAAATGTTCACTAATGCCTACTAAATAAACATAGAGCTCACCTGAAACAGAATCTAACTGCTTTCCCTACACCTTAATCTCTGCTTAAAAATAAATAATACATTCCTGCGCATGCCTGTAATCTCAGCTACTCGGAAGACTGAGGCAGAATTGCTTGAACCCAGGAGGTGGAGGTCGCAGTGAGCCGAGATCGTGCCACTGCACTCCAGCCTAAGCGACAGAGCGAGACTCGGTCTCAAAAAAATAAAAAATGAATAAATAAATAAATAATACATTCCTTTGTTAAGGGAAAAAAAGTGATTTCAGATTTCTAAAGCCTCTGAGCCTCTTAAGAGTGAGGTGTTCCTAAGAAACAGCGTGAGGGTCCCACAAAAATGAAGTTAAAACCCGAACCCATACAGAAACAAAACCTAGCTGTGCAGAAGGGGTGTGACAATGAGCTAGGAGTTGAATGCCTCCTCTGCCACCTTGGGAAGGCGAGACAGTAGGATCACAGCCCACAAGTTTCAAGCATGCCATAGCACTCCAGCCTGGGCAACACAGCAAGATCTGAGCTGTAAAAATAAATAAAGTACTTCCATCTCATAAATGCTGATTCTCGACACAATTCCAGTTTACATTTTATCTCCCTACCTAAGCCCTTCTCTGACAATCACTGGCCAGAGTTAGGGAAGAGACATCCCTAACTTGGTAGTGACCCCAACTGATACTCCCTTCGGGATTTTCAGGTCTCAAAACTATTTAAAAATCTATGTATGTCTCAAATGGCTGGGGGATGGACAGCCTTTCTTTACAAGTCTGAGAAGTATATAATGTGGCAAAGATAATATGTTATGTGTCCAACAACATCCATTTATCCCTTCTTCCTGATGCATATTATATGCCTCGGGCTCCTTTGCATTAAGAGGGAGCCTTGTGACTAGGTTCTTACCAACAGAATATGAGTAGAAGTGTGTGCCGCTTCTAGAGCTAGCCGGTAACATCTGCCAAGCAATCCTTCACGTTCTGCTCAACTCACTAAAATGGTAATGCCCAACACAACCTTGGAAGCCATAGTGAAGCTGGCATCAGCCTGATCCCTAAACAACTTCATAGAGTATCTCACTCCTACTTTCTCAACCTGAAACGACCTGCATGTTACACGAGTGAGCAGGGGGGAAACACATGTCTATTTGGAGTCTGCTTTAGCAGTTTAGTCTACCCTAACTAATATGGGTACTAAATGTCAATTCCATGAAACCAGACCTTGCTTCTGGAGCTGCACTTAGGGCTTCAGGTGCACAGAACTGAGTTATCACAGGCCTGAGTTCATGATACACGATCACTTTCATCCATGCAAAGCCCTCTTTGCTTCCCTTTCCCCGCTTCATTCTCCATTCTAGTCTCATTCTGTTCCCTCCCACAAACCTATTCTACTGATTAAGGTGTATATCCTCCTTATAAAATAATATCACTTCATGTGTTTATATAGCTGATTTTTGCTTTAAATTTCACTGTTCCTTATTTTTTCACTTGAAGTCTACCATTTCACGAAATTCCTAACAGCTTGCATTTGACTTAAAAAAAAAACTCCATTATATGCATATACCACATTTTACTTATCAATTTCCTTAGTGATGGACATCTAAGTTTTTTCCAAATTCTTGCCACCCAAACTATACATAGAAAAACATCCTTGTATCTACTCCTCAAGGATTTATGCAAATTTCTCCGAAGGATATAGCCAGGAGTGGAACTACTTTGAAGTATGTACATAAAGTATTAGTTATCTGTTGCTGTATAACAATTGTTATGGTTATAACTGTAACTGCTGTTGCTTACCTACCCTAAATGCAAACTTCCTTCCCTAAATGCTTGAGCAGCTTAAAACAATAACAACCCATAGAATGAGAAAAGTATTTGCAAATCATGTATCTAGTAAAGGACTTATAACCAAGATATATATAAAGAACCCTTTACGTAAGAGAGTGCCTGTGTATGTGTATATATAACCAATAACCCAAATGAAAAATGGGCAAAGGATTTGAATAAAGATTTCTCCAAAAGATATATAAAGATGCTCAACATCACTAGCCACCAGGAAAATGCAAATCAAAACCATAATGATATACCACCTCCCACCCATCAGGATGGCTATAATCAAAAAGACAAATAATAAGTGTTGGCAAGCATGTGGAGAAATTGGAACGCGCATACATTTCTTTGGAATAAGTTTGGCAGTTCCTCAAAAAGTTAAACATGGAGTTACATATGACCCAGCAATTTCACTCCTAGGAATATATCCACCCCTAGGAATATAAAAAAGAAAATATACATCCATACAAAAACTTATACATGAATTGTTCACAGCAGCATTATTCATAATACCCAAACAGTGGAAACAACTCGAATGCCCATCAAATGATGCATAAATAAAATGTGGTATATCCGCACAAGGGAATATTATTCAGCCTTAAAAAGGAATGTAGGGCTGATACATATTACAACATGGATGAACCTTGAAAACATTATGCTAAGCACAAAAAGCCAGACACAAAAGGCCAAATATTATATGACAGTCTCACTCATATCTTATTAATATATGAAAGTCCAGAACGGGCAAACTATACAGGCAGAAAGTAGATTAGTGTTTGCCTAAGGCTGGAGAAGTTAGGGGAAAGTGGGGAGTGACTGCTAATGGGTACAAGGTTTCTTGTACCCACAAGATGATAAAAATGTTTTAAAATTAAATGTGGTGATGGTTGCATAACTCTGTGATATATTACAAGCCACTGAATCATACACCTTAAGTGGGTGAATTGTGTAGTATGTAAATTATATCTCAATAAAGCAGTTTTTAAAAAATACTAAACATGGCCAGGCGCAGTGGCTCATGCCTGTAATCCCAGCACTTTGGGAGGCCGAGGTGGGCAGATCACGAGGTCAGGAGTTCAAGACCAGCCTGGCCAACATAGTGAAACCCCACCTCTACTAAAAATACAAAAATTAGCTGGGCATGGGCACCTGTAGTCCCAGCTACTCGGGTGGCTGAGGCAGGAGAATTGCTTGAACCCGGGAGGCAGAGGTTGTGGTGAGCCAAGATCACACCACTGCACTCCAGCCTGGGAAACAGAGTAAGACTCCACCTCAAATAAATAAATAAATACTAAACATTTATTATCTCAGAGTTTCTTTGGTTCAAGAATCTGGAGCTGGATGTTCTGGGTCAGGATCTCTCACGAGGTCGATCAGGGCTGCAAGCCTGAGGGAGGGCTTGAGTAGAGCTGGCGGATGCACTTCCAAGGTGATTCACTCCTACAGAAGGCAATTTGGTGCTGGCTGTTGGTGAGAGGCCTCAGAGCTTCTCTACCTGGGCCTCTCCAGAGGGCTGCTTGAGTGTCCTCATGATATGGAAGCTGGCATCCTCCAGAGCAAGGATCCAAGATAGCACAAGGCAGATATTTTAATACCTTTTATGACCTACCTTCGTAAGTCACACATTTCTAGTACATCCTATTGGTTACACAGGTCAACCTTATTTATTGTGGGAGGGGACTATACAAGGGTTTATATACCAGAGGGCAGAGATCATTAGGGGCCATCGTGGAAGCTGGCTGCCCTACTTGATGATAATGATGACAATGATAATAATAACAGCTAATAATTCTGTGACACTACTGTGTGCCAGGCATTGTTCTAAGCTTACAATAAACCTATGAGGTAGGTACTATTATGTCTATTTCACAGACGAAAAAACTAAGGCATAGAGAAGTTAACTGGCTTACCAAAGGTTACACAGCTAGCAAACGACATAGCTGGGATTCAAATTCAGGCAGTATAGCTCCAGAGCCACACTATTAAAAACTGCAATATCGCTCCCTAGGTATTACTTGATTTCAGTAAGTTTCATTCATTTGTTCTCCAAAATGAATACACCAGCTGAAATATTCCATGTAGCCGGGCACAGTGGTTCATGCCTGTAACCCCAGCACTTTGGGAGGACAAGGCGGGCGGATCACCTGAGGTCAGGAGTACGAGATCAGCCTGGCCAACATGGTGAAACCCCATCTCTACTAAAAAAACAAAAATTGTGTAGCGCATGCCTACAGTCCTGGCTACTCAGGAGGCTGAGGTGGGAGGATTGCTTGAACCTGGGAGGCAGAGGCACCACTGCACTCCAGCCTGGATGACAGAGTAAGACTCTGTCTTTTTAAAAAAAAAAAAAAAAAGAAAGAAAGGAAAAGAGAAAAGAAAAGAAGAGAAAATATTCCATGAGTTCTGATTCCCCATCAGATCAGTCTCTTGCTTATTTTTGCCAAACTAAGATGTAAGGTAGAAACTCAGTGTTTTAATTAGCGTATCTGTAATTACTAGTGAGGTAATATACTTATGAGCCACTCTGGTTTTCTCTTTAGATTTTACCTATTCATATTTTTGCATATTTTTATTTCATCTGTCTTTTTCTTCATGATTTGCAGAAGCTCTTTCTATATTCTATCCCTTGTATATGCAATCCTTGTCAGTTTTAGACACTGCAAATATTTTCTCCTAATCCGTATCCATCTTTAGCTTTGACTATGGGATGCTTTGCTAAATAGAAACCTTTAATTACAAAGTAATCAAAGCTATCAAATCTTATGCATTGTGCTTTGGGATCTTATTTAAGAAATTTATCTTTACCCCAAGGCACAAAAACATTTGCCATTTGTTCCTACTAGCTGTATATCACGTTATCTTTCATTTAGGTCTTTAATCACTTTGGGATTTTTGTTTTATATGGTATGAGGGTTCAACTTTATTTTTGTCCATATAATAAGCCAATTTTCTGAGCACTATTATCCATCTCTTCCCTACTAACTTGTGACACTATCTTTATCATACACCATGTCTCCAAATATCTGTGTGTCTATTCCTGAGTCTAGTTTAGTACTAATTCCTGTTTTCTCAGAGGAAGGATCTATCACTAAGAAAGTTTTTACTCACACTGCTTTCTAGATTAGTGAAAAATTCAACCACCACCCCCCAAATCCCCACAGGTTCAATATTAGCCTGTATTCTTCCCAAAACAGAATACCCAGTTAAGAAGATAATTTTAAAAAAATAAATACATGTTTATTTAAAAAAGAAAAAGAAAAACCCTACCAAGAACAAACCCTGGTCAATGAGAAATCAATGCTTCCTCTGAAAGCCAGCAACAGCCGGTGCTGTCACACCCAAGAAGTACAGGTACCTCAGTCCAAACATCAGGTCTCGAATATTCTTCTGTGGTCAAAACTGGCATTCAACAAGTTGCTGGTCTGTGTGGGCTCCAATTATTAGCACAGACAACTGTTACCACTGGATATCTCGCTGCCTATGCCCACTACCACAGCCCAGCCACCCCCACAGCCTCAGGAAAGTTACATATCCTCAACACTCCATTTGTAGGCAAGTTCCTCCACTGCCTTCTTGCTGGCAAGCCTGGCAAAGCGCTTCTGTTCAAATCCATTGGATCTGCAATCAAAAGAGACATACTATTCAGCTAGAACCCTGAAAGGGGCATTTGTTTCAAAAGAAAGGGAAGAGTTCACAATATAATGAAAAGGGGGGAAAGTAAGGAGTCATATGAAAATATTTTAGGCATGGCCGGGCACGGCGGCTCACGCCTGTAATCCCAGCACTTTGGGAGGCCAAGGCGGGTAGATCACGAGGTCAGGCATTCAAGACCAGCCTGCCTAATATGGTGAAACCCTGTCTCTACTAACAATACAAAAATTAGCCAGGTGCAGTGGCAGGTGCCTGTAATCCAGCTATTCGGGAGGCTGACGCAGGAGAATCGCTTGAACCTGGACAGCAGAGGTTGCAGTGAGCGGAGATCGTGCCACTGCACTCCAGCCTGGGTGACAGAGACTCTGTCTCAAAAAAAAAAAAAAAAAAAAAGAAAGAAAGAAACAAAAAAGAAAAGAAAATATTTAAGGCATATGCAATAGAATCAAAGGGACAAAATATATCATTCATCCTTTTCTTAGTCCTTGTTCACACCCTTCCCCCACTCTGACAGCTATTTCAAACGTTTGCCACTCTAAAAGCCTGGTTCTCTCTCAGCTGATGTCCACATCTTATATTTTATCCATTCATTACACAAACATTTATTGAATTTTCATTATATACTAGGTACCATGGTAGACACTACATGAAAATGAGTATGACACAGCACCTGTCCTGATGAACTCCCAGACTAGTGGAAGAGAGAGACATTTAAACAAATAAATTAAAAGAACAGCATAAACTCTGGTAGAAATACGCATGGGGTGTCATGGAAACAGAATGGGTATCTTAATCAGCTTGGGGGAGGTATGATAAAAAGGTGACATGAGGGTTGGGCAAGAATGATCAGTAAAGGCTCTGTGTTAACTACAGCACTGGGGATGGAAGGGCCAGAAAGGGTCTGGAGGTCATTTCAGAACAGAATGAGCAACAAGAACAAAGGCACGGAAATAAGAAGTGGCCTGGTATGTGCAGCAAACCAAAGGCAAACTGGTATGGCTGGAACCTGAAGTATGACAAAGGGAACAGCCATGAGTCAAAGTTGGAAAGGCGCAGAGGCCAATGCATAATGAGCTGCGTAGGCCATGGTAAAAAGCTTAGATTTCATCCAGAAACGATGGGTTTAAAGCAAGAACTTAAACTGCATTTCAAAGAGATCACTCTGGAGGGGATCTGGGGCAGGAAAATCACTGCAATGGTCCAGGCAACAGATGATGAAGGCAATGATAAAGAGGGACGGAAGAGAGAAGACACAGGAGGCAAAATTAGTAAGACTAATTAGCAGCACTAATTGATTAGGTACACAAGGACAAAGAAGGAGGAGGCAAGTTAGAGAGCACAAGAGTAGGAGCAGGCTTACAGTAGAAGCTGATGAGTTCAGCTTTGAATACAATGCATTTGAAATCTCTCAAGTCTAAATCAATAGAGAAATCCAACAAACAGCTAAATACACCAGACCAAGATGCAAATACTGATTTGGAAATCATGTACATATAGGTCATAGTTGAAAACATGACTAGGTAAGAATCAGCCAGAGGGAGCACATAGAGTGAGAACAGCTAAAAATTATGGATGGAGCCCTGGGAAAGACTTAAGAGGTGCACAGAGGAAGAGGAGTTTGCAAAGGTGGCCAAGAATGATCAGAGAAAAGAACCAGGAGTAGGGTGTCATGGAAAACAATACAGGGGTGAATTTCAAGGAGGTAGTGAGTGGACCTCAAATCCCTTTAATTACCATGCATTCTCTTGGTCTTCTTATCTAAACTTCTTAAAAAGCCTGTATTCACTATTTGTTTCCTCACTTTTCATTCACTCCTTAATACATTAGAACCTGGCCATTGTTTCACTACACAACGGAACTAGCCCTTTCAGGTCATCACTGACATTCCTTGTTGCCAAATCCAATGACTCCTCCTTCCTCTTCCCCAAATCAGCAAACAGGTCCCACCAGCTCACCCCTGACCACATCCCCACTTCCTATTCTCTTACTAACCATCCTTACTACCACTGCCTGCAAGTCGTAGTTCAGACACTCATTACTTTCAGCCTGAGCTACTGCAAAAGCCTTGTATCTGTTCTACTTCCAATCTTGTACCTTTCAAATCCTTCATATTACTGCTATAATGGATTTGTCTATCTAAAATGCAGAGCTGTTTTTAATCCTTCCGTGTCTCCCCTTTACCTCTAGGGTGAAGACCAAGCTCCTCAGATAGGCTTCCAGGGCCTTCTGTGATCACGGTCTGCCAACCTCTCTCATCCATCTCACGCTTTATGCTATCCAACAACAGCAAATTACTTAGGGACCCCCACCACCTGGTAACACCATGGTGTCTCATAGCCTTATGACTCTGCACATATAGGACCCTCTTCCTTTAATATCCTTCCTTTCCTTCTTATCTTGGCTGGTTACCAACATCCCTTAAAACTCAGCTCCCACATTTCATCCGTTAGGAAGCACTTCCTGATCACTCACATCCTCCTAAGGCTCAACTTACTCTTCCTTTGTGCTCCCAAAACATCTTGAAAATCTTCTATAGTAACACTAACCAAACAGCGTTGAAACTGTCTGTCTTCTATTCTAGATTGAAAGTGAGCTCCTGGGCTCAGGGGCTATCTCTCTTTAATCATGGAATCCCTAGTACCTACTACCTAGCTGCTTACACTTATAACATGTATGCTAAGACTTTCCCTTAAGGGATGAGTGGAGTGAGTAACAGAGGGCTTTAAGAAGGGAAGCTTGGCCGGACATGGTGGCTCACGCCTGTAATCCCAGCACTTTGGGAGGCCGAGGCAGGTGAATCACCTGAGATGAGAAGTTCGAGACCAGCCTGGCCAACATGGTGAAACCCTGTCTCTACTAAAAATACAAAAATTAGCTGGGCGTGGTGCTCACGCCTGTAATCCCAGCTACTCGGGAGGCTGAGGCAAGAGAATTGCTTGAACCTAGGAGGCGGAGGTTCCAGTGAGCCAAGATCGTGCCATTTTGCACTCCAGCCTGAGCAACAAGAGCGAAATTCCGTCTCAAAAAAAAAAGAAGGGAAGCTTATTATAAATGGCATCCTCTCCAACCTTAGAAGCATGGATGGTATTCCAAAGCACCAAGGAAACCACTGTTTTTTACCTTGGAAATAAGGTCTTAAGAGAGTTACACTAATATGATAATACAAAGGACATATGAATAACAAACACCAAATCCTAAGCAGAATCAGAAAACAAATTGCAGGAGAACTCACAGTGGAAAGAGCTTTGGACCAGAGAATCAGGAACGCAGAGTTCTAATTCCAGCTTTCTCAGGGAAATTGCATGACTCTAGGCAAACTGCTTATTTATTGGGCCTCAGTTTCTCTTTTTTTTGAGACGGAGTCTTGCTCTGTTGCCCAGGCTGGAGTGCAGTGGCACGATCTCGGCTCACTGCAAGCTCCGCTTCCCGGGTTCACGCCATTCTCCTGCCTCAGCCTTCCGAGCAGCTGGGACTACAGGCGCCCGCCACCACGCCCAGCTAATTTTTTGTATTTTTTTTAGTAGAGACGAGGTTTCACCATGTTAGCCAGGATGGTCTCAATCTCCTGACCTCGTGATCTGCCCGCCTCGGCCTCCCAAAGTGCTGAGATTATAGGCATGAGCCACCGCACCCGGCCCCGTTTCTCTTTCAATTAAGAGAGGCTGGGTAATTATCTTATGGGTTTTTCCAACAGATACTATATATCTGTTCCGGAAATATTCCCTTGCAGCAGGCCGAAAAGAGACAAAACTAGAAAAGATGATGAAAGATGAATAACAAAAAGAAAGCAAGGGTGACAAAGGGAAATAAGAGAAGAAATCTAGGATAAAATCAGAACAAGAAGTGGAAAAAAGCAACTGAGAAAAATGAAGACAAATTAAATACTAGTAAAAAAAAACTAGGTCAGGGAGAATTCTAAGTTTTGGGTCCAAAAATTAAAAAACAAAAAACAAAAACTCGGTAGCAGGGAACATCTGTAGGGTTGTGCTATAAAAAGATCTACTTCTGGCTGTATGTATGGCAAATGAGTGTTCTGAAAAATCCTCCTTCTACCAAAAAGCCTACATACAGTGAACTGCAAACGGAACTAGTAAGCTAGCCTGTAACCACAGCTACCCTAAAGATATCTGCCAAGATGAGGAACTACAGTCAACTTATAGATATCTGCCAATATCAGAAAGAAGAGCCTTAAATTTTTTTATTCTGGAGTTGGGGTCTCACTATGTTGCCTAGCCTGGACTTAAACTCCTGGGTTCAAGCGATCTTCCTGCCTCAGCCTCCCAAATAGCTGGTACTACAGACACACGCCACCACACCTGGCTGTTGGATTTTGACGGCACCCCGAGGGACAGAAGACAACGCCTTAGGCCCATATAAGGTGGGGAGACAGATTCTAGACATTGCAGAGTAACCCGAACAGACTAACCTATCCTCAGTTAGCAACTATAAAACCTAGACAAAACAAAAAAAATAGGTATTTGAAGGTGTGGAAGAGTGACCAAAAGTAAGTATGAACTGGATGAAGTCTATATGTGAAAAGAGATTTGCTGGAGGGCAACTTCCCAAACAGCATGGCTCATGAAGGCAGAAAGCCACAGGCTTACTGGCTTGAGGAATTAGTGCAAAGTGGGCAGAACAGCTAGGAAATTAGGGGGGAAATCTTGGAAGAGAAGGAACTACAAAAGAGATGAACCTCAAAATCTACATACAAACCCTAGTCAAATCCTTGGCTAACTGTTAAATGACACATGTGCAGAGAAAATACCATCAGGCCAATTAAAAAAATGGCAGCTAGAAACTAAAAGAACTGAGCAAAGATTGTAGCTGCCGTCCACTGCAAAGGAGACAGTTTGGAGTTCAGCTATGTTAACTACCTGCTAGAATAAAAACTAACACACTTAAGAGGAATACAGTGTAACAGAACTCAAAGTCTCTACAGTGTATCATTCATGATGCGTAGTAACAATTTTAAAAAGTGACCAGACAGGTAAATAAACAGGAAAATGTAATACACACTGAAGAAAAAGCTGTCAATAGAAACCAATCCTGTGGTGAATCCAATGTTGCAATTAGCAGACAGGACTTCAAAGCACTAATTACATATCATAAATATTTTCAAGAAGAGGAAAATGTCTCATAATGAACAGATGGGAAATCTCAGCAGAGAAATGTAAGCTATTAAATGGAAATTTTAGAGTTGAAAAACAAAATAAACCAGCTAAAACAAAAAATCCACAATTGATAGTAACTGATAGAAAAATACAAACACAAAAAACCCAGAATACAGGCGATCTAAGATCTAAACACCTTGACCTCACTGACTTTTATAAAACACTACCTTATATAGCTACAGAATATACGTTCTCTTCAAGTGCAAAGGAAACATTCAGAAGATAGACTATCCACTGGGCCATAAAACACACCTTAACAAATTTCATTTTTATTATTGTTTTTTGATACATGGTCTCACTCTGTCATCCAGGCTGGAGTGCAGTGGTGCAATCACAGCACATTGCAGCCTCGACCTCCCTGGGCTCAGTGATCCTCCCACCTCAGCCTCCACAGTAGCTGGGACTATAGGCGTGTGCCACCATGCCCGACTAATTTTTGTATTTTTTTGTAGAGACAGGGTTTTGCCATGTTGCCCAGGCTGGTCTCAAACTCCTAGGCTCAAGCAATCCGTCTGCCTTGGGCTCCCAAAATGTTGGGATTACAGGCATGAGCCACTGTGCCTGGCCAACAAATTTCAAAAGATCAAAATATTACAGTATATTATCTGACCAAAATGGAATTAAATTATAAGTAAATAGCAGTAAGATATCTAGAAAAGTCCAAATATTTGGAATTAATGCACTCCTAAATAACCCATGGAGCAAAGAATAAACCAAAAGGATAATTAGAAAATATTTTGAACAAAATCCAACATACATTCCTGAAAACAAAACTCTCAGCAAAACAGGAATAGAAGGGAACTTTAACTCCATAAAGGATATCTACAAAAAACCTATACAGCTACAACACATTTAATAAATGTGTTGTAAAAACTAAATGTTTTCTTCCTGAGATTAGGAACAAAGCAAAGATGTCTGCTCTCACTACTTCTATTCAACATCTGCACTGAAGTGCTAGCTAATGCAACAGGGCAAGGAAAAGAAACAAAAAGCATCTAGATTGTAAAGTAAGAAATTAAACTGTATGCAAAGATGGAAGACCCTCTAGGTACAAAATCTGATGGAATCTATAAAAAGCTATTGTACAAAGTGAGCTTTACCTGAAGGAAAACAACTGACAATACAGTGTAACAGAACTCAAAGTCTCTACAGTATATCATTCATGATGTCCAGTAACAATTTAAAAAAGTGACCAGACAGGTAAATAAACAGGAAAATGTAATACACACTGAAGAAAAAGCTGCCAATATAGAAACCAATCCTGTGGTGAATCCAATGTTGCAATTAACAGACAGGAAGGACTTCAAAGCACCAATTACATATCACAAATATTTTCAAGAAGAGGAAAATATCTCATAATGAACAGATGGGAAATCTCAGCAGAGAAATTAAGCTATTAAATGGAAATAGCTCAAGCAATGGAAATGCCAGTGATAACATTTAAACTTTCAAGTGTAAATTAGAATTCTGAAAAACTGTGAACTCTTTAACTTCCCATTATTTAAAGAGTTTTGTGATAAGACCGGAAGTGATGTTAACAAAAGTGATTTTCTGATATTGTATAGTGGAAATATGTCAACATTTGGAAGGTCTGAACAACTCAGCAAACCAATATTTTACAAATGACCAATGCATGATGTTATAAAATCATGCATGGGTAAAAGATCCACTCAAAGTATTAAAAAAATTAATATAACAGTAAGGAAAGTTCTTTGATCTGGTTTCAGGTTCCACATAGCTCACCTTTAAGAAACCAGCACTTGTTGAGTTTTTGTGTAACATTAAGAAATATAATATGCCTTCTCTTTCTAACTACCTATGTGTGAGGCTAAATTTTCTTTCTATACTTCAACTGAACAAATCACAACAGACAAATACAGAGTCAAGTTACCTATTATTAAGTCAGACATTAATGAGATTTGCAAAAATGTAAATCAATGCCATCCTTCTGTTTTTTCACTTGGAAAATGTAATTATTTTTCATTTAAATATACAGTAATTATGTTAACATAATTAGTTTATTTTTTTTTGAATGAATAAATACTTTTTAAATGTCTGAGTTTTAATTTATAATATGGTAAATATCAATATATATAATCCACATCAACAAAAGCTTTTTGAGGTCATCAGTAATTTTTAAGAGCGTAGGCCAGGCACGGTGGCTCAAGCGTGTAATCCCAGCACTTTGGGAAATCGAGGCAGACAATCATATGAGCCCAAGAATTCAAGACCAGCCTGGTCAATGTGGCAAAACCTCGTCTCTACTAAAAATGCAAAAATTAGCTGGATATGGTGACACATGCCTGTAATCCCAGCTACTCAGGCCACTGAAGCATGAGAATTGCTTGAACCCGGGAAGTGGAGATTGCACCACTGCACTCCAGCCTGAGCAACAGAGCAAGACTCTGCCTCAAAAAAAAATAAGAGTGGTTGGGCATGGTGGCTCACCTGTAATCCTGTAATCCTGTAAGCCTGTAATACCAGCACTTTGGGAGGCTGAAGTGGGCGGGTCACCTGAGGTCAGGAGTTTGAGACCAGCCTGGCAACATGGTGAAACTCCGTCTCTATTAAAGATACAAAAAATTAGCTGGGTGTGGCAGCGGGCGCCGGTAATCCCAGCTACTCGGGAGGCTAGGGCAGGAGAATCGCTTGAACCCAGGAGGCAGAGGTTGCAGTGAGCCGAGACTGCGCCACTGCACTCCAGCCTGGGCGACAGGGCGAGGCTCCATCTCAAAAAAAAAAAGACTGTAAAAGGGTCCTGAGATTAAAAAGTTTAAGAATTATTGTGCTAGATACTAAAACAATGTCCTTTAGTAGGCAAGAGGAGATGGGATCTAATATGTGAGTATACAAACTGACTTTGGATGGAAGCAAATATTCATCCATCATAACAGGAAGTTAGAGTACGTGGGTACAGATGTTGGTAGGTAGACAGATGAGGTGGGGTAGAGGACTGGAAGACATTAAAAGTGACTGCCTCCTAAAACCATAAAGTGAATAAAGATTCAGAGGCTACATTTTAAAGATATATCAGGTAGAAGGCTCCAGACTACAACTCATCACTCAACCCCTCTAAACCTTACAAAATATCATTAAAAGTAACCAATGTCCAAAACAAAGGGTGTCTTATCTGAACCACCTGAGGTGTTTGTCCAGAGCTTTAAAAAGTATTATGAAAAGGAAACAGAAGGAGGAGTGTTCCAAGCATGAGAAATAGGATTTGTGGACCTCAGAAAAAGAAGCAAGCAAAGTGCATATTTTTCACCTTGTGATTAAAGCAGAGAATGAAATAAAGTGTGGAGCAACTTACGAGTGGTTAGGGAAGGTTACAGTCAGGTAGAAAATGTAAGAAATACCCAGGCTTACCTGTCCACTCCGTCCCAGCGATATCCAGGCCAGATATTAAATCTGTTGGGAGGAGGTGCTGGACCACTGTAGCGAGGTCTCACTAATGAGAGGAGTAAGAAAAAAGTATTCAGTTAATGACATAGTTTAATTCAGAGCTGGATGGCAATGTGGAATTTTCCTTTTTTTTTAGTAGAGTCTCACTCTGTTGCCCAGGCTGGAGTACAGTGGCACGATCTCAGCTCACTGCAACCTCTGCCTCCTGGGTTCAAGCAATTCTCGTGCCTTAGCCTCCCAACTAGCCGGGATTACAGGCGTGCACCACCATGACCGGCTATTTTTTTTTTTTTTTTGTATTTTTAGTAGAGATGGGGTTTCACCATGTTGGCCAGGCTGGTCTCGAACTCTAAGGTGATCCACCCACCTCGGCCTCCCGAAGTGCTAGGATTACAAACATGAGCCACTGCGCCTGGCCTGGAAAAATTTTTATATAGAAAGACCAATTGAGTTGAATCTAAACTCACAAATACAATGAATTTAAATTATTTGGGAAATCCTTCTTTGCATATAGCTATGTATCAGCATCCTAATGATTCTCTCTTCACAAGTCACCTCCAGCTGATGATTCCCAGAAGTCCCACCTTTTTTATTCTTGTTCTCCTTGGCCTTATTCTTCTTGATGAAGTTGGCCATAGGGTCCCCCTCTCTTTCCTGTTCTCTTAGCATCCTATCCAGATCTTCGTCATCAATATAGCGGGCCAGAGGCTTTTGCATCTCTTTCATTGCATCCTCCACATTTTGTTGCTGTTGCCGGCTCTGGGCAAGCCTGGGCAAAAAGGAACCAAGAGTGTTTGCTATCCTGTATGACATTTCCACTTCTACACGAGATGGACCATACTGCTAAGTTTGGACAATCTCCTCTTTCTAGTACCCTAGGGCAAATACTGAGCAGGGTAAAATTCCCAGAATACCCACTAGAAGCGTGGAATATATCAATATCCTAGGAAGAAGATTCAGCACACCAAATTTCCCATTACTGATAACAGCTCTGAAGGCATAATAAGAAAGTGAGTGATCAGAAGAGCAGAGAAATGACTTGTTCCAGTCACTGCCATCTTGTTTACCCTTTCAGTGGTTCCCTTACCCTTTTCCCCACTGGGCATACAGCTCATCTCTCTCTGAGTCCTTTTCTGCTTTCCTCCTTTGCTCTAAACGTTCGAGTTTCAAATTCCTCTTACGACCAGACTTATCTCGAAATACGGTTTCAGCATATTGAAATTCAGCTGCAAAGGAAAATTATACTCAAATATCAGGATCAAAATCAGAAATAACATTCTAAGAGATCAAATCAACCGCTTGGGATTCTAATGCTAGATAAGAACTTCTGCAGCCAGACCAAAGTAGTTCCTACCAACATCTTGGTGCATATTGGCACTGGGCCCAAGAAATGGCATTTTCCTTTTTTTTTTTTTTTTTTTTTTGAGATGGAGTCTCACTCTGTTGCCCAGGTTGGAGTGCAGTGGCGCGATCTTGGCTCACTGCAACCTCCACCTCCCAGGTTCAAGCGATTCTCCTGTCTCAGCCTCCTGAGTAGCTGGGATTACAGGCATGCAACACCATGCCTGGCTAGTTTTTTTTTGTATTTTTGGTAGAGACAGGGTTTCATCATGTTAGCCAGGCTGGTCTTGAACTACAGACCTCAGCTGATCCACCCGCCTCGGCCTACCAAAGTGCTGGGATTACAAGCATGAGCCACCGCGCCTGGGCGAAATGGCATTTTTCAAGAAGGAAAGAAGCACTGGGATTCACTGAGAAATTACAACAATGCATAAAACCAGAGCTGAAATTTGATAGCAATTAAAAGTTCAAAATATCAGGTACAATAAGCTAAATTAAAAAAAAAAAAACAGTATGAGCCTAAATTGGTCTCTGCACTTTCATATTTTTACCTTCAAATGCCATGGTTTCTTGATCCTGTTCCTTGAGCTCCTGCTGTTCTCGCTGTATGTCAGTTAACACCAACCCAGTTTTAGCCCCAGAATACATGTGTGCAGCCTATGCAACGGAAAAGGGAGCATCCAACATTAATGAGATGATGTGACAGTAGGCTCCATGGGTACACAGTTAGTTGCATTTGTGTCTAATGACCAGCAATAATTAAACCTAAAACTCTAGCTTTATATTCTCAATAATTACCATAGGATTCAAAAACTATAAAAGAAAACCATCATCAAAACCATCAAGTTTAAGAATAAGCAGAAACACTAACAATATATTAAATGGAGGGCTACGCATTTGTATTTCTGACTTTTCAGTATATAAACTGCACACATGAAGACTATCTCAGGTCATCTGATCAGAAACCAGTATAAAGCACTAAGCCTTCCATTAGAGACCCATACTGATAAAATATTCCATTTACAGTACAAACTCAAGCAAACCTAAGATCCTTAAATTGTGGATATATTTCATGGTAATAACAGAAGATCTAACAAATGAAAACTTTTTGCTAATTTCCACTTAGCATCAAGATAGCAAATCAGCCCACGAATGAAGCACACAGTATATCTTGATATCCTTCAGCAACGAAATTGGAATAATATTAAGTTGTCCATGAACTAAATGGATATATAAAATGCCAAGAGGTCCAGCTGAAACAGAGACCTCTTTTTTCCCTAAAAAAGAAGAATCTCACTTCCTGGGTAAAGAACAGGCTGGTCTACCCTGCCAGGACCAGTCTTCTCAGAGTCTTCTACAGACAAGATTTACCTGATAAGTCTGCACTGGGGAGAAAAATGCACATCACAGGCTCTATCATTCTGTTTCTTAACCACTTACAAATAAGATTCCTTTACTACTACCAATGTTCTTTACAATATAATTACTCAAGGTTCATATGGATTTTGGGGTTTTTTGGCTAATTCATCAAGCCTTATCATGAATTTAAAACAAACCATTGACTTCTCAGACAACATGATTTCTAAAAGTGGTTTCATATTTTAAGTGCCTCTCCTTAAGCTCTGGATACAGAGACCTATAGTCCAATTTATACTAGTAAATCACTAACACTAGATGCTTACTTTGTCCCAGACACTGTGCTAAGAGTTTTACTTACACTGGCTTAATTATCATAACAACCTTACACAGTAGGTACTACTATTATCCACAATTTACAGATAAAGAAACTGAGGTTTAGAGATATTAAGCATCTTGCCCAAATCTCACAGACAGTAAGTGGCAGAAGGAGAATTTCTGTATGTGATCCGTTTGACACAATGCTTGTGCTCCAAACTTCACTCTGCAAATTACAGTCCTCGGTTTATTCCTAAGAAAATAGGAAGTTTTTCTAGACCTGTTAAAATGAGATTGTAGAATTAAGAGGCTATAAACGCAGAAGCTACTTGGGAAATCTGGTATCTGTAAGTCCATCTGGGATGGGTTATAGCCAGTTTGCCTTCAGAAGGAAAGACCTCCAAAGGTCCTTTTAACTAAGATTTACTACACTTCTCAGAGCTACATCCTTCTTCTTGGCTTGATTCTCTGGGACATATATAAAGCTGAGAGAGAAGAGTCACACGAAAAGAAGGACATGGCTCCTGAAAATCCTGACCTTCTTTCCAGGAGGCTGACTCCTTCGAGGCGGGGACAGGTCAGAATCAGAAGATTTGGTCCTCTGTCTCCTCCTTGGTGGAGAGAGGTCAGAATCAGAGCTCCGGTGTCTAGGTCTATTCCGTGGAGGTGACAGATCTGAATCAGAATCCTGGTGCCCTGGACTTTGTTTATGCCGTGGAGAAGAAAGGTCTGAATCAGTTGCTTTCTGGCAGTCACCTGGATAGGAGCAAAGAATCTGTGTGACTCTGATGTCCTCTAGGTGAAGAACTTACATGAAATCTCCTATGGCTGGGAGAAGAACCTAGAAATTAAAGAATTCCTTACATTATTATTATTTTTTTTTTTTTGAGACAGTCTCAGGCTGGAGTGCAGTGGCATGATCTCAGCTCACTGCAACCTCCGCCTCCTGGGTTCAAGCAATTATTGTGCCTCAGCCTCCCAAGTAGCTGGAATTACAGGTGTGTGCCACCACGCCCAGCTAATTTTTGTGTTTTTAGTAGAGATGGGGTTTCGCTATGTTGGCCAGGCTGGTCTTGAACTCCTGACCTGAGGTGATCTGCCCACCTCGGCCTCCAAAGTGCTGGGATTATAGGCTTGAGCCACCATGCCTGGCCAAAGAGTTCTTTAATCCCCTTGGAAGAATCTAAAAAGATAACTTACCAAGCTAATGTACAATATTTATTTAGTTTTCCTATGAAGAATTATCATTAACCTAAACATAAGTATGGATGGCACAGGAGAAGAGCAAAGTCAGAAACAACTTTTAAGACCAACAGGTAGAATATGGCATTCTATTCCCAAGTGACCACTGACTGTAACTGGTGTGTAAAATCTCCACACACTCCTCTATGTCAGTAACCCCACCCATGGAAAGACAAAATAACTTGTAGTCAGCTCTCCATAGTGTGGCAAAAGTCAGAAATACCTGGAATATAGTCTGATATCCTTGGACTAAAGGATAACAAAGTACTTTAATTTTAAAATTAAAATAGTTCCTAGGAACAAAAGAGGGAGTAAAAAATTTCACTGCACAGGCCTAAGTTCTAGCGACTGTATAAGCATCACAAGTCACCTCCCAAAGGGCATTCTGCAATATGTATCGACAGTCTTTAAAACGCCCACATCTTCTGACCCAGTACATCAACTTCTCAGCTTTCTAGGAAACTTATATAGAAGTAGTTGAATTTCGAGGAAATCTATCTAGAAGTAGATAAGGAAATAATCCAAAATGGGGACAACAGTTTATGTACAAGGATGTTCATTATAGAATTACAGAAGAAAAAACTTAGAAATAACCAAAAACATTCATTATTAGGAAAATGGTTAAATTTGTAATTAAACACTATTAAAAATTATACTAACATAAAGATGTTTTATGGCCTGAGGAAGACTACGTTAAGAAAGGACAGCAGGCAAGATTGCACATGCAATACAAATGTTCTACACAGCCAGAGCTCAACTATATAAAAAATGCAAACCAAAAAAGACTAAGATGACCCTGGCCACAACACTAACAATAATTGCCTCTGAATGACAGAATTTTGTGTCACATTTTATCTTTATATACTTCTGTACATTCCAAAGCTTCTGCAACAAATAAATTGTACTTTTATATGGGGTGGAGCGAGCACATAAAAAGACATATGAAAACCTTCCTCCCTGCCACCATAATTGTTCAACTCTCCCAAACCCAGCCTCTCACTTTTCAAAACTTTCCCAAAGAAATTCCATTCTTATACCTAATAAATCAACTAAACGGCCAAAAGAAAGCTCCCAGGGATACATACATCCCTCTCATGGACAGTCATATGCTCACCTTTGGAATCAAGCTGCTTCTTGTCTCCAAAATGGGATTTTGCTTGCTTTTTTCGTGGAGGAGAGATGTCAGGGTCATACTCATATTTGCTGTTCTTTGGGAATGACAAATGGGAGGCTCCTGACTCCTTCCAATGTGGAGAAGTCTTGCTAGAGGCTCTTTCTGGGGCTTTACCACTTTTGGTTCTGGGCAGGGAATAAGTGACATTAGGAGCCAAATCAGGGGAGTCATGACGGGCCCTTCTGAGTTGCTGTGTGTCTGAAGAGCCAAGAGTCCTCCTAGATGTGTCAGGGGAGTTGTTATGGACCCTTCTGGGGGAAGAGATATCTGAGGAACCATGACGGGCTCGCCTAGGAGGAGAGGGATCTGGTGAATCATGACGGACTCTCCTAGGAGATGCACCTGAAGAATTATGCTGAGGCCTCCTTGGGGGAGAAGGATCTGGAGAATCATGACGGGCCCTCCTTGGGGGTGAAGTGTCTGAGGAGTCATGACGGATCCTCCTGGGAGGAGATGTGTCTGAGTCATGACGAGCCCCTCTGAGGGGAGAAGGATCCGGGGTGTCATGACGGGCCCTCCTAGGAGATGGATCCGGGGTGTCATGACGGTCCTTCCTAGGAGATGGATCTGGGGTACCATGACGGACCCTCCTAGGAGATGAATCCGGGGTATCGTGACGAAAATGTCTGTTTGAGGGTAGGTCTTCGTTGTGGCCTAAACACAAATAACAAAGAGTCAGATTCCCACAAATGCTCTGTCCCTCTGTCCACCCCCACACCCAGTTTCAAAAGATGCTCCAGTAGCACATACCTCAGAACTGCTCAGAAAGCCCAAAAGGCCTGCACAGTTTTCTTGCTTAGGGGCAGCAAACCACCACTCATGAATATCTTAAGAATAACCCCTCCGCCTACCAAGTCATAAATTTGCAAAGCATTTTCAGCACATTTTTCATATTATACCCTTTAAGGTAAGCAGGGCAGGTACCCTTGTATTACAGCATGAAAACAGAGGCCACAGCCTCTGTTTTCAGCTGAGGAGCTGAGTGATTTCTTACCTAAGGTCACAGCTCCTAAAATGAAGACACAGGCTAGAATCCAAGTCTTCTAACTCCCAGTCCAATGTTCTTTCTAAAACCTCATTTGTGCAGAGTTCCCAGCTAGTGGCTCCTACTGATATTTTGCCTAGATACTTTATAGTTTGTACTCACTCTTCTTTCAATAGGTAAATTGACTAAAACGGTGAATATCAAAATAAAATGCTGTTAACTATTTAATCCATTTCACTGTGCTCTTTCTTAGAGAGGGGAAAAATCACCATAAAAAAGAAAGGAGCAAGTAATTACCAATCACCTACTGTGTGCCAGTGTTTCATAGAGATTACCTGATTCAATTCTCACAACAAGCCTAGGACATAAATACTGTCATTTCATTTATAGATGAGGAAGTTGATACTCAGAAAGATTAACTTGCCAAAGTCATATTGCTAATAAGTGGTAGAGGAATATTTAAATCCAGCTCTATTTGACTCCAGAGTCCATGTGCAATCTTTAAAATATGTAAAGCTTTAAAGTTAAAATACATAGTTTGAGACCTTCCATATTCAAAGGCACCACAGAATGAAATATCTATAGCAACTGGAACAGTTTCAAAATCCAGTTCTTCCTCTACCTCTATTTCTTGTCATTGAGCTCCACAGCCCAAATACAAATAAAAGCTGGGTAGGAACTGATGAATACTTGTTAAATGGATGAATTAAACCAAGTCAACTCCTTTACTTTGGGGAACAGCCCTATCTGATTGGAATCCACTCCACAGAGAAAAGTATGATGTCTGTGGGGGGCCTAACAGTAAATCTGAAGGAAGCAAGGGTCAGAGATTGGTAAGCGTACTTCCAATAACAAATTGGGATGGGGGAGTGAAAGCAAGGCAGAAGAAAAGGAGTGAGTGAGTGTGAGTGTGACTGTGTGTGTGTGTGACTGACCTTCTAAACATTCAGATACACAAGAAAAGGCACCGTGTGTATGTGTGTGTCTGTGTGTCTTCCTAGACAAACAGACATGGAGACCAAAAGATTCTCTTTGGAAAAGAATTCTGATTAGGCTACAAAAATCAAATACCTACTAGCAATTAAACAATTCTACAAATATTTATTAAAGGTAGCTCCTTGTGCTAGATAGGGGAATATCATGGCAAATAAGACTAGTCTATGCTCAAACAGATGTGACAAACAAATGCTTTTTATCCAATTCTCAAGGACTCAAATTTTTTTAAAGAGAGTTAAATTAAGATTATTAGCTTAGGAAGAGTCCAAAGTGGGCAAGTGGAGGGTAATGCACTATAAAACACCAATACTTAAGGAAAGAAGAGAGAAATTTACTAACACAAACAGAACAAAATACACTGGTCCTTGACCCCCCAGAAATGAGTTGCTTCATTGTGGAAGAGGATAGTGGTAGCTAAAGTCCCCAAATTCTGCTCCTGTTTCTTGTAAACTCCTCCCAAAGTCTTGCCTATACACCAAGTGCTCTCCTATTCTGAGTCAAAGAGGAATGGGTGCTCAAAGGCCTCCAAATTAGTCACCAACCTCAGTAATCCTAATGCCAAAATATAAGAGAAAGAGGAATATCTGGTCTATAAGTTCCTATGTCTTACTACCTCTGAAGAAGTCCAACTTCCTTTTTCCTGCTTTATTTTTCAGGATCAATGACATGCTAAAACAAACTATGCATTCCTCTAAAGAAAAGTATAGAAAAGGAAAAAAGATCTCCCCTACTAATGGAAATTTAGATTTATCTATTGTTGGAACTCACCTCCCAGAAGCTTCCATTTGGCACTGGAACGAAAGGCCTCCATCTGCTTTACCTCTTCTGGCCGCTCATCCACAAACTCTGCCACCTGTGAGAGTAAAGATTTCCTATCTTAGGAAATCCACAGGATCCAGCCAAGAAGCACTGTCTCAAGAACCTGAAGTTACAACCATTCCGATTCCTAACACAAGGGCGTACATATATCCAAAATGGTCATGAAGAAGTAAGTAGGGGTCTTCAGTTATGTTTGCTCCATAAACATCTGATTGTCACTGTATTGGTTTAATTGTAGATCCTTCTCTAATTAATCAATTACCCTGCAAAGGTTAATTTTTTTCATTACAAACCTTTTTATTAACCTGCTAGGTACACAACAGCCACTTGTAAACTAACAACTAAATTCCTTTTACACTTTTACTTCTACATTAACAGTGGAAACATAGGTGGCTCCCCCCATCATGCCTAGCACTAATCAAGGACTTTGGGTTTCTATGAATCCTTTCTTGTTGTAGGTAGTCACAGTGATAGGTTTTCTTGAATACAACCAAAAAGAGCCACTGAGATGTACACAGAATCATTAATCTTTAAGAGCTAAAACCACATTTCATATCTTCTAAACTTCTGAACAAATCAGAATCTTCTCTATAGTATTCCTAATAAGTGGTCACTCGCCCAATCCCTTCCTGACAAGGAACTCATTATCTTACAACACAGTCCACTGCATTTTTCAAAAATGTTAGAAAGTTCTTAGTTTTACTAGTACCGTATCTGCCTTCCTATAACTTCTTTGAATTCATTCTAGTTCTGACCTGTGATGTAAGTCCACATGACAAACTTTCAAGATTGCTGGCATAATAAATCCTAGTTACAGAGTAGCAACTATGTGCAAGGTACTGTGTTTTGTGGTTTACTCATATAATCTAACTCGATTCTCACAATAATCCTGTAAAGAAAGGCTCCACACTACTGAATAGCAAACTGATTCGGAGAAGTTCAGTAACTTTCTCAATGTCACAAGCTAACAAGTGGCAGAACTGGAATTTAAATCCAGGTCATAATAGCCCTCTACTTCTCCCAAAATCCTACCATCATTCTTCATATAACCCAGTTTTGAGATCTCTCACTGAGCGTTAAAAGCACAGGTTTCGGGCAAGATGAATTAAGATCTAAACCCCAGCTCGGCCACTTAGCATTTGTGTAACCTTTGGTAAATTATTCTAAGCCTCAATTTCCTCATTTGTAAAAGTGGGATTCAAAGGATTGCTATAAGGATTGAATGAGATAATTCACGTAAGCTTAGCCATGCTTGGTACATGATAAATGCCCAATAAATGACACCTATTAATTATTCCTGTGCTGCCACTGCTATCGTAATCATCATAATCGTTTTACCATTATTACTGGTGGTGGTGGTGATCTTGCAGTTACAAAAATGAATTCAGTAATCAAGATCTGTTTTAACCAATGCAGAGAGCAGTGGCACTAAAGCCTCCTTTGTTTAGGTTTTTGGGCCATCATAAAAGCAAGACAATATTATAAAAGAAAATGGCCAGGTGCGGTGGCTCATTCCTGTAATCCTAGCACTTTGGGAGGCTGAGGCGGGTGGATTGCTTGAGCCCAGGAGTTCATGACCAGCCTAGGCAACACGGTGAAACCCCGTCTCTACCAAAAACACAAAAATTAGCTGGGCATGGTGGCAGGCGCCTGTAATCCCAGCTATTTGGGAGGCTGAGGCAGGAGGTTCACTTGAACCTGGGAGGCAGAGGCTGCAGTGAGCCAAGATTGAGCCACTGCACTCCAGCGTTGGTGACAGTGTGAGAATATGTCTCAAAAAAAAAAAATAATAAAAACAATTATGAACTAAGTGAAAAGGCAAATGATAAAATACACCCACAACATAAGCCTAATGAACATATAAAAAATGATTCATTTCACTAGTGTTCAAAGAAACTGGGCCAGGCACGGTGGCTCACGTCTGTAATCCCAGCACTTTGGGAGGCCGAGGCAGGCAGATCATGAAGTTAGGAGATCAAGATCATCCTGGCTAACACAGTGAAACTTCATCTCTACTAAAAATACAAAAAATTAGCCAGGCATGGTGGCAGGTGCCTGTAGTCCCAGCTACTCGGGAGGCTGAGGCAGGAGAATGGCGTGAACCCGGGAGGCGGAGCTTGCAGTGATCCGAGATCACGCCACTGCACTCCAGCCTGGGCAACAGAGTGAGACTCCACCAAAAAAAAAAAAAAAAAAAAAAGAAACTGGATACCATTACTCACTTGCTAAATCAGCATAGGTTTGCTATTGGTTTTGTTTTGTTAATAATCCTTCAATATTGGTGGGGCATGTGGCTAACACCTGTAATCCCAACACTTTAGGAGGCCTAGGCAGGAGGATCACTTGAGCCCAGGAGGTCAAGACCAGACTGGGCAACACAGAGACCTCATCTCTACAAAAAATACCCAAAATTAGCCAGGCATGGAGGTGCGCACCTGTGGTACCAGCTACGTGCAGGACTAAGGTAGGAGGATTGCTTGCACCTGGAAGGTAGAGGCTACAATGGGGCATGATCACACCACTGTATTTCAGCCTGGGCAACAGAGCAAGACCCTGTCTCAAAAATAATAATAATAATAATAATAATAATAATAATAATAATAATAGTGCTCTAATATTGACGACGTAGGCAAACTGGCATTCTCATCACCTCTAGTGGGAGTGTAAATTGGTAGCACCTTTTGGAAAGCAACATGGGAATATAACTAAAGCGAACCATACCCTTTGATCCACTCATTTCATTTTATGGGAATAAAGAAATAAACTGATTTCTACAAATGATTTATGTACAACGATGTATGATATTTTATAAGTGGAAACAATCCATGTATCCAGTAACAGAACAGATAAAATATATATATTGAACTACTACATAACCGTTAAAAATCATACACTCAAAGAATATTTTAAGGTCTTACCAGAGTATCCACAACATATTATTTAGCAGAGGAGTAGACTCCAAAACCCTATGTACAATATGATCCCAATTATGTTCAAAAAAATAAAATACAAGCGTGTATAATCTCTAAAGAGAAAAACCTGAAGAGATATGCATCCAAGTATTAGCAGTTATCTTTGGATGGTAACATGCAAGTGTTTATTCTTTTAAAAACTTTAAACTTTTTTTAATTCCCAAATATTCTGTAATAAATATGCATTGCTTTTATAAAATTAAAAAAAAACAACAAACATTGTTAATATTTACTTCTTCTGACCAAAACTAAATTGGCTCCCTAAGATCACTATTTCCCTTCTAATTACTAGCAAGCCCTCTTTTAAATAATCTATTTTAGAATTTTGCTGGGAATTGGCCAGGTGCAGTGGCTCACACATGTAATCCCAGCCCTTCAGGAGGCCGAGGTGGGCGGATCACGAGGTCAGGAGATCAAGACCAACCTGGCTAACATGATGAAACCCTGTCTCTACTAAAAATACAAAAAAAAACACAAAAAATTAGCCGGGCGTGTTGGTGGGCCCCTGTAGTCCCAGCTACTCAGGAGGCTGAGGCAGGAGAATGGTGTGAACCCAGGAGGCAGAGCTTGCAGTGAGCCGAGATCATACCACTACACTCAAGCCTGGGCAACACGGTGAGACTCCGTCTCAAAAAAAAAAAAAAAAAAAGAATTTTGCTGGGAATTAATATTAAATACTCACTGGAATCCATCTTTACCAACTTTAGTGGAATTCAGCCTATCTACAGCTCTCCTTTCCACTTTGTTTCTCAGAAATTCTCAGCAATGGTTTCATGAACCACTGGGAGGTCATTTGCCTATGATTTTGTCCACCTGGCTCTTACTTACCCTTCAAAACTCAGTATTTACATCTTTCAGGATATCTCCCAACAGAATACAAAGTATGCTACCTCCCCGGGCTCTAATGGTACTTGGTACGTATGTGAAACATCCCCAACATTTACCATACTGTTGAAATTTATCTGAAATTCAGTTTTTCATTCTAGGGTATAATCTCTAAAATACAGCTATGTTCTATTAATCTACATATCTCCAGTACTTAGGCAAGAATATACAATTTGAAAGCTTAGTTAAAGCACTGAAAAAAGGAGCAAATAAAAAGTTCCCTATAACTGAACCTCAGCATTGTTTTTAAGAAAGATTCCAACAAAATGAACCACAGCTAAGTCTCATCATTACTCTAACACTGATGTCGAGAAGTCCTCTCTCTGTGATCCATCTCATTTCTAGGCTGATGGACCCTCCATAAAGAGACAAGTTGGTGTATAGGCATCAGCAAAGAAAACTATTTTAAACAGCTCTTTGGAAACTGTCACCTCTTTTCTGTTCTCAACTAACCCCCCTACAAATCTACCCTAAGCTGGAAAAATAAATTTGAGAAGCTTGGCCTGGCACAATGGCTCACGCCTGTAATCCCAGCACTTTGGGAGGCCAAGGTGGGTGGATCACCTGAGGTCATGAGTTCAAGACCAGCCTGGCCAACATGGTGAAACCCCATTTCTACAAAAATTAAAAAAAAAAAATTAGCCAGGCATGATGGCGGGTGCCTGTAATCCCAGCTACTCAGGAGGCTGAGGCAGGAGAATCATCTGAACCCGGGAGGCGGAGGTTGCAGTGAGCCAAGATCATGCCATTGCACTCCAGCTTGGGTGACAGAGCGAGACTCCGTCTCAAAAAAAAAAAAAAAAAGGAAATTGAGAAGCTTGCTTCATTTCAAAATCCTGACAGCCCCAAAGATACATACCACAGGCAAATCTCCATCATCTTCCTCTTCCTCCTTTTCTAGTTTGGTTGTGGAGATAGCTGTCCAGCTCACATCATCATCCACAATCCGCATTCTAAATGAGAATAAGAAGATCAAAAAGAGTCATTCTAGGATACCAGCATAAAAACATTTATCTATTGGTTTTAAAATAAAGTTCAAAATCCTACAGGATCCTGCATGGTCCAGTCTTTGTCTACAAGGTCAACTTCATCTCCTACTGCTACTTCCTTGGTTGAACACCTCCCTGGTCATCCTTTGGTGCTTAGAAAGGAGCCAAGTTCCTATCACATCAGTTTTCACATATGCAGTTCCTTCCCTCTGCCTGATCTACTCTTTTCAATCTTTTTCTTTTTTTTTTTTTTTGAGACGGAGTCTCGCTCTGTTGCCCAGGCTGGAGTGCAGTGGCACGATCTCAGCTCACTGCAAGCTCTGCCTCCCGGGTTCACACCATTCTCCTGCCTCAGCCTCCTGAGTAGCTGGGACTACAGGCGACCACTGCCACGCCTGGCTAATTTTTTGTATTTTTAGTAGAGACGGGGTTTCACCGTGTTAGTCAGGATGGTCTCGATCTCCTGACCTCGTGATCCGCCCGCCTTGGCCTCCCAAAGTGCTGGGATTATAGGCGTGAGCCACCGCGCCCGGCCCTAGTCTTTTTCTTTTTTGAGACAGGGTCTCACACTGCTGCCCAGGCTGGAGTGCAGGGACACCATCATGGCTCCCTGCAGCCTTGACTTCCCGGGGTTAAGTTATTCTCCCTACTCAGTCTCCCAAGTAGCTGGGACTACAGGCATGTGCCACTGTGCCTGACTACTTTTTTGTATTTTTTGTAGAAACAGGGTTTCACCATGTTGCCCAGACTGGTCTCAAACTCCTAGATGCAAGCAATCCACCCGCCTTGGCCTCCCAAAGTGCTAGGAAACTCTTTCTCATTCCAGGAAACTCTTCCTCATTCTTCAGGTCCTAACACAAATTTAACTTCCTTTGGCAAACTTTTCTTGACTGCTTCACCCAATTCCCTCACCATCCCACACTCACTCAAGACTAAGAACCCTTGTTAAAAACTCTTGGAATACTTTCATTGCATTTATCATAAAGAAAATATATCGATTAGTTGTGTAATTAGTTGCTTAAAGCCTGTATTCCCATTAATCTATAAGCTCCACAAGAACAGGGACTATGTTTTTTTTGTTCACAGAGGCATCCTCAACACCCTACAGTAACTGGAATACGAAATATTCAATAAATGTTTGTTACGTGGATAAACTATATAGCTGAGCCCAAATAATAACAATGACTGCCATGATGTGAAGTTATTCAAAAAGCCAGGGTCACTTAATGCAATCCCTCTAATCACAACCACCACTTAATAAAACCATTATTATTATTATTCTCATTTTAAAGATAAGGAAACTGCAGCTCAGTGAGATGAAACACCTTGCCCAAGGGTACACAGCCTATAAAGTGGCACAGCTAGGATTCGAACTCTGACCAGTGCTGCTCCAACACTCAAGCTACTTTCATCACATGGCACTGCCTCCAAAGGATCCACACAAGTCAGCGAGGCAGAAAGACGAAGACAATAATAAGGCAAGCACCAAACCAGAAAAGAACTTGGACTAGTTCTTTAGAACAATGTGACTTCACTGGGTATCTCAGTGCCTTAGGGTTACTGTAACAAAGTACCACAAATTGCGTGGCATAAAACAACAGAAACTCTCTCGCAGTTCTGGAAGCTAGCAATCTGAAATCCAGGTGTCTGCAAGGCCATCCTCCCTGGAAAGTCTCTAGCAGAGAATCTTTCCTTGCCTCTCCCAGCTTCTGGTAGCCCCAAGCATACCTTGGCTTTTGGCAACATAAATCCAATCCAATCTCAGCCTTCATCTAGACATGGTCGTTTTTCCTTTGTTGCTGTGTCTGTATCCATACTTCCCTCTTTTTAAAAGGCAAACAGTCATCTTGGATTTGGCACCCACCTTAATCAAGTATGACCTCATCTTAACTGATTACATCTCCAAAGACCCTATTTCTAAATGTCACATTCTGTGGTTCTGGGTGGAAAACGATTTGGTAGGGCCCACTACACTGGGCCACAAAGTTGTCCCATATGAAAATAATACCCACTTCATGGTAGTGTGGTGAGGCTTAAATAAACTTATATATGTTTAAATTTCTTATAATGGTGCCTGGCAAGAAAAGTATAACTATATAAATGTTAGCTTCTCACGTTAGGACTATTACTAAGAGTAACAGGAGGTGATCAAAGGTCTCTGATTCAGAACCAAGTCCTTGGGATCTGGGAATCCCCACAGGCAGGTACCGGGCCCTAAAGATCCAAGCACAGAGGCTTTGAATCCGCTCCATTATTCTCGAGGCACAATATTCATTCTCTATGGGAGAGGACGGAAGTCTACCAAGGCGGGAAAAGAGTAATCAAAGTTACACCCCGGCTTTAACGCACTGACGCTACTGCTCAGAGGCTCGAGATGTAAGCGGGGCGGCAGAGGCAAGGCGGGGGGCCTCAAGCGATGTGAGTGGGGCCCTGAGCATGAGCAGGGGTCGGCGGAGAAGCCGAGAGACCCGCCAAGAGGGAAGGAACTGCCGGGCGGCCGAGGGCGGAGTTGGGAAGGGGTGGCTAGACGTCGCAGGCCCCGCCCCGGCCGGTACCAACTCACCCCTTGCCGCCGGCCCCGCCAGGCTTCGGCCGCTTTTTGCGACGCTTGCGACCGGACTCAGATCCCCGGTCGACGCCGGCATCTGCCCCGGACAAGTAACGCTTCAGATACTCGGCCTTGGAAAGCGGCGGAGCTGCCGCCATGGCAGCGGCGGGGGCAGAGAGACGGGTCGGCGCTGGGGACAAAATGCCTCAACGCGTAACGGACGCCAGCCACCCGACAGGGCGGGGCCACGGCCGGAAGTGGCGGAGAGTGCTAAGAATCGCGCGGCTGGCAGGTGCGGCCACCGGGACGCGCTCGCAGGCTAGCCAGGGACGTGCGCACCTTCGGGGCGCTCCACAGCCCTGGGACGACGCCACCAGGTTTCTTCTCTTCATTCACTCACCCACCCACCCACCCATCCATCCAACCGCAGCAAGCGCTGTTCTATGAGGCCACAACCTGACCCAAAGGACCCCGCCCCCATCGGCCGCCTAAACTCCAGAGCACGAGCAAGAAAGTGGAGGGCCACGGGCTGCAGCGTAGCCGAGTTTGAATACTGGTTCCATAGCTGGCTAGCTGTACGACCTCGGGCAAGTTATCACAAAACAGGGAGAATCCCGGCACCTAACTCGGAACGGTCACAGGCTGAGATGATATTACTGTGTGAAGTGCGCAGAGCGGTGTTGGGCACATGGTCATCGGAACTATGTTCGTTATTTTTATAAGTATCTTTAAGTGGGGGGAATCTGCTCCACTAGGCTTCCAGGTACCTACCGTCCAAGAAAGGAAGCCAGGAAGTGCAAACCAACATAATTACTATGAAAAACGTAGTTTCTAAGACCTGTGTAACTCTTCTAGTGTTCTATTACAAGTAGCCCCCAGTTATCTCTTGAAGGAAACTGTAAAACAATCTTGCCAATGAGAAGGACGGACCTGGATCATTTTTTAGCATAGTAAAAGAGAGAAACCAGAGAGAATGAATTCTAACACTCAAGTTTTGGGGGGAAAGAAAAGACTTTATTCTTTGCAGGGGGTTTAGAGCTTTACCTGAATTATCTCATTTAACCCTCACAATTCTCAAATCGTTTCATTATCATATTTTACAGATAAGAACTGAAGCGTGGCAAGATTAAGGAAGTTGCTCAACTTCACATAGTCAGAACATGACTCTAGGGAGTAGAGGCTAGCGAAGTGGGGTGCAAGAGGTCATCCAAATTTCTTGAAATACCAGATCTTTTTACCTCATCATATATGTTAGATTGTCAGTTTTATCGTTTTCTTCCCAGCTTTATTATTTGACAAAAAATTATATATATTCAAGGTGTACAATGTGATGACTGGATATAATTATACATTGTGTAATGATTACCAAAATCAAATTAAGTAAAACATCCTTCACTAATTTATGTAGTAGTTCGGTGGGGGGGCACTTAAGCAAATTTGTCTTAGCAAACTTCAAGTAAACAATACAGAATTATTAGCTATAGTCAACATGTTGTACATTAGATTCCCAGAACTTGTCTTAAAACTGAAAACTTGTACCATTTGAGAGAGAAGTTTTAGTGTTACTGAAATCACAGACTTCTGACAGAATTTGCAGGATGCTATACACAACTACACAAAAGTGCAAACAATAGTTTCTTGGACCAAGAGTCAAAAAGGTCACTTTTTTAATATATTAGTCAAGCAGACAGGGCTATACTTTATAAATAAATACACATTATCTGGGGATAAGTGTTTAAAAAATTCTTTACTCATATAATACAAAACAGGCTTGGGGATCAGTCTTGAAGCATGAATTTTTACCCAGTGGGCCATGTTGAGGGGGTTGCAGCACAGGCCCAGAAAGGAAAGCAGGCTGGGGCTCTGAGGGCTTGTGAGACGAGGACGCTGGGCTGAGAAGATAGGGCTTCACTAGGCGGAGGGCCCCAGGGTACCCCATACACAAGCCTGCCTTGGCTTCTCGTCCAATTTGGTGCATCTCACACTACACAGCCCTGCCCCACCCTGGTGTCAGCAGGCATTCAGAAAGCCTCACACTTCTGCTCCAGTGAACACTGCCAGGATAGCCCTCTGAACTTCCACCCACCCATCTTCTGCCCATTTGTTTTCTTTGTCTTCAATTCCACTGCTACCCATCCTACCCCAGTCCCTTAGCCTGACAAGGCCCAAGTGTCTCCACCCTGTGCTGCAGGGCAGTTAAGCAGGATCAGATGCCGTGCCAATGGCCTGCTCTGAGCTTTGGCCTCTCTCTGCAGTTGTATCTAATAGAACAAATACAGTAATTGTGGAGCTGAGCTTAAAATATTCAGACCTCAGGTTTCAGAGTCTGACTGGCATGGGTTTGACACCTGCCTCTTAGAAGCTCTACTTCTGGCCAGGCACGGTGGCTCACGCCTGTAATCCCTGCACTTTGGGAGGCCAAGGCAGGTGGATCACGAGGTCAGGGGTTTGAGACCAGCCTGACCAACATGGTGAAACCCCATCTCTACTAAAAATACAAAAATTAGCTGGGTGCAGTGGTGGGCGTCTGTAATCCCAGCTACTCAGGAGGCTGAGGCAGGAGAATTGCTTGAACCCAGGAGGCAAGGCTGCAGTGAGCCAAGATCGCACCACTGCACTCCATCCTGGGTGACAGAGCAAGACTGTCTCCAAAAAAAAAAAAAAAAAAAAAATTAGCCAGGCATGGTGGCGTGCACCTGTAGTCCCAGCTACTCAGAAGGCTGAGGCAAGAGAATCGCTTGAACCTGGGAGGCAGAGGTTGTGGTGAGCCAAGATCACGCCACTGCACTCCAGTCTGGGCAACAGAGTGAGACTCCGTCTCAAAAAAAAAAAAAAAAAAAAAAAAAAAAAAAAAAAGCTCTGCTTCCTTCTGGAAGTAACCTCTCTGAGGCTGTTTTGTCACCTGTAAAATGGGGATAATTTTGTTTATCCTAATTATCCCCATTTTACAGACTAGGAAAACAAGCATTGGAAGTGCCAATACTAAACTGAGGTGAACGCACAAAATAAGCAGCTTTTTCTCTCCACAGTTGGAAACACTGCCATTTGCCTTAAAAAGAAGTGTGTAAAAAACATTTTTTAATAGGAATAAAGCCAAGTAGTCTTAGCCACCACTGCCCTAAATGTAAGCAGAGACACCATTTTCTGCAGTGTGCATCAGGCACATACCACAGGTGTACAAAGAAGGAAATATACTGATGTTAGAATGAAAGTGTTGCCATCATTAAAGTTTTCAGTTGGCCAAGTCAACTGCCCTTCATACTTGCTCCCAACACTCACCTCCCCTCCTCCACTCATCATGACACAGATGTACATTCAGTACCTACCTGTATGTTCGTCCACACGTCTAATGACCGAACATGGCTGCATTTCACATACTTGACCCATGAAAGTAGGAGGCGTGCCCTCATGCATGAACCACTTTCCTTTTTTAACACAATCACAAACCTTTTCCACTTAAATGTTACTCATGGCTGTGAAACTGAATCCACATGTTCCTGGCACTTTGACTCACCTACCCTGGCCTTAAAGCGAGACCCTTTCCCTATCTTTTTACCTATAGATGTTATCCCTAGTGTCCTAATAGGGTTTAATCTATGATGGAGGATTTTAACAGATTTTATTAACCATGTGTCATATGCTGGGTGCTGTGGAGCAAGACTCAGTTAACTATATGTAAGCTCCCATCCTGACACACTTTATGAAATGAGAAAGGAGCTGAAAGATAATTCAAGAGAAGGGTATGAAACTGAAGAATGCCTTGTCATCAAAGGGCAGGAAGTACCTTAGCTGGGTTATCCCAGTCTGGCACCTGGTCCTCAGTCTTCAAGTTCAGAAACTCAGGTCATCATTTCCTAGGAACTGGGTGGATTCTGGGAGATTGCCTCACACCAACCAAACTCACAAGAGATTCAGTAATAAGCCAGAGTGCCATTTTTTTTCCTTCACAATGGAAAATGAACCTGATACTGCAGTTTATCTTAACAGAGCACACCTACACTATGGGGAAGTCTACTTAAGAGACCAAATGATAGATCAGAGGGTTGTCTGGTAAACTTAGATTCCCAAGTCAGCTGGAAACATACCTAGAGATAATCTCTTAGGGTAGAATAGTTGCCTGTGAGAAGTTTGCCCAAAGTACTGAAGCTTTATAGTTTGAATGAGTCATTTGCTAACCTGAGTCTCCAAACACCTTACTCTCGCCCTCACTTACAGAAATTAGAGATACAGGTATGGAAGTTAGTCCCACATGATAGTAAGATGCCAAAGAATCTGATATGGAGAGATGTCTGAAAGCAGAACTCTCAGAAACAAATTTAGTAAGAGGGGAGGAGGCAAAGTGTCCAAATAAGAAATATTCAAAGTGAAGGGAAAACCAAGGGTACAGTATCTCGAGAGCCAAAAGAAGGGTTAAGAAGAGATGGTCCACTATCAAATGTGACAGAAATAGATAACACTTTCCAAGTGGAAAATCACTTGTGACCTTTGAGAGTAGTTTAACAGAGCAACGAGAGTAGATGTCTGATTGCTAAATCATCTCTAACTCATTCTTCAGAGTTAAGTTTGCAACACAGCCGGACGCGGTAGCTCACGCCTGTAATCCTAGCACTTTGGGAGGCCAAGGCTGGCGGATTGCCTGAGCTCAGGAGTTCGAGACCAGCCTGGGCAACACGGTGAAACCCCGTCTCTACTAAAATACAAAAGAAATTAGCTGGGTGTGGCGGCGTGCGCCTGTAGTCCCCGCTACTCGGGAGGCTGAGGCAGAATTGCTTAAACCCGGGAGGCAAAGGTTGCAATAAGCCAAGATCACACCACTGCACTCCAGCCTGGGCAACAGCGCGAGACTCTGTCTCTACCAAAAAAAAAAAAAAAAAAAGTTTGCAACACAAAGCAATAAGGTTTGTGATAACATCTTAATCAATGAACTGGTCTTTATTGAACAAATACCCTGCAGTCTGCACCACAGGAGTCACCTTTTGTTTATGAGAGGCAGGAGACTACAGTGCAAAGAACACTGGCTGGGAAGTCCAGGGCCCAAGCAGCAGAGTGTTCACTGGTCCTTAACTTTCAGAAGAACTGCAGAGAGCCTCCTTTCTCTCTGGATGAATGTGTTTCAACATTTCTAACTGAGAGTAGGGCTAACTGATCAGGTACCCCCACTGGCTCTAACCTCACAGCTCTAGCATTTGCAGTTCCCTCTGCCAGGAAATCTCTTCCCCCAGATACCCACACAGCTCACTCCCTGACCTCCTCCTCAGCTTTGCCCAAATGTCAAATTATCACCTTCTTGTTCAGAAGATCTTCCCTACTCCCCATTTCCTTGCACAACCCAGCCCCATTCCCTGCTTTACATTCCTCCATGACACTAATCACCATCTGATGTACTGTTTTCCTGATCTGTTTATTGTCATTTTTCCCCACTAGACTTCAAGTTCCATGAAAGAGATTTATTTTGTCCTCTGTTCTGTGGTGTGCTTGGCATAAAGTAGATAAGCAAGCATCTGCTGAAGGAATGAATTAAATGCCAGCTGCAATCCCCAAATTACAGTAGATACACGGGAAAATTTTCTTTAGGAGGCTGAATTCTAACAGCATGATATCAAACAAGGATAGGGTCAATACAGAGGCCAGTGCTGTTTGAAAGTCATCATTTCAATGGTAACTCCTTCACTTGTGCTGGACTCGGTCTCCCCTCAGGAGACTCCTTTCCTGTTCAAAGTCAGTATTTTATATACTCAAAACCAACAACAAACTCCAGGTGTAACTTTATTCCACCTTCTCCAACTTCAGAGTTCCAACCTTAGAGGATAGAGCATTATGTGGAAGGAGGGTGAGGACTTGATATGAAAAAAGTGATGACATACCCCTGGTTCATTTCTGGGTTTCCTCCTAGGCCAATTCAAAACTTCCAAAATAAGGTCAAGTAACACAATAGGCTCACACTTGCATCACAAGCTGTTTAGAAAGTGTGCACAGATCTCTGACTCAGACCAGATGTCCTCCCCACCATGGGCAAGGGCTGGTGGGAAAGACACTCCCAGCCTTCGCCTTCATCCAATACTAATAAATAACCTACAGAAAGAGCAGCGCTGGAGGCTGGCCCTTGAGCCACCCACTGCTACCGTTGCGGAGCCAGGCCTGCCTCATAGCCCTCTGTCTTCATGTCATTGAGCCCTAGCTCCTCATTTTGGTCAAAGGTGCGCTTGTAACGCTCCACCTTCATCTCAGGATCATCTTCAGGCGCATACACATTCTGCAAGGTCAAGGAGAGACAATCAGTGCCGCTGTGCCACTCCCCCTCTCTGCAGGCAGCTTCCAATTCCCACCTTCCCAAGAACAGAATGAGTTTTGGGTTTTTTTCTTTTTATTGGCCTCCAATTTCCCATGGCTAGACTGAACTAGTGGGTAGCAACAGAGCCCACATGGGCCAGGGGTAGAAGACCCCAGCCCCAGAATCAGGGAACAATCCACCTATTTTGTTATATCTGCACCTTCTTATGAAAAGTATGACAAATGGTCTTAATCTTGGAAAGAACTTAGAAGAGTTTTGCCTGACCCATGGTAAGTATCCAATAAATGGTAAAGGTACATCAATCACCAGACTCTCTCCTCAGTCAACTTAAAGCCTATCAGTTTCCTATCTTGGCCTCCGGACAAGGTACCATTTCTCCTCAATCCATAATCAGATTTGCAAAATGAAAACTCCAGAACTGGGACAAGAGCTTGACTACAGAAAAAAAAGGGGCCTCAGAGTATCCTTTTTTTTTCCTTCTTTACATACACTTAAAAAAAAAATCCCCTCCCACACCCCCCTCTTTTCTCCCTTATGTATCTTCTAACTTCTGCCTCCTTGGTAAAAAGCAGTCCATTTAGAATCAAGTCTTTCAGTTTCTAGGGAAATGATACATATTCAAGGAAGATCAGAAAATGTATCTCTATGAAACATCAGGGAAGGTCTACTATACCTGCAAGTAACTGTTTCCTGCTGGATCATCCATAATAAAGTGGGCCTTCATGTTACCTTCGATGATCTAAAGGAGAGAGAGAACACAGCAAGTAAATTTTACATAACCCCTGGTAAAAAGAGGCTATGTCGGGGGAGGGGGGAGGGATAGCATTAGGAGATATACCTAATGTAAATGACTAGTTAATGGGTACAGCACACCAACATGGCACATGTATACATATGTAACAAACCTGCACGTTGTGCACATGTACCCTAGAACTTAAGTATAATAAATATATATATAAATAAAAAAAGAAATGAAATAAATGAAAGTAAAGAAAAATTTTTAAAAAAAGAGGCTATGCCTGCCAGACAAGAACCAACCCAATTTATATTACAGAATCCCCAAAAGTTTTAAGAATTGGTGAAATTAGGTAGCTCTGAAAGTAGAGGGGAAAGGTTCTAAAATAAGGACTGTTAGAAAAGCCAACATCAGCAAGCTGTGGACTAGGGGGTGCTGGCCCAGTTGAAGGTAGAGGGAAAGGAATCAAGAACAAGTAGGTTAAATGAATGTAAGCTTATGGGAAACAGAATACATACACACCCCAGCCCCCTTCCCACAGCTCTCAGAACACTGCCAGCCAAGCCTTTACCCTCAGGCCAGGAAATGGAGCAGCCACAGTCATTTAACCTCCTTGTTCTTGAGTCCTTTCCCTCTACCTTCAACTGGGCCAGCACCCCCTGGTCCACAGCTTGCTGATGTTGGCTTTTCTAACAGTCCTTATTTTAGATCCTTTCCCCTCTACTTTCAGAGCTACCTAATTTCACCAATTCTTAAAACTTTGGAGGATTCTGTAATATAAATTGGGTTGGTTCTTGTCTGGCAGGCATAGCCTCTTTGTCTGACTAGCCCAAGAGGAAAGACCTAACAATTCTGGCATTGGAGGCCACCTCAGCAAAACAGCTAAGTTAAATTCCCCTGTAATAAGCCCCATGTCAACAAGGCTCACCCCCTACTCAGGTCTTTAGCCCGCTACTTGTAAGAAGACAATCAATGATTATCAGACATCTGAGCAAAGCCCTTAACACTGA
This sequence comes from Homo sapiens, assembly GCF_000001405.40. NCBI lineage: Eukaryota > Metazoa > Chordata > Mammalia > Primates > Hominidae > Homo > Homo sapiens. The sequence continues at coordinate 116,780,845 of NC_000011.10, forward strand.
AAGATGGGAAATCAAATGGGGAAAAAAAGGATGCAAGGAGAATAAAATGTCAAAAAAGATCCAACATCAGTATCAATAAGTGCTATATAAACTGCATGCTGAAAAAATTTAAAAAATAATAATCCTCAAGAAGAAAAAATACTACATCCTTAAGACAGGATGCTATTTTTTAAAAAGCTCCTTGGAAAATAAAAGTTTTAGTGGAAATGAAAACCTCAATTGAAGGGTTGGAAAATAAAGTTGAGGGAATCTCCCAAAGAAGAACAAAAAAACCAAGAAACCAAAAATAGGACCAAAAAAAGAGTAAATTATAGAAGACCAGACAAGTAAGTCTAATATCTAAAACCCAGGAGTTTTCAGAAAGAACAGAAAAAAAAAATCAGAAAAAAGATAATCTTCAATAGAATAATTCATGAAAGCTTCCTAGAACTGAACCACATGAGTTTTCCAGACTGAAAAAATACATCTACCAAGTGCTTAGCCCAGTGGATGAAAACTGACCCACACCAAGGCACACCCTGAAATTTCACATCAAAGGAAACGAAGAGATCACAAGACTAGGTCACATATAAAAGACCAGGAATCAAATGGCTTCAGACTTCTCAATAGCCAAAGTGGAAGACTATAGTACAATGTCTTTACCAAACTGGAAGACCATAGTGCAGTCTTCGAAATTCTGATAAAAAATTATTTCTATCCTAGAATCGTATTCCCAGCCAATAATCACTCTAGTGTGATAACAGAATAAAGACATGTTCAGATGTGGAAGGTCCCAGAAATTTTATTTCCCATGCACTTTTTCCCAGGAAGCTACTGGAGAAGATGCTCTAACAAAATAAGGGAGAAAAACAAGAAAGAAGACGTGGAATATAGAAAACCAGAAGAGGGCCAGGTGCGGTGGCTCACGCCTGTAATCCCAGCACTTTGGGAAGCCCAGGCAGGCAGATCACGAGGTCAGGAGTTCGAGACCAGTCTGGCCAACATAGTGAAACCCTGTCTCTACTAAAAATACAAAAAATTAGCCAGGCGTGGTGGTGTGCGCCTGTAATCCCAGCTACTCGGGAGGCTGAGGCAGCAGAATCGCATGAACCCGGGAGGCAGAGGTTGCAGTGAGCCGAGATCACGCCACTGCACTCCAGCCTGGGCAACAGAACGAGACTCTGTCTCCAAAAAAAAAAAAAAGAAAAGAAAACCAGAAGAAGAATCCCCAACATGATGGTTAGATGTTCAAAAAGTGGCAAGACATGAGCATGCAGCCTCCTGTTCACTGGAGCCCCAGGATTCTAAGTACTGACTGGCCAGTGACCTCTTACCTGGTCCATCTTCTGGCTAAACTCCTGTAGTCTCTCCGTCTGTCCAGGATTGGAACTGTCGCCCAGTGTGAAAGGATTTTTGGTCACCTGCAATAAATGATAATCCAAACTATGTGAATACTGGCTTTATATTTGTTAGGCCTGACCATAAACTAGGCAGGGGGTGACAGTGGGTGCCCTGTCAGGGAAACTTGGTTTCCATTTAGCCCACACCACCTTTCTGACCAAGGCAGTCACTCCTAGGAGTCTATGGGATAATGTGCCAAGATAACAAAACTGGCAATGTAAAACAAAATCGAAACATGTTCTTAGAATATGATCTCTGATACTAATTTGGAGAAGAAATGCAAAGAAAAAGTACAATTTACAAATACAAAATGCCCAACAGAGAATCAAGTGAAATAATTCATCAAGGAGATAAACATTTGGGCTAAGTCAACCCATACATGTATGTTTTTTATGTTGGGAAGTTTTAGGTGCTAGAAGGACCCTCATCCCCTAACTTTACAGTAAAATAAATGACTTGTCCAAGACCACAAAATAACTATAAAGTCCCAAAGTTAGGCCTGGAATTTCCATTCAACATTTCCCATAAACTTGTCTTCACCATCCAAAGTAATATTTAAGTCTCTTAAACCAGCTTTAAGGCAAAGAAACCCACAGTTACCAGCACCGAAAATTAGGATGTCTGAAGTCTTCCAGTCCCTCTTCACACAGCCAAATTGCTCAAAGGTGGTTTACACACTACTCAAGTGACTCACCAGTTCCCGGATGTCTTTCAGCAGCCCTTCCAGTGTGGTGAACTTGCCCCCGAGGACTGCCATTCCCAGTTCAAATTCTAGCTCTGGGATTTCCACACTGCAAGTCTCAGACTGTGAAATGAGAGGTCAGTTTAAGCTTTAAGTCAGAAGCAAAGAAAGCCAACCAGAGGCCTCCTGCCCAATTAATACCAGCAGTGATAGACTGCGGACAAGGGCAGCTGTCTCAGTTTTCTCTGACTCCCTTGTTAAAGCTTGAGACTCACTCCTGTCCATCTGAACCACGGGAATAGATCCAACTTAATAAAGGGAAACTCAGTCATAGCTTCGAGCTGTCAGGTATCCTGTCACTAGGGGACAGACAGAGAAGAGGACCCAGATAGACACTGGAGGCCAAAAAGCTACCAGGTCATCAGAAAGAGCTAACAGGGTCACCTTCTAAACCTGCAATTCCAATCTTAGATTAACTCCCTCTGCTCAGGGGTCCTCAAAGCCAGGGAAGTAGGAGATACCTCATGTCCCTGAACATTATTTCTAAAAGACAACTTCCCCTAGATAGAGACAGTTTATCTAACTTATGAGGACAACAGTGACTTTCCCAAGCAGACTGTTACCTTGAGGAGGTCTCTGGTCATATCTGAGGCATCTGTGATGTGGAGGGTGATCCTGGTGCCCAAGGGTTCTACTGCTCCTCCAGATTTCACCTGCATCGATAACAGTCAGGAGCAACAGAGAGAAGACCTGAGCCTCACTTGGTACCCAGGAGACCTGGAGTGTAGGCTTGGACATCCAATCAGTTAGGGCCATTAATAGCTACCAAAGAAAGAGCCTTCTAAACAGCAGTCGCCCAAACCAAAAACACCAAGAGCTGGCCAGGAACAGTGCCCAACCCTGGTAACGTGCCAAAACTTATCCCAAATTGCCAATAAACTCTGAATTTACCTTAAAAAAAAAAAAAAAAAAAAGACTTTTGGGGTTGAAAGAGACTTTTAAGCATTTATTGCAGTCCTTTCATCCACTGCATCCAATGTGTGGGTCTCCTTTATAATATTCTGGTTAAAGAATTTAATTAGCTTATACTCAGATACACTCAGGGGAAGGGAATTTATAATTCTCTAAGGCAGCTCATTCTATTTTCAGACAGCTCTATTGAGTTCTTCATTGTGAAGTCAAAGTCTGCCTCCCTGAACTTCCACACCTCTGAGGAGTGGGTCAAAAGACTTCTCTCTTCCATATCATCAACCTTTAATATGTCTTAAACAAGTTATAGAATCTCTAACTTTTCTTCTCTAGGCTAATTCCCATTCCTTCAAGGGCTCATCACCCTGCACTAGACCTAAGAAAAAGACCCAAGCTACTCTACACCCCCTGCCCCCGAGTACTGAAGTACTTAGGAAGAATGATAGTTAAAAGGGGGTTACCCTTAAGCTAGTCTTCTTCCCAAATAATGGCGCCCACCCACCTCATTGGTCCGATGCCCACAGTTCTCGCAGTTGGTAGCCATGATGATAACCTCCTTAAAGTGAGGGATTTCTGGAAAACGGAGTTAAGGAAATCTACTTCCAGGCGAACAAGACCACCATCTGGGGAAAAACAAAGCCAAACCCCACACAAACATATGCTGGTCCCAGAACTGCAGGAAATATTCACAAGAGGCAGCCCACAGAGTCCTCCAGAAGAGGGCAAGTTCCCAACCCATGGCAATCCCTGTTCACACATTTGAAGGCATGGCTCAGGTCACACACACACAGCCTAGTGACCATGGCCTAATTTTCTCTTTGAACACAAAACCCAAGGTACACAGTCTAATCAAAGATAATATCTTCCTTATCACTGGGTATAAAGCATGTGTTTTCCTTGAAAGGGATGCTCCCAGCCTGATTATAATCTTCATGCCTGAGTCAGATGAAGAGCAACCCAACTGCTTGGCAAAAGATACGTACTAGCTTCATGTTGGTCTGAGCGGGGGCATTGCATTCTGGGCAGTTTGTGCTGAACTGGAGCACCTGGAACACAACATGAGGACAAAGGGTGAGCCCTCCCAGATGGGATGTTCAGGCTAAAGACACTCAGTTGGTATGCTAGTGGTCATCTATGTTGGTGACAAGGAAGACAGATGCTGAACAGCATCAGTCTCAGCCCACAACTCTGCTCCTTCCTCACCAGTAGCCAATGTGACTCACTTCATTTCTGAGATCTTCCTCTTCTGGCTTCTCTGCTGGTGCTTCTTCCTAAAATAGCAAAGATGCAGGTCGCAAGTTGGCAGGTATACCTCAGTGTCCCCAACACCCTGCCCTGGAGTGGGAGAAATGCTCAGGTGCCACCTCATCAGTTATGTCAGGTGCCACCTCATCAGTTAGAGAAACCACAAAGTAAAGCCCCAACCAAAGGAAGAACAGGACTTAAGATAGGATCACAGCCACTGCCATCCTTTCTGTGAAGTTTACCCAAGTCCTGGACATAAGCAAGATGAGAAGCACAAACAAGCTGAGATAGGGCACACAGAGCAGCAGCAGCAAAATAAGTTCCACTGACTCCAAGCAATCCAGAGTGCGCGATAATTCCAGAGCATTCTTCTGGATCCTTCAGTCCACTTACTTGAAGCCCCAGCATCTCTTCCTGCTGTCGGGTCCGGTTGTAGTGTGTGATCACCAGGGCATCATCTTTCTGAGGAGCATGTGGGTTTTCCACAAAACTGTTCCCTGAGGGATCATCAATGATCTAACAAATGGGAGAAGAGAGAGTCACTGCAAAAGAAAATCATAAACAATCCTACATCACCTACTATCAGACCACGCAGGCATCACAGTGGAAAATCCCAGCAGTCTTAATGGTCCCTCCTCCCCTAATCAAGGGCAACTCCAGCCTCTCAATACTCACCAGAGTGAAAGGGGAGGCTACTTGCTTTAGCTCCTTCAGTTTGACAATGAACTCATCAATTCTTTCAGCTGTAGCATCTTTGTTTGCCTGCCATGAACAGAGAGTAAAGCATCAGCCCTGGTGGTGTACCTTATGCCCTGCCCCTTGTCATGCCCATGTTACTTCCATTAGGAAGTCACCACCTATCTCAGTGTGAGTGGAAACAGAGTGACTCAGGCTTCACAATGAGATGTAGCAAACAAGCCTGAAGTTGACGGGTGGTGACAGGTGAGCCTCCTTTTTCTCACTCATTCAACCATTTAGCCCAGGCACTCATGCCACGTTAGAGATATAATAGTATATATATCAGTCCTCTCATGGGACTCCCCAACCAATTAAGGAGACAAATAACTAAAGATGCAGCTATAATATATTACTTCTGTCATAATAAATATAAGATGCAGTGGAATACTCAGGAAACACAGATAACCCAAGGGGATTAGGAAAGGCTCTTCAGAGGTAATGTTATATTGTCTGATGAGGCCTGAATATATACTGAGGGAGGGAAGTGGAAAAGACAATAATTATAACATATGCAACATTCTAGCAGCTCCAGCACCACCATATGCTTACCCAGCAAGTTTCCAACACTTAGTCAGAGACTCTTCAGACACATGGGACACTCTATATAAGCAATTATTCCTTGAGCTGCTACAATCAGAAAACCCCAGCTTACCCTTCGTGCAGGCTGGTCCTGCTCCAGGCCAGAGATAGCACGGGTGATCAATCCTTCAACAGTGGTCAGAGCTTGTGAACAAGAACAAAAGACAAGTGTGACTTAGCCTCAGCTCTGCTATCAAGTCCCTGTATGACCCTGGGCAATTCACTTGAACTCTCTGGGTCTTAATTTCCTCATCTGTAAAATGAGAAGGCCAGGTGCAAGGTTCCATTCATGTCTGATAATAGTGATGCTAAAATTCTACAATAAACACACTATGGTATTACCATTACTTTCTACCATCTCGAGCTGTTTTACCTAAGCTTTCCACTCATGATTAACTAATGAAGATCACAATGATTACATGGTAGAACCCATACACAAACCACTAGACCTGGCACCAGGGGGTTTTGCAAGAAAGAGGGTAAGATTCTAGCTACATGCGAACAGCCCAAATACTCTGATCTTAAACTTACCTCCTTTCTGGCTAAAGGCAGGAATTTCAAAATCTAGCTCAGGAATCCTTGTGGCAGCAGAGTCAGTCTTCACCACTTCTCTGTTCATGTCCTGGGAAGAAAAGAATACGTTCAGTACAAAGAGACTGCAGAACAGCTTCTCCTCAAGTAATAACCAGACCGTCCCCTTCCATCAGACCGCAGCCCAGCTGTCTCTCCCTCTCGCCACTCCACAGGGTCCAGACTGCTCCTTTCGAATAGTACAGGTGGTGTGAGCCAGGCTGTCCAAATGGTGAGAATACTATTCATAACAACTACTGCTCATTTCATACCCTCAGACAACATTTACAAAGCATTTTCACAAATCTTATCTCACTTGAGCTGATGACAACACCAGTACCATTTTACAAAAGAAACTAAGGCTAGGAGACATAGGGGGATTTATTTAAGATCCGACCGCCTGGACCAGAGCTCTGACCCCAGTACCGAATCTCTCTCTAGAATACTGAGGTACCTGCTCTGAGGTCCTCTCACCTCCAGAGCCCTGACAGACAAAGTGTAGCGCACTCCCTGGTCCTGGATCCTGCCTGCCGACTGGATCTCCGTGTTGTTCCAGCCACAGTGCTCGCAGGAAAAGGAGCTCACTATTATTTCTCTGAAGAAGGGAATCTTGGTGAGCAGGAGGCGCGTCATGCCCTGGTGAAGTAGAAAGTAGCTAAGGAAAAAAATCAATGAAACTCCCTTTCCCCGCCCTACTATCTCCGGGCGCTCCTCGGGGTCCCCGGCCGGGCCCACCTGGCTGGGTCTGACCCCCGGCTCGTCCCGGCACAAGCCCTACCCACCCGCCGCTCGCGGCCGCGCCCCCGCCTCACATTGCAGTAACAGTTCATGCATAGCGACTCGATCTCGGTGGGCTGCTGCTCCTCGTCCTCGGCGCTGATGGGCCGGAACAGGTGATCAGGGGCAGGCGGCGGGGCCGGGGCGGGCGACGGGGCGACGGCAGCCCCCGGGGGCCCTGGTTCCACAGCCCCGCTGGCCGCCATGGCCACCACGCGCAATTCAGACCTCGGCTTCCTACTTCCGCCGCTCTCGCGGCCCCACCCCTCTCCCGTCACTTCCGCCAGCTGCCACCACCCCAAAAAAAGCCGCAGACTCCGGGCACTCGGGGAACAATGTCGTCAAGGGCTCCCGGTTCCCGGGTTTATATGGCTCGAACCTTACATCGCCAGCCGGATCCACCTCAACTCAGCCGTCACTTCCCCTAAGACGTCCTCTTAGAACCAGGGCACTTTTTTGCTCCTTCACAATAGCTCCACCGCACGGGGTTCTATTGGTCCCTACGTCGGTCTACAAGAGCCTTGACGACAAGGGGCTGGACTTGTCCCTGAGGAATCCCTGAGAAGGTGCGCCCGGAGCCGGGCTGCTTGGTTCCAGTGTTGGGCCACATACTGCTTGCGTGCTAGGTCGCCCCTCCGGGTGGCTCAGCCTCTTCCCCTCTCTCACAATCCCTGAATCCCTCTGTCCCTTTCTGTTCTTCCCACTCCCTATTCTGTCCTCATCACTACCTTCCCCAATCCCAGCCTCAAGTACACAGCCCTCATTTTCACTCCTACCTCCTCATCCCCATCATAGCCCTTGACCTATGCTTTTCCAGTTTCCTAACAACAACAAAAACACCTTTTATTATTTCTACCTTTCTAGCACTTCCTCTCTCCAGGTGCTGGGTCCACAACCCAGTTCTGTTGCCAACATTGTCAAAATCCACGGTGTCAGGGAAGACCAGCCTGCAGGCATGATGAGCCTACATATGTGTGGGGTCTGTGCTATGGGGTTGGGGAGCAGGCAGGTGCTGAGAACCCGGGGACAGTAGGCTGAGCTGGGAGGAAAGGGGGCCGGACAGGGAAGTCCAAAGACAAGGAGCTGTGTTTACCCTTTCCACGTCCTCCACCACACCCCAGTTTCAGTTCCCAGGGGATCTATAGGGAGCATTGGTGCCCCTGAGTGAGGGGAGTCCCCAGAAGAGAGTCCGGCATAAAAAGAGGCCATTCAAACTCTAGAACAGCAGGAACAAAGGAGGCAGCCCACCTCAGGAATCTTAGGTCCACCAGGGCCACAGCTCTTCCAGACACAGCCTGCATTCCATGCACAGTGTCCTGTGGGGGAGCAGGCTAGTGAACAGTGCAGGTGCAGAGGAAGGGCCCGTAACCCAGGCCCTCCTGCCAGGTGTGACAGACAGCCGTTGTCTAGCCAGGATCCCTGAAGCAGAGCCCAGCCAGACCCCCTTTGACAGACCTGGACTGGGAGTGGGTGGATGAGAAAGAGCAGCAAGGGAATGGAGTGGGTGATGGGTGTGCTTTGGGGATAGTGGTGAGGCCACTGCTTTCAGACATGGTCCAAATGAGAGTCACGCCAGGCAAACTTCTATCATAAACATCTATTTCATTTGAGCCAGAAGTCTAGGCTTCAACTTGGGAACCCAGAGGGAGGGGCTGGAGATGGGGAGAGCACACAGTATGCTCCCCAGAGGGTTTAAGGAGCTCCCACAGTTGGGAGGGTTCAGTCCCTTATTTAGGTGTAGAGCTATGTCAGGAAACATGGGCTCTGCCCTCTCCTATCACAGCCCACACCTTTCGTACCCACCAGCATCAGAGCCAGCAGGGATATTCACACACCATCACATGTTCTCCCCATGATATTCTCTTTCTCCCTTCTATTCCCCTGATAGCTGCCATGGCAGCCCTGGGGAGACAAGTGCTCCTCTCTGTGGACCAGCTGTAGCAGTGGCCACCAGGCAGCCAGAAGTGACTAGAGCCAAACTCCAGGATGTAGTGGCACAGGCTTCCAGCATCACGGCAAACAGGCTTGCAGATAATCACCCACATGCATGGTGCCTCTCCCTCCCTACTCCCTCACCCTTGAATGGAGTAACTCATGAGCATTCCCAAATGAGCACTGGGAGGCTGGGTTTGCAAAGCCTGGTGAATGTAATGCATCCAGATTGGGGAGTCGCAGGAGGCTGGATGTGCAGGAGACAGCAGCCCCTTTGGTGGCCTCCCTGTCCTGCACAGGACCTTCCACCCTCCACCCAACAGGCCACTTTCAAGGACTGAACCATGCTAGAGGCTCAGAGCCAAGGCTCCCCAGACAAGGAGCTGGGAATGGGCCTGGGCAGGTAGATCCTCAGGGGTCCCCCAGATGGCTGTGGCCCTGGTCATGAAGGCTGTGAGTGATGTCTTCCCACAGGTCATCCAGACGGGCCTGCAGCTTGCTCAGAACCTTGCCACTGTCTGTTTGTTGAAACTCTGGGGCGAAGGCACTGTGGCCTGGTGGAGGTGGCGCCAGCTGCTGCTGGACCTCCTCAGTCTCCTGGTCGATGGCGCGAGTGAAGGCAGCTATCTGCAGGTAGGTGTCCTGGCGGAAAGCCTGAAGTCGCTGGCGCACCTCCTCGGAGAGCATCTGGGGGTCCGGGCCGGCCCCTTCCTCAGTCCCAGTGCCTGCAAAGGCTCTGCTGAGCTCTTCGCGCAGCTGGTCCAGGTTCTGCTGGATGCGTGCGTGCAGGGCCTTGGCCTTGAGCGTGAGCTTCCGGGAGAGCACCTGCACGCAGCGACTGAGGCGCGCGGGGCTGGCGGGGGCGTGCGGAGCCACACTGCGGTGCAGCTCCTGCACGTGGCGCCCGATGCCGCTCACCAGGCTCTCGGCGTATGGGTGGAAGAGCTCTTTGAAGCGGCCGGTGTGGTGCACCACGCGGCTCTGCAGTCCCTGCAGCAAAGCCCAAGCCTCGTCCACGCCCCCCAGCAACTGGGCCTTGGTGTCTTCCCCCACCACGCGCAACTGCTCCTGCAGCTCCTGCACGCGCAGGGCCACCTGCTCCATCAGATCCATCGTGTAGGGCTTCAGTTGCTGCCGCAAGCCCTCCAAATTCCAGCCCACCAGCTCGTGCGCCTCTGCCATGTAGGGCTGGAGGCGAGCCTTCACCTCCTCCAACTCCTCCTGCAGCTGCCGCCGCATGCCCACCGGGTCCTGTGGGAGCCGAGGAGCCTCGCTCCCACTCAGAGGCCTCAGCTTTTCCAGGAACTTGTTCATATTGTTGAGGTCTTGCTCAAGGCTGTCTTTCAGGGTCCTGGAGAAGGGGACAGATATCCAGGCCGTCAGACTGCTAGCCTCCATCATCTCCTTTGTCCCCAAGTCATCGCGCACTGATCCTCTGGGGGAACCAAGGACGCAGGGCGTTGGCCCCAGGGTCGAGGGCTCTTGTCCTAGCCCTGGCCAGTAACAACTCACGCACGAAGCACAAACACATTGCCCATACAAATCCAGACCTACAACACTCTCCAAAGAAACATAGATGCGCCACATCATCCTTTGATTCTGGGGACTGCAGCGGGCGTCCTCCCGATTGATCCCAGGTCCCGCGCCTCAGTGAGCAAGGGGGCAACAGCTACGGAGTTGTCAAGGCGGGGGCTGCAGGCAGAGGGCGCTAAAGAGCCCAGGATGGCCGGGATCTGCAGACAGAGCTAGCACCGCTCCTTTCCTCTGTCCCAGCAGCGGCCACAGAGGTTGAGGCAGCAGAGGCAGGTCATCATGGCATGGCCCAGCTGTCTCCTCCCTTCGCCTACACCCCTTCCCCTGGGCACTCACGCGGGCTCGCGAGCCATCTTCTGCTGATGGATCTGCTCCACCCTGCCTTTGTCCCCGCTGGTCTGGCTGAAGTAGTCCCAGAAGCCTTTCCGTGCCTGGGTGGCCGAAAACGCTGTGGAGAGGGACTAGGTAATCAGGGCCTGGGCTCTCCTCCCCCAGGGTGGACAGGGCCCTCTGGCCAGCCTCCACCCACACCCCCACGTTGAAGTCAGGGTCGGAGACCCACCTGAAAGAAGAGCCAGAGCCCAGGTGAGCACGGCAGCCATGCTTGCCATTACCTGCTCTGAGAAGACAGGTGGAGGGAGGCCTGGTTAGGGGAAGAAGGAGACGAAGGGACATGGCGCAGGGGACTTGCCCAGGGGGCCTCTGCAGGGGCAACTGCCCGAAATCCTGTTACCCCTTCCTTGGGCTGGGGAGCACAGAGCTGTTGGGGCTCAAGAGGACTGACCTAGGTGAGTCAAGGAGGCTAGGGTGTCTTCCTCAGACATGGGAAGAGGGCGTGCTCTTGCTACCTCAGTCACATAGCAGGGAGCGTGGTGCTCTAACCCCTTCGCAAAGGTCCCAGACCCCAGGAACAGTTCTCTAGGCCACTTCTACCACCTCTCCCCTGCCCACCTGTCTCCCTCCCTCCCATTTCATGGTGGAAAAACTGAGCCATAATGAGGGCGAAGAGGCAACTCTGCCAAAATGTTCCAAGAGGACGTCTTAGGGGCCACCCCAGGCTCTCCCCTGAGGCCACCTGCAATGCCCTCCCTTAGGACTGTGACCCCCATCCCTCTGCCCCAGCTGCTCACCTGCTCACGTCTGGGCACAGAGAGCAGACATTCTGCTTTATACTCCAGGGCCCTGAGCCTCTGGCACCAATTGCTCTGAGTAAATACCACGTGGAAGTTCAAAAGAAGTTGACCTCAGCTGCCTCCCAGCACTCACCTCCTGCCCTTTCCCTGGCACCCAGAGGGTTAATGAGTGCCCTGGTATCAGGGGCTGCCCCAGTAGAGAAGTGCTTCCCAGGAGCTTTACGGGGGATGGGGCTGAACTCCTCACCCAGTTTCTCCCAAACCCCATGACCTTTAACCTTCCCACTGACCTGCTGGCTGGCCCACCAACAGAGAAGAACCTGTTTGTCTGCCAAGGGCCCCTCTCTTACACAACTACCCAGAGTCACTGTGTCCCAGCCGGCAAGATGGACAGTGTTCACCTACCAGCCAGAACCCGAGCAGCCCCTGAAAGCTTCACTACAGGTTCCGCAGGCATCCTCAGCCAGCATTCATAGGGTTAAAGACCAACCACATCCCTCTTTATGAAACAATCCTGGAACAAGCAAGGGAAGCCAGGCAGGGTGAAGATGAGATGGCAAGAGGCATCTGGGCCAGGGACTCTGAGCCCCAGGAACTGGAGCGAAAGTGAGATTTGCCCCATGAGGAAAAGCTGAACTCCACTCGCAGGGCCTCTGAGGAGAGCAAGCCCAAATGCTCAGATCTTCTCTGATGACACACCCACTCCGTCTACAGTACTCATACACACGTTCACAAGCTCCCGATTCTTGGTCCTAAATGCATCTTGAATCAATCCCCTCTCCTCCATTTCCACTACCATCATTGCACCAGTTGTCTGTCACCTTGATTGCATTCATAGCCTCCAACAGGTCTTTCTACCACACTCCTGCCCATTTAATTCATCCTCCACTGTGGCTCATCCTGACTCATTTCCAGTCTCATCTGCTGCCACATAAAACCACGGCATTCCCTGAGCCTTTATACAGGCTTCCCTCTGCTTGAAATAGCCTATCCCCTGGTGAATATATATTCATTTTTTAGAGTTAGTTTGTATTAGTTAGAATTAGACTTGGCTGCAAGGGACATATATATGTGTGTATATATATACACACACACATGTATATTTTATATTCTTGCATACATATATGTATATATATGTGTGTGTGTATATATACACATATATATATACAAGATACTGCTCTTACCACTCATACTGACATCCCATTGGCCACAAGTTAGTCACATGGCTACACTTAGCTGATATATATGTGTATATATATATGCAAGAGAATAGCTTAAACAAAATGGAGTCTTATTTCCTTCTCATGTAAATGTAGGCCAGCTCGGGCTGCTTTTATCTTGTTGCACTATTATCATCAACAAGACGCTCATATCCAAGTTCCAGCTGCTTCACCTCCAGCTACCAAGTTCACCTCCCAGGGAACAGGAAGGAGGAAAAGGAGAAGGACATGTTCCTTCCTTTTAAAGACACATCCCAGATATTGCCATTACCACTTGTACTGACATCCCATTGGCCACAACTTAGTCACATGGCTACACTTAGCTGAAAAGGAGGCTGGGAAATATAGTTTTTATTTTGGATGGCTGTATGCCTAGCTGAAAAAGGACTCTATTACTCAGGAAGAAGAGAAGAAAGGATTTGAGGGAACAGTAGTAGCCCCTGCTACACAGCTCCAGTATCACTCTGAATGCCTTCTTCGGCCTTCACCTTTTTCTGCTCTGGAGATAAACTGATTCCACATTATTCACACAACACTGTATATTCCTGGATTATAGCACTTACTATCTAACTGCACAATAATTTGTTGATGAATCCGAGAGCTCTTTGAGTGCAGGGGCTTTTTCTTATTCATCTCTATATCCACTAGTATGTTTTGCACAGTGCCTACCTACTACATACAAAGTTAAGTGACTGAATTCAATCATTCATTTGATTTAGGAACTGAGGTTTGAGGAGATCAAGTGGCCTGTCCATCATCACGCAGTAAGAGTTGCAACCAGAATCAGAACCCAGGTGCTTGGCTCTGGTGGTTCAAGAGAGCAGACTATGACCAAGTCACAAAGGGGCTTGTGCAAGCAGTCACTGAAAGGTACATGATGGAGAGATCACTCAGGAGGGTGGCCAGAGAGAAGGCAGAGGAACTATTTAGGGATATTTTAATAATCCAAGTGAGAAATGAAGGCCTGAAGTATGGCATAGCAGTGATGGTTGATAGGTAAGTATATATTGAGGGCTACTAAGGCAGCAGAGTTGATAGCACTTGGTGACTGATTGGATGAGGAAGGTGAAGGAGAGGAAAAAATCCCAATGATTCCCAGGTTTCTGAGCAACTAGGGGGATGATATTTTCTTTCACCAAAAAAAATAAGCAGGTTGGGACAGGAAGTGAGAGCTCAGATTAACAGGAGTCCTAACTCGAACCTAAGCTGGGTTTCAGATAGGCATAGGGCAAGCCCAGTTGAGGTCTATTTGCTTAATGGCTAAGAAGCCTCCTAAGAGAAAATTCATTTGAAAGGAAAAAAAGCAACAGGAGCTACCATCCAGTCACAAAACCACAGTCATGAAAAGAGAAGAGAGACTCAGAGTATTTGGGAAGGGAACATTTCCAGGGGTTGAAAAAATGTGGGAGTGGAGAGCCACTGAAATTGACTTTGGGTGATTACTTGTACCCACAAGCTAGTGTGGCCTTGTGCCCAAAGGCTGTCCACTGGAGATGTTCTGGCAGTTGGATACATATGTCTCAAGCCCAGGAGAGAAGTCTCGGCTGGAGACTGAGTTTTGGGAGTCATCAGCAGATAGGAGCAGTGGAAGACTTGGGAGTAGATGAAATCTCTAGGGAGAGTACATGGCAGGAGAAAAGAAAAACGCTGAGGTCAGAAAACACCAGTATTGGCCGGGTACAGTGGCTCACGCCTGTAATCCCAACACTTTGGGAGACCGAAGCAGGCGGATCACTTGAAGCCAAGAGTTTGAGACCAGCCTGGCCAACACGGTAAAACCCTGTCTCTACTAAAAATACAAAAAAAATAGCCAGGTATGATGGCACACGCCTGTAATCCTAGCTACTTGGGAGGCCAAGGCTGGAGGAGTGCTTGAACCTGGGAGGTGGAGGTTGCAGTGAGCTGAGATAGGGCCACTGCACTCCAGCCCGGGTGACGGAGCGGGACTCCATTTCAAACAACAACAACAACAAAAGAAGCCTTTGGCAGAGAAAATTAACGCTTTCCAAAGATCCATGTGCTGTGCTGTACTTCCCAGACTCCTTTGCAATTAGATTGGGGCCATACAGTTAGTTCTGGCCAATGGGCTGTGAGCAGAACAAAATGGGTTACTTCTGTTTGAGGACAATGAAGAGTGGATGTGAGTTCTCCATATTTTTTCCTTCCTTCCCCTACAGTGGAAGCAAAGAACTCCAAGCTGGCACTATTACAAGAGGGAGAGGGTCTATATTCTGAGTTAGTGCTTGGAGCAGCACCTCCCACCTAAAAGAGGGGCAGAGAAGTAGAAGTATAATCAAAATAAAGAAGAATCACAGAAAGAAAATATATTAGTTAAATTATATATTTGGCTGCTCTGAGAGAGACCCAAAATAACAGTGGCTTACAAAAGCTGGAAATGTATGTTTTCTCCCATACAAAACTTCACGCTGGTATGGGAGCACTGCTCCACAAAGCTGTCCAGGGTCCTAAGTTCCTTCTGTCTGGAGGTTCTAATATCCCTATGTGTTTCCCTTGTCCACATGATCTAAGATAGCTTACCACCATGTCCACATCCAGCCACTGGAAAGGGGGCAGGGTGGAGGAGAGGAGAGTGTAGAATGTACTCTCCTTTCTTTCTTTTTTTTTTTGAGATGGAGTTTCGCTCTTCTTGCCCAGGCTAGAGTGCGATGGCACAATCTCGGCTCATCACAACCTCCACCTCCCAGGTTCAAGCGATTCTCCTGCCTCAGCCTCCTGAGTAGCTGGGATTACAGGCATGCGCCACAACGCCCAGCTAATTTTGTATTTTTAGTAGAGACGAGGTTTCTCCATGTTGGTCAGGCTAGTCTTGAACTCCCGGCCTCAGGTGATCCGCCCACCTCGGCCTCCCAAAGTGCTGGGATTACAGGCGTGAGCCACTGCACCCAGCCACTCTCCTTTCTTTTAAGGACAAAACCTAACTTCTTCTCCCATCTCACTGGTCAGAACTACTTGTAAGGAAGGTTAGGAAATGTCATCTTTGTTTTGAATGGGCCTGAGCTCAATGATCAGTTAAAAATCAGGGATTCTACCCTCATACATTGCTGGTGGGATTGTACAATGGTGCAATTTCTTTGGAAAACAGTTCGGCAGTTCATTAATGGTTAAACATGGAGGAGTTCTCCTATGACTCAGCAATTCTACTCCTAGGTATAAAACCAAGACACATGAAAATACACATCTGCACAAAAACTTGTGCATTAATGTTCATGGCAACATTATTCATAACAGTCAAGAAAATGGAAACAACCCAAATGTCCATCAATTGATGAATGGATAAACAAAATGTTACCTATCCATATAGTGGAATATTATTTGGCAATAAAAAGGGTTGAAGTACTGATACCTGCTACACCACAGATGAACCTGGAAAACATTATGCTAGGGGAAAAAAGCCAGTCACAAAAGACTACATGTTGTAAAATCTCATTTGTATAAAATGTCCAGAAAAGACAAATAGGTAGAGACAGAAAGTAGACTGGTGGCTGCCTAGGGCTATTGAGGGGAGGGGAGGTTGATTGGGGAGAAATAGTGAATAACTGCTAATGGGTGTGGGGTTTCTTTGTGGGATGATGAAAAAAGTTCTAAACTTAGTTTGTGGTGATAGTTGTACAAATCTGTGAATATACTAAAAACCATTCAATTGTAGTGAATGTTATGGTATGTGAATTATATCTCAATAAAGATATTTCTAAAATCAGGGATTTTATAACTGAGAAAGAAGGGAAGAATAAAGTTGCAGAGGAGACTTGCAGCCTCTGCCACACCAAGGACGAAAAGGTTTCAAGAGTGAAGAATTAATGGCTTCCCACCATGGCAGACTGAGCTGAGCTGAGGCTGTGTTTTCAATGCTTTTCTATCTCTACTCTTTTTTTTTTTTTTTTTTTTTTGAGACAGAGCCTTGCTCTGTCACCAGGCCATACAGTGGTGTGATCTCGGCTCACTGCAACTACCGCCTCCCGGGTTCAAGCGATTCTCTTCCCTCAGCCTCCCAAGTAGCTGGGAGTGCACACCACCACACCCAGCGAATTTTTGTATTTTTAATAGAGATGGAGTTTCACCATGTTGGCCAGGCTGATCTCAAACTCCTGACCCCAAGTGATCCGCCCACCTAGGCCTCCCAAAGTGCTGGGATTACAGGTGTGAGCCATCCCCCTGGCCTCTATCTCTACTCCTAAAAGAACCATTTCTGACCACTTAACACCCATTAGAATGTTATTTTAAAAAATAAAATAAAAGCCAAAAATAGCAAGTGTGGGTGAAGATGTGGAGAAGCTGGACCGCTTGTACGCTGCTGCTGGAAAGGTAAAATGGTGCAGCTATGGTGGAGAACAATACGGCAGTCCCTCAAAAAATTTAATCTAGAATTACCTTATGACCCAGCAATTCCACCTCTGGGCATATATCCAAAAGATAAAAGCAGGGACTGGAGCAGATATTTGTATGCTCGTGTTCCTAGTAGTATTATCCACAATAACCAGGGGGTGGAAACAACCCAAATGTCCATTGACAGATGAATGAATAAACAAAATGTGGTATATACAGACAACAAAATATCACTTAGCCTTAAATAATGACAATCGGGGGCCAGGCATAGTGGCTCACGCCTGTAATCCCAGCACTTTGGGAGGCCGAGACGGGCAGATCACTTGAGGCCGGAAGTGCAAGACCAGCCTGGCCAATATGGTAAAACCCCGTCTCTACTAAAAATACAAAAATTAGCCAGGTGTGGTGGTGCATGCCTGTCATTCCAGCTACTTGGGAGGCTGAGGCACGAGAATTGCTTGAACCTGGAAGGCAGAGGCTGCAGTGAACTGAGATTGTGCTACTGCCCTCCAGCCTGGGTGACAGAGCGAGACTGTGTCTCAAAAAAAAAAAAAAAGAAAAGAAAAGAAAAGGAAATCTGACACATGCTATAACGTGGATGACCCTTGAAGACATGATGCTAAGTGAAACAAGCCAGTCGTAGAACGACACATACTGTGATTCTGAGGTATCCAGAATAGTCAGATTTGTAGAGACAGAAAGTATAATTCTGGTTTCTAGGAGAAGTGAGGAAGGAGAAGGTATTGGTTAATAGGTACAAGTTTCTGTTTGGGAAGATTAAAAGTTTCTGGAGCTAGATAGTGGTGCACAACAGTGTAAATGTATTTAGTGCTACTGGGCTATATACTTAGCTACAATGTACAATAGCTACAATGGTAATTTTTATGTTATGTATATTTTGCCACAATTTAAAAAGGAATTTCTCATACTCTAATGGTTTTTTGCTGATAACCCAAACTTAAAGAGCCTGTGCTGTAAAATACAACTGCGCTGGATTGTCTTTTTGCAAATAGCATTATCAGTGCCCTTTCTAAGGTCTTTTATGAGATGCAGAGGGGACACTTGGAACTATTAATACATTTTCTAGAATCCCTTCTCTATATGAGCCTAGGTTAGAGTCAGCCAGCGTGAGACGGAAGAGGAGAGGCCATTATGTTTCAATGCCGGTTGCAGACAGAAGCATGGACAGGCTTGGAGTTTAAAGCAGCTTCTGGGTGACCTTCCCAGGAATCACATGCATTGATATTGCAGGCATAATAAGGCGAGCTTCCCATTTGTAGCCACTTACTAATGAGCGTTTGAGAGTCACTCCTTCTGAACTGCAAACCAAGGTGGTCACTCCTCCAGCCCTTCCAAGAGTTGGATAAACCTTTAATTTTTTGTTTTAAAGCCTTTCATACTTGAAATACGTGGAATGGCTTTTGTTTTTCTGACTGAACCTGGATTGATACAATGGGTAGATGCAACACACACTCATGCTTCCCTGTTTGGTGGCATCTTATAGTTTCAGTGTTGAACATGTTTTGAGTTGGTTGGAGGTATATGTATATGTGTATGTGGTATGTGCTTTGTGTGTGGAACCATTTGAAATAATTATAGCCAACATGACACTTCACTCTGAATACTTCAACATACATTGTGAAAAATAAGGACTCTTTTACAAAAGAAAAAAACATTATCATACCTTTGAAAATTAACACAATTCCTTAATATCATCTAACATATCCTACATATTCAGATTTTCCCCAAAATGCTTTCATAGTTGTTTTTCTCTCTCTGTAAATTCAAGCTCTAACACATCTCATCTGGTTGTTATCCCACTTTAGTTTTTAAATTTAGAACCGTTCTCCCCAACCCCACCATTTGTTTGTTTTCATGACATTGATTTTTTTTTGGAAGAGTGCAAGGAGGACATCTTGTAAAATGTCCCACATTCTGGATTTGAGTGATTACTTTCTCATGATTAGATTAAGGTTAAACATTTTTGGCAAAAATACTAGGTGATATCTGGCCATTCTTACTGTATCCTAGCTGGAGGTTGCACTCTATTTAGTGATGTTAAGTTTGATCACTCCGTTAAAGTGATAACAACCAGATTTCTCCATGGCTAGTAAAGTTTGGTTTTTTACGTTATTGATAAGTAATTTGTGGAGCAATACTTTGAAGCCATGTGAGCATCCCATTCTGCAACAATTTTTCACCCAATGGTTTTAGCATTCATTGATGATCCTTGCCTGAATCGAATATTATCCTGAGAGTTGCCAGATAGTGATTTTTAAAAAATTCTAGGCCAGGTGCAGTAGCTCATGCCTGTAATCCCAGCTCTTTGGAAGGCTGAGATGAGAGGATCACTTGAACCCAGGAATTTGAGACCAGCCTTGGCAACATGGCAAAACCTGTCTCTACAAAAAAAAAAAAAAAAAAAAAAAAAAAACTAAAAATAAAATACAAAAATTAGCCTAGCATGGTGGCACACATGCTTGTAGTCCCAGCCACTCAGGAGGCTGAGGTGGGAGGATCACCAGAGCCTGGGAGGTTGAGGCTGCAGTGAGCCGTGATCAAGCCACTGCACTCCAGCCTGGGCCACAGAGTTGCCCAAAACAAAATGAAAACTTAAAGAATTCCATCATTCCAGCTACATTTATTATCCGATTTCTTCTGTAAGTAAGAGCTTTTAGGGAACTTGTTCTTAAATCCAGAGACTTTGAACAGATTCCTTCCAGGTGAACTTGTTTGTGCTGCCCTTTCCTTGACTGTCGTTTTGTATCACAGTGTTTGCGGATAGCTGCATTTTTAAGAGAGTTGCCCCTCTATTTTGTTTTGTGTTTTTGTTTTTTAATACACAAGAATTGCTGACTCATTCTGGATGTGTAGTAAGAAGGATTTTAAAATGTAGATTGGTAAAGGTTAGCAGGTACCTTATTCCTTACTGCTCAGCAGCAGCACTTTTGCCTTAAACACATGGATTAAGCAAGTGTATGGGTCTCAAATAGACACTTGATATGCACCAAGTGAGAAGATCTTCTAGAGTCTTTCTTTTGTGACCTGTTCTTTAAAGCAACATTATGACTTCTCCTTCTGAACAGTAAGTATTTTTTTTTTTTTTTTTTTTTTTTTGGCAGAGTCTCACTCTGTCACCCAGGGTGGCTGGAGTACAGTGCTGTGATCTCGGCTCTCGGCAACCCAGTCACTTGGGTTCAAGCGATTCTCCTGCCTCAGCCTCCTGAGTAGCTGGGATTACAGGCGTGTGCCACCGTGCCTGGCTAATTTTTGTATTTTTAGTAGAGATGGGGGTTATTCCATGTTGGCCAGGCTGGTCTTGAACTCCTGACCTCAGGTGATCCACCCACTTCGGACTCCCAAAGCTCCCAAAGTACTGGGATTACAGGTGTGAGCCACCACACCCGGGCCAAGTAAATCTTGTTACAAATTGTTCTCCTTCAGTCTTGTCTTCTAAGAACTCAGATGTAAACTGTGAGGTAGCAGTCTTTACTTGGTGTTCCTGGACTCCATCTCAGAACGCACCAAAAACATCTATATGATTGTGGAGCCACTCTACATTGTTTCTACTGCTATCACCAGACCTTAATGGAGGTGTGGGTTTTTTAAAAATCAATATACATCTCAAATACATTTCAGAAAGAAAGGTGTTTATGCTTAACGCAGTGTTAAAACTATCCCAGCAAGAAAGTAGTAACCTGTGTAAGCATTTTTTTGTTTCTTTGCTTGTTTGTTTATTTGTTTTTGAGACAGGATCTCACTTTGTCACCCAGGCTAGAGTGCAGTGGCATGATCACAGTTCACTGCAGCCTCAACCTCCCAGGCTCAAGCAATCCTCCAGCCTCTGCCTCAAGCAATCCTCCAGCCTCTGCCTCCCAAGAATCTGTAGTTTCTGGGACTACAGGAGTGTCCCACAACACCCAGCTGATTTTTTATTTTTTTGGTAGAGAAAGGATCTCACTATGTTGCCCAGGCTGGCCTTGAACTCCTGGGCTCAAGCAATCCTCCTGCCTCAGCCTCCCAAAGCACTGGGATTACAGGCATGAACCACCATGCCTGGCCTTTTGTTTGTTTTGAAATAAGTTCTATTTGTCAAAAAGAAAGAGAATTAAATAGAACATCTATAAGTGAAAAAAATATAGTCATTATAATATAAAACACATTTAGCTACAGTTGGAGAGAGAATTAGTAAGCTAGAAGGTAGATCTGAGAAAATCACACAGAAAGAATCACAGAAATAAAAAGGAGGATATTGACCAGGCACGGTGGCTCATGCCTGTAATCCCAGCACTTTGGGAGGCCGAGGCGGGTGATATTGGCCAGGCATGGTGGCTCATGCCTATAATCCCAGCACTTTGGGAGGCCGAGGTGGGTGGATCACCTGAGGTCAGGAGTTTCAGACCAGCCTGGCCAATATGGTGAAACCCCGTCTCTACTAAAAATACAAAAATTAGCCGGGCGTGGTGGTGCATGCCTGTAATCCCAGCTACTTGGGAGACTGAGGCAGGAGAATAGCTTGAACCTGGGAGGCAGAGTTTGCCGTGAGCCAAGATCATGCAATTGCACTCCGTCCTGGGCCACAGAGCAAAACTCTGTCTCAAAAAAATTAAATATAAAAAGGAGGGTATGAATAGACGGTAAGAGACATGGAGGACAGAATGGGAGGTCCAATATATGCCTGTAGGATTTCCACGAAGAGAACACAGGGACTGTGGAAGAGGCAATATTCAAAAGATGATGGCTGAGAAATTTCAAACATTGAAGCAAGATGTGACCGGAATCCTCAGGTACAGGAAGCATCCTGAGTCTTGGTAGGAAAAATTAACACACAACCAAATGAGGACACATCGCAGGAATCTGCAGAACACTGAAGGCAATGGATATCTTAAAATCAACCAAAGAGAAAGACTAATGATCTACACACGAAGCATGATTAAACCGGCAACTGATTTATCATCAATGTACCTTCTAAAGACTGAAAGGAAATTAATGGCCAACCAAGACTTATACTCAGGTGAACTATTATTTGAGAGGAAGAAGTTAATTTCAGAGAAAGAGAGTTTACCACTCACAGATCCTCACTGAAAAGAACTACTAAAAATCTGAAAAGGAAACAGAACCCAGAAAAAAGGAATAGGATAGAAGGAGACATGGGGAGCAATGAAATTAGTAAACGTTTAGGTAAATCCAAAAAACATTAGTGAAAATACACACACACACACTTATGAGACTAGTTTTCACTAAAAATTGGTCAAATAGTGGCAATTTCATATAGTTCTACCTAACAAAAATGTATTTACACATAGTTTAGTTTGTGGGGGTTTTGTTTGCTTGTTTGTTTGTTTGTTTTTTGAGACAGGGTCTCACCGTTGCCCAGGATGGAGTGCAGTGGTGTAATCACTGCAGCCTCGACCACCCTGGGCTCAGATGATCCTCCCACCTCAGTCTTCTGAGTAGCTAGGACCACAGGCATACACCACCATGCCCAGCTAATTTTTATATTTTTTTGTAGGGACGGGGGTCTCGCTATGTTTCCCAGGCTGGTCTCGAACTCATGGGCTCAAGCGAGCTGCCCGCCTCGGCCTCAAAAGTGTTGGGATTACAGGTGTAAGCCACCCTACACCTGGCCAAGTTTATCTCATTTCCTACTGTACTCCCAGTGCCTAGACCAGTGCTTATCACATGGTAGGGAGGGCTCAAAAACATCTATTGATGAAGGGACTACTTTGGAGGAGGTGTTAAAAGTAATGAGGAACTAAAATATCAGACCGAAGCAACCTGGAAATGGGAAAGGAGAGATCAAAGTGAAAGCATTCAGCAGCCTTTGCATTATTCGGGAGGAAGATAGGGATATTGATTATCTATAGACTTTGTTAGGTCAGACAAGAATATTAAAATTTTAAGGATAACCCATAAAACGAATAGAAAGAATGGATAACTTTTAAACTAGTATATGGGGAAGAGAGACTAAAGAGCATCCGATTGACTTCTAGTAACGGACGGTGGATTAATTGCATGCATTAGCCTCTGCTGTTCTCTGAAATCTCAATAACGTGGCATTGAAGTGCACTTTTTACAAAATGCATAAACCCAAAGGGAAAATAGAAAAGGAGACAAAAATAACAACATTTGGGAAGCTGGAAAGCTTCCAAATGATCAAACGGTGGTGACAGGCACACCTGACATGAATTTTGAAGCAGCAGTGGAGAAAGCCAAGAAGGCCCCTGATTTTCACTACTAAACTCTCCAAATGCTCTGACATTAGTGTCAACATTCTTCTGGAAGAGTGGGTGGCAGTGGGACTAGAAATATGGCAGTTGGTCGAGAGTCTGTTTGAGAAGCAGCTGTTCTCTTCAACTCTACTTGGCTGGGTACCCCCAAAGCAGCAGAAAACCAGATGCTTATTCTCTCTGAAAAGGGTAAAAGAGTGGGACTCCGGCCTGGAGAAAACTAGGTATTGTTGGGGGCCAGGGTTTTTGTGCTAAGAAAAATTAAGGAAAACTTTATACATTAAATTTTGAGGCTGGGCACAGTGGCTCATGCCTGTAATCCCAACACTTTGAGAAGGCAAGGCAGGAGGATCGCTTGAGCCCAGGAGTTCGATACCAGCCTGGGCAATGTAGCGAGACCCAGTCTCTGCAAAGAATACAAAAATTAGCCAGGTATGGTGGCACCTGTGGTCCTAGCTACTCAGGAGGCTGAGGCAGAAGGATTACTTGAGCCCACGAGTTAGAGACCGCAGTGAGCCATGATCATGCTACTGCTCTCTAGCCTGGGCGACAGAATGAGACCCCATCTCAAAAATAAATTTTTTTAAAAGACTCCTCAGTTCACCATCTTTCCCCATATTGAAAATGGAACAACATTCTCCCTGAGAAATTTGGCTGGCCCAAGGAAATAGGCCTAAAGAAACTGACTTTTGGGGGTTCCCTGCTCTCCAGATGGTCCCTCCTAAATTGAACCATGGACTCAGGATTTCACATCAGCTTCTTCTAATTTATGCAGCTTTCTTCTAATTTACTGTGGGGTTTTTTCGGTGTTTTTTGTTTTGTTTTGTTTTTTGAGACAGGGTCTTGCTCTGTCATCCAGCTGGAGTGCAGTGGTGTGATCATAGCTCACTGCAGCCTCAAACTCCTGGGCTCAAGTGATCCTCCCACCTCAGCCTCCTAAGTAGCTGGGGCTACAGGCATGACCACCACACCTGGCTAACTTTTTAATTTTTTGTAGAGGTGGGGGTCTTGACATGTTGCTCAGGCTGGTCTTGAAATCCTGGCCTCAAGCGATCCCCCTGCCTCAGCCTCCCAAAGTGCTGGGATTTCAAGCATGTGCCACTGTGCCTGGCTAAGAATACTTAAAGGTGAAGTGAGAAGTTCACATGATGTCATATCAGGAGGTACACAATGGCTACTTGTCCCACTAATAGCAATCCTTAGTTTTTTCACTTCGTGAGGTGGTCACTAGCAGACCTCTTGGTTGGAAAGATAGGTTATTTCCCTTTGTAATTAACAAGTAACAGAATTGGGATACTTTGGCATCTTAAAATACCTTGGCAACCTGATGAACATAGCATACATTCAAGATTTTTGCCTGAATTAATTATTACATTAGAAGAGTTGCAGAATGAGAATGTTCTAATTCTACTATTTCTTTTATATATTTCAGCTGATGTTATTCTATGAAGAAAAGCTCCCTCATCAGTGAAGATGAACTGCACTTCTTTCTAAAGAGGCAATGTCAGACGGGCACGGTGGCCTATAATCCTAGCACTTTGGGAGGCCGAGGAGGGTGGATCACCTGAGGTCAGGAGTTCGAGACCAACCTGGCCAACATGGTAAAACCCTGTCTCTACTTAAAATACAAAAATTAGCCGGGCATGGTGGCACATGCCTGTAATCCTAGCTACATGGGAGGCTGAGGCAGAAGAATCGCTTGAACCTGAGAGGCAGAGGTTGCAGTGAGCTAAGATTGTACCACTGCACTCCAGGCTGGGTGACAGAGTGAGACTCTGTCTCAAAAAAAAACAAAACAAAACGAAACAAAAAAACAGTTGACAGTAGTTGTTTTTGTAGAGTGAAAAATAGAGGTGGGGGTTGAGATACTGCTGCTATTTTAAACTAACTTGTAGATCTGTTTGACTCTTTTTTAAAAAACAATTTTTTGGAGAGATGAAGCCTTGCTATGTAGCCCGGGCTGCTCTCAAACCCCTGGCCTCAAGTGATCCCCCTGTCTCGACCTCCCAAAGTGCTGGGGTTACAGACATAAGTCACCACACCTGGCTCTGTTTGACTCTTTATGTGCAGTTTGAACTTTTTAACTGAATTTTTTAAAAGGTGTGAAATTAGTCTTTAAAGGAACACAAAACCAACAGAGAAGCAAGCAGGAAGATACAAGAAGCAAAGAAATATCATAGTAAAATGAAAATACAAAATAATATGACATAAATAAAACAGTAATCACTATCAAATTAAATAGATTAAGTGAGCCCACAAGGCATTGTCTCTGGGACTAGTCCGCTGGGTCGAAGTCCTGCCACTTATTGGTTCTGTGACCTTTGGCAAATTAACTTCTCTGTGATTCCATTTCTTTCTTTTGTTTTCTTTCTTTCGTTTTTTTTTTTGAGACAGAGTCTCACTCTGTCACTCAGGCTGGGTGCAGTGGTGCAATCACCAATCACAACTTACTGCAGCCTCCACCTCCTGGGCCCACGCGATCCTCTCACCTCAGTCTCCTGAGTCCCTGGGAACACAGACATGTGCCACCCTGCCAAGCTAATTTTTAAATTTTTTGTAGCGATTGGGTCTCACTATATTGCCTAGGCTGGTCTCAGACTCCTGAGCTCAAGTGATCCTCCCGCCTTGGCCTCCCAAAGTGCTGGGATTACAGGCATGAGCCACTGCACCCAGCCTCAAACTCTGTAAAAGGGGAATAATGATAATACTTGCCTCATAGGGCTTGTGGGAAATAATGCTTTATTACTGTAGGTTAAAAAGCACACAAACATGCTTGACACAGTAGGTGCTACATCAGTTTACTATTGTTGTTGTTTTCAGATTGGATTTTATAAAAACTCTACTTATTTGCAATTTATAAGAGGCATACCTAAAATATAATGTCAGAGAAAGGTTAAAAAGTGGAGCCAGGGAAGGAATTTAAGAAGACATACCAGACCAATAGTAATCAAAAGAAAGCAGGTATGCAATGTAACATCAGAACAAATAAGCTTTGCTTATTTGGATTGATAGGGATAGATAGGATTGATAGGGATAAAGCAGATCATTATTTAATGATCAAAGAAGAAATTTGGCTGGGCGTGGTGGCTCACACCTGTAATCCCAGCGCTTTGGGAGGCCGGGGCAGGGGGATGGATCACAAGGTCAGGAGTTTGAGACCAGCCTGACCAAAGTGGTGAAACCCTGTCTCTACTAAAAATACAAAAAATTATCCGGGTGTGGTGGTGCATGCCTGTAGTCCCAGCTACTCAGGAGGCTGAGGCAGGAAAATCATTTGAACCGGGGAGGCAGAGGTTGCAGTGAACTGAGATCGCACCACTGCACTCCAGCCTGGGTGACAGAATAAGACTCTGTCTCAAAAAAAAAGAAAAAAGAAGAAGAAGAATAAATTCACTGGGAAGATAAAACAATTCTGAACCTGACAACATAGTCTCAAAATACGTAAAGCAAAAAGCCACTGAGTCCCAAAGAGAACTTGACAAATTTGGTAGGAGATTTTAATACCATTTCCTCAAACTGATGGAATCACAGAAAAAAAATATAAGAACAAGTCAGCAAACTTGATATGGAAAGAACAGCATCCCCACCTGAGAGTCAGCAGCCTCCATGCAGGAGGACCGAGGGGAAGCCAGGGAGCAGGGCAGCCTGAGCCAAGGCCAAGCCCAGTTGAGGACAGGAAGTGGAAGGAGGCACCTAGGAAGGCTGAAGATGCAGAGGAGTGTGTTCCAGAGGCAGTGGGAAAACTGGGAGGGAATAGTTCTCGGGATGTTGGATAGAGAGAATAAGCAAAGAACAATGCAGGAAGAAGAGTGGGGTGGGAGGCCGTGACCTTGCTAGAGAGCCTTATGTTTTGGGCTATGACCAGGGCTGACAGAAGTGTGAGGCATGGCGGGTTCAGAAGAGAGATCAATGATGCATCGCACATCTCTAAAGCTGATGAAGGCAGCAATTGGCACTGAGGCCAACCTGGTTGGGACTCAGAGAGGTGGGACACATATTGTGTGCCAGGCACCCTGCCACATCTTGGAGAGAATAAGACACAAACCCTCATCTAGTGGGTTGGGGAAATGATGCAGGGCTCAGTGTGGCTAGCGCGTTGGGGTGGGAAGCAGCCTGGGCACGCCCACAAGGCTCTCTGCCTTCCAGAATCTGGCCCAGTTGGGTTTGAAAAGATTTAATGACAATGAGCTCTCTATGGACCTACCTTGTGCCCAGTATTTACCTTTCTTATCTGTAACGCTCAAGTCAATACTCTAAGGTAGGAATTGTTATCCTCATTTTATTTACAGAGAAACTGGAGTTCAGAGAGATTCTTGCCCAAGGTCTTGCCCTGGGCCAATTCCAGGTCTATCTAACTCCAAAGTCCATGCTCAGTACACTGTCTCCTGCTTGGGAGCAAAGAGAGGACTTTGCTCCTAAGACCAGACCCATACCACAAAGAGCCTCAACACTTAACTACTGGGAGAAAACACCGTCCTAAGTAAAAAGCCAGGTGCTCTTCCCCTTACCCCAGGGGGTTTAGGATTTGGGAGAAAGAGGCCTGATGGAATATAGGGGTACCAGGTCCATGTGTTAACTGATCTGGGTACAAGAACAGTAACTCAAGGCCAGCCAGGGAAAGAACAGCCAAGCCGAGGCACAGCTGCCAAGTCATCACCTCTCGTTCCTTGTCCCACCATGCCTTGTCTCAGCACGAACATAACCCCCTCAGTTTCCCTCTTCTCCTGTCTCCTGCATAGGCAGAACCAGTTCTGAGTGATAGCCAGGACAGCAGGTCCTCGGGTCCTCAGGCTTGCCACTACAACCTGTTTACCCTGCGCAGACCATGATCCATCAGGTCGAGAAATGCCCCACTGCTAGATGTTTGTGTCAAAAATGCCTGCCGGTGGTGCAACAGCTGGGTGGGACCAGTGACGTGGACTTGAGTGCCACAAAATGTACCGAACACATTCTGAGTCAACATAGTGATGGTGTGCCAACTCCAGATAAAGATTTTCATTATTATTTGTTTGGGTTTTGTTTATATGTACTCCTCTTCATCACCAAAGATTTGAGGCTACAGAAAATGAAAATTGAAATGGTAATAAAAGAGAGGGGCTTGCAGAGAGGACCACAGGATGGGGAAAATAGAAATAATCGCAGAAAATCATGACCCGATGAAGAGCACAATCATAGAAGCACTAACAGATGACAAGGTTGCCAGATCTTCACCATTGGTTTTGGGTTTCGTGAAAACCCGCGAAGAGAGGGATTCAGTCAATTACATATTTTTTTTCCTTCTTTCTTTTATTTTTATTTTTTATTTTTTCTTGAAATGGAGTCTCATTCCGTCACCAAGGCTGGAGTGCAGTGGTGCAATCTTGGCTCACTGCAGCCTTCACCTCCTGAGGTTCAAGCCATTCTCCTGATTCAGCTTCCTGAATAGCTGGGACTACAGGCATGAACCACCATGCCTGGCTAATTTTTGTATTTTTAGTAGAGACTGTCACACGCGAGACAGGGTTTCACCATGTTTGCCAGGCTCTTGAACTACTGACCTCAAGTGACCCGCCCACCGCAGCCTCCCAAAGTCCTGGAATTACAGGCATGAGCCACCGTGCCTGGCTTGTTTTAATTTTTTATTATAAACAACACTGTGATGAACATCCACATAGCTAAATGCATGCATTCCATGATCATTTTCTTAAGATAATTTTTTTCTTATTATTTGTGTATTTATTTATTTATTTTTGAGACGGAGTCTTGCTCTGTCACCCAGGCAAGAGTGCAGTGGCACAATCTCGGCTTACTGCAACCTCCACCTCCCAGGTTCAAACAATTCTCCTGCCTCAGCCTCTTAAGTAGCTGGGATACAGGCACAAGCCACCAAGCCCAGCTAATTTTGTATTTTTAGTAGAGACAGAGTTTCGCCATGTTGGCCAGGCTGGTCGCCAACTCCTGACCTCAGGCAATCGCCTGCCTCGGCCTCCCAAAGTGCTGGGATTACAGGCGTGAGCCACCTCACCTGGCCTTAAGATACATTTTTGAAGGGAAGAACATTTTCTGTCCAAGTACATTCCTGTTCACAAACCCTTTTCCATAACACTGGAGACTTCCTGGGGAGGTTGGAACCAATGGCTTAGACTCCAAAGGAATGAATGTACCATAAAGCTTTCAGCAATCTTCTGTCAATGCTACTTGTATAGACTTCCAGACAAACATTGAAGATTGAATGCATGCATCTAATTTCACTTTTTTTTCCTGAAATCCTCCTGAAACTATAATGAAGAAATGTTTGGGAAAAGATGTAGCCAGGCACTGTGGCTTATGCCTGTAATCCTAGCACTTTGGGAGGCCAAGGTGGGCAGATCGCTTGAGTCCAGGAGTTTGAGACTAGCCTGGGCAACATGGCGAAACCCTGTCTCTACTGAAAAAATACAAAAAATCAGCCAGGCATGGCAGACCTGTAGTTCCAGCTACTCAGGGGGCTGAGGTGTGAGGATCACTTGAGCCTGGGAGGTAGAAGCTGCCGTGAGCCCTGATTGTGCCACTGAACTCCAGCCTGGGCGACAGAGTGAGACCCTGTCTCAAAAAACAAAAAAAAAAAAAAAAAAAAAAGAGACGGGATCGGGAAAAGGAAGAAAAGACCACAGCACAATTTTGGATGTTAGAAAGCAAATGGACCAGTTGTGACTGATTTAGCCGGCCTTGGGAATGCTGGTCATGAGCTGGCAGTGAGAAAAGATGAGTTCCAGCCTGACTTACACCGCTGGATTCTCAAAAGGCGAAGAGATGATAGTAGGGCTCCTGCCAGCCCACGCTGCACCTGTGTGTGCAATAGAAACAGCCTCCCCTTTCTCAAGACACTCTACAGCCGTCTGCCAGAAATTTGACATGATAAATATACAAATCTGTCATGTCTACCCTGTGAGGGAGGTGGCCTCAGAATGATACAGTGCACAGCTTGCACAGCCATATATGACTGTCCTGAATTGGGACACCAGTTTCTACTGAAAGTAGAGGTGACGGAGGAGGCTGTCATAAAACATGAAAGATTGGTTGAAACTATTTAAGGAGCAGTTAGAGCTTTAGCTTCCCTGTCTCACCTTAGTAGAAGACTGGAAGTTTATTCTCTTGAACGTCAGGCAGAGTTGAGGGCAGGAGACCTGTACTAGCAAGAGGATTAAATCAAAGTATACCCTCTGAAATGCTGAATCACCCTCCTGCTTCTTCCACTTGGCCCCAGGGACACTGTATTCAGGCCTTTACCCTCCAGGCAGAAGAGTGAAAGACATTTCTTAGGGGAATATGTCCAGCTCAAGAGGTAAGACCCAAAGATTTTCACAATGGGGTTCCCCAGCTAAACATCTCAGTGGATCACCCTGCAGTGACATTCATAGTCAATAAGTACTACGCACGTATTGGAGCTTCAAATCACCTTTAAAATCTCCCATTCTTTTCTTTTTTCTTTTTGAGACAGAGTCTCGCTCTGTCACCCAGGCTGGAGTGCAGTGGTGCGATCTCGGCTCACTGCAAGCTCTGCCTCCCGGGTTCACGCCATTCTCCTGCCTCAGCCTCCTGAGTAACTGGGACTACAGGCACCTGCCACCACGCCTGGCTAATTTTTTGCATATTTAGTAGAGACAGAGTTTCACCATGTTAGCCAGGATGGTCTCGATCTCCTGACCTCGTGATCCACCCACCTTGGCCTCCCAAAGTGCTGGGATTACAGGCGTGAGCCACCGCTCCCAGCCCAAATCTCCCACTCTTAAACTTAAGCAACCAAGGATTACCAGTCATTTGAGGAAAGATTCTAACATGAAAGATAGAGACCCAAAACAAACAAATATTTAAAAAGGAAGTTAGAGAAAACTGAGAATATACAGAAAGAAGAACATTGAAAAATGCCATTAATAACATCAGAGAATGAAAAGATTACATTGATTAAACAAGAACAGGATAGTATAAAAAGACCTTCACAGAATAACAATAACAAAAACTCTTAGAAATTAAAAAAAAGATAGTAGAAATAAAAACTGAATAGAGAGTAAAGAAATAGTTCAGAAAGGGAGAGCATGTAGAGATTGAAGTAAGAACAAAGATAAGAAAATGAGAGGATCCACGCCGGGCGCAGTGGCTCACGCCTGTAATCCCAGCACTTTGGGATTTAATATAAATATATTAAATATTTTAAATAATATAATTTTAAATAATATAAATATATTAAATATATTAAATATTTAAATATATTAAATATTTAAATCTTTTTGTCTTGCTGAGTTGTATGAGATATATATATATTTATATATAAATATAGATATAAATACATATAAATATAAAAATATATATATATCTCATACAACTCAGCAAGACAAAAAGATTTATTAAATTCATTCAGTCAACAAATATTTATTGAATACCTACTAAGTTCTAGTCATCATGCTAGGCACTGACTGTTCAAGAATAAACATAGACAAGACTTCTGCCCTTTCAGAAACCAGCCAAGATTCTTCAACCCAAGGCAGCTGTGAAGTATAACACATCTCTGGCTCAATTTTCTCCATATGGTTTGGGGTTCCATGAATGAGTCTGTGGGAAGATTTCCTGTACGTAGAATGCATGTATAAAGGAATAATTATTCTATGGTTCGAAAGAGAAAAAAAGTAAGATCAAAGTGTAGAAGCTATGTTAAGAAAGATTCCAGTTTAATGATTTTTGAAAGAGCAGTAAAAATAAGACCAAGATGTGGAAGCTGTATTGAGAAAGATCCAATTTAATTCTAATAATCTTTAACAGAATTGCCCAAAGATAGAATGAATTGTTTTGAGAGATGGTACAGTTAGCTGTCAGTGGGAGTGTTCAATACTAAGCAAGATTCACTCGCTCAACCATTGAGTGATGACCACATGCAGGCACTGTGCTAGGCTCTCTGTATTTTCAGTAAGCTATTGTTGTACAACAAAGCACCCTAAAACAGTGTCTTAGAACAACAGTAAATGTTTATGATCTCTCACAAAGTCTGTGGGTCAGCAGCTTGGCTGTGTGTTTCTGGTTCAGAGTCTGTCATGAGGTTGCATCTGAAGGCTTGGCTGAGGCTGGAGGATCTGTTTCCAAGGTGAATCACTTTACATGGCTGGCAAGTTGGTGCTAGCTGTTTGGAAGGGGCTTCAGTTCCCCCCTGTGTTGACCTCTTCACAGGGCTGCTTGCACGTCCTCCCAACATGGCAGCTATCTTCCCTCAGAATGAGTGATCCAAGAGAAATCAAGGTAGGTGCCACAATGCCCTTTATGATCTAGACTTAGAAGTGAAATACCATGACATAGCCTATTGATCACACATCAGCCACCATTGTGAGGGCTAGCTACCACATCCTGCAAATACAATGATGAACAAACAAATGGTGTGCCTGAGCTCGAGGGCTGTTAGCCTAGAGTTAAGATCATTCCTTAAATGATATCAAAGGAATTAGGGCTGAGAGACAAGGTTGTTCCCTCCAACCCTAATGCCCTGTGATCTTATGATTCCAGGTCCTAGGTCTTTTGTTCCCATATCACCAATCCATTATCTCAGAACCAGCAGCTCACCAAACCCTCGCTCCTCAGATGTGGGCCATTCGGGGGTTTTTATTGTGCCCCTGCATTGTCAGCTACTTGTCATCACACAGCAAGATAGCATGACTCCACCCTGCACGCTCTCAGACAGGAGACAAGGGAGTGCCCAAATAACCCTAAGCTTGTTGTTTCTGTCCCCAGGACATACCTCAGCCTCCTCCTGGGAGCACAGGGCATACTATGATAACAGCAGGAGGACACGGCGTCCCCATGCAGGAGCTGCTTTTGATCCTGCCAGGACAATCCCTCAAGAGCAGCAAGGCCCTGTATGTACAGGAAGAGAGTGGCCCTCAGATCACTTCCCTTTGCCCTAATCAGGGCCACGTAGTACACCAGAGACCTCAGGGGTAGTGACCCTGGATGTTCTCAGAGGACTTCTGACCTTTGAACTTGGGGATGGGCATAGGAGTGTGGCTAGCATCTCAGCCTGGCCCAAACCAGTGCTGGTCAGCATGCCTTTGAGGCACTAACCCAGGCCCACAGAGGAGTCATCTACTTCCAAGTCACCTGAGGAGCCAGTGGTGACCAGGGAGATAATGGCCTGAAATTGTGCTGGCTCTGAGGGACTGTTGGGTAAGCTAATGTGGGCTGGGCTGGAGTTCAAACACACCTCCCTGGTGCCCACAGGGACCTCCCAGCACACGCTCTCCTATGGGTCTCAATGATTCAGTCTTTCCTGGTGGCATAGACTGTAGCCTGGAGAAGCTCTGGGGAATATTTCTTTTCTTACTTATTTCTGGTTTTAAAAGTACTACTCTCAGGATGACTATTGTTAAAAACAAAATAAAACAAAACCAAAAAATAACAGAAAACAACAAGCGTTGGAGAGGCTGTGAAGAAATTGGAACCCTGGGCGTCACCAGTGGGAATGTGAAATGGTGCCACTACTATAAAAAAACAGTTTGGCGGTTCCTCCAAAATTTAAATATAGAATTACCGTGTGACCCAGCAATTCCACTTCTGGATATTTGCTCAGAAGAATTGAGAGCAAGGACTGGAAAGATATGTGTACACCCCCATTCATAGCGGCAGTTTTCACAATTGCTTAATGGATAGAGTTTTCTGTTTGGGGTGATGAAAAGATTTTCAGAAATAGTGGTGGCGGTGGTTGCACAACATTGTAAATGTAATTAATGCCACTGACTTGAACACCTATAAATAGTTTAAATGGTAAATTTTATGTTATAAAAGTAATACTAAAGTGGTGGCATTTTTTTCTTTTCTTCTTCTTCTTTTTTTTTTTTTTCTTGAGACAGGGTCTTCCTCTGTTGCCCAGGCTGGACTGCAGTGGCATGATCTCAACTCACCCCAGCCTCAACCTCCTGGGCTCAAGCAATCCTCCCACCTCAGTCTCTCGAGTAGCTTGGACCACAGGTGTGCACCACCACACTTGGCTAATTTTTGTATTTTTTGTAGAGACAAGTTTTCGCCATGTTGCCAGGCTGGTCTCGAACTCCTAGGCTCAAGCAATCCACCTGTCTCAGCCTCCCAAAGTGCTGGGATTACAGGTGTGAGCCACCACACCTGGCCTAAAATGGCATATTTTTTTCTTTCTCTTCTTTTTTTTTTTTTTGGAGACAGAGTCTCACTCTGTCACCCAGGCTGGCAGTGGCATGATCTCGGCTCACTGAAATCTCCGTCTCCCGAGTTCAGGCGATTCTCCTGCCTCAGCCTCCCTAGTAGCTGAGATTGCAAGCACGCACCACAAAGCCCAGCCAATTTTTGTATTTTTAATAGAGGAGGGGGTTTCGCCATGTTGGCCAGGCTGGTCTTGAACTCCTGACCTCAAGTGATCCACCCGCCTTGGCCTCCCAAAGCGCTGGTAAAAAAAAAAAAAAAAAAAAAAAAAAAAAAATCCCATTCCACCACTTGCTAGGTAATGTACCTCACCATTCTGAAGTGCCTCTTCCTCATCTATTGTGTCTTTGATGTGATGGTCGATCATGAGAATTATATGAGCCAATATGGTAATATAAGGTGGTTTTTAAAAGCACCTCACACTACCAGCATTGCAGTCAGCAATGAATTGCCATCCTTGCATTGAAAAGCTCTACAACCGTTGCCACTGGGCATTTCTTATTGGCCATCATTTGTAGGGGGCTTTCACCTCCTCATGTATTCCCTGTTTTCCCTTCTGTGACCTCCCCTCCTTTCCTACTCTTCATTACCACCTCAAATGCCAGTGCAGGGAATGCACGGAACAATTGACTCCATCTCTCTGCCTTGTGGTCTCTTTCCAGCCAGTTCCTCTGGGTGTCCTGGTCAACAGCTAGCATGCACTGTCAATGACATTCTCTCTTTCAGAGGTATTCTAGGTCTAACTGTTAAGCTAACAGGATTTTCACTTCCTTACACGTTCACATACCAATATGTATGTGTGTTCCTTGACCGGGTTGTAAAGTACATAATAGTTGAAACCTTGCTTTTTTTTTTTTCATAAAATATCTTGGACATCTTCCCATAAATAAACAGATTCCCCAAACCAAACCAGAGTGTTTTGCTTGAACTCAGGACCTCATGAGAGATCTGAGACCAGCTGTTAGAGAATCTCTGAGAAGGGCAGGTAGAGGCTGTTGCCCAGGTCCCCAGTCAGCTCAGCCGCTGGAGAGGAGCAGAGGACTGACTGGCCACAGGGGGACTAAGTCCACCTGCTAGCTCAGAACAGGAGGAAGGCTGCTTTCCTTGGAAGATGGGACCAACCCTAATGAGGACTAATAAGTGTATCTCAGACAAACCAATTGACCAACTGGAACAGGCCAGAGATGAGGGTGTGTCTTCCAAGGCCCAAAGCAAGAGAAACATCCCTAAGAGGGAAGGGGTGTGTGGGGTGTGTCAATCAAAGTGATGTGTGTGTGTTTGTTTGTTTTTGAGACAGAGTCTTGCTCTTTCACCCAGGCTGGAGTGCAATGGCCTGATCTCAGCTCACTGCAACCTCCACCTCCTGGGTTCAAGCAATTTTCCTGCCTCAGCCTCCTGAGTAGCTGGGATTACAGGCGTGTGCCACCACACCTAGTTAATTTTTGTATTTTTAGTAGAGACGGGGGTTTCACCATGTTGGTCAGGCTGGTCTCGAACTCCCTATCTCAGGTGATTCACCCACCTCAGTCTCCCAAAGTGCTGGGATTACAGGCGTGATCCATCACGCCTGGCCTCAATCAAGGTTTTTAATTGCTAGCCACAGAAACCTACTCTGGAAGACATAATCAGAAGATGAACTTACTGACATATTTCCAGGAATTTCAAGGAAATGTCTAGGAAAGCTGGAGTACTTGGTTTGGAAAATAAACAAGAATAAGGGGAGCTGAGGGAGAAACATGGCCATGCTCATGCCACAGAACTAGAGTGATGGGGACGGCTGTGCTGTCACCACTGAGCCAGGATGGGGACAGCCCAGTTTGCCCACCAGCCACTGCCACGCCTGGTCCCTGGCCTGAGGCTCTAGCCTGGCCGCAAGCTGCCTGTTGCTGCCGCACTGTTCCTGCCCACCCCAGAAAAGATTCTCCACTGTCTCTGTTTCTTTACACCAGTCTGGGGCAATTACATCTGATTTGCTGAGCATAGGTCCCATGTCCCATGCTGGAGGTAAGCGAGGCTAGAAGGCAGGCGACTGGAGTTGTTAGTGTCTGTAATGGAGGCAGCCTCTGACTCCCACCAAAACTCATCAGCGAGACACTTTCGAAACAAAACAGGAGAGCTTCAGAGGCTGGGAAAGTGTCTTAGATCTTTTGGGCTTCTATAACGAGACACCAAAAACTGGGTGGATTACAAACAACAGACATTTATTCCTCATAGTCCTGGAGGCTGGGAAGTCTAAGAGCAAGGCACCAGCATATCCCGTGTCTGGTGAGGGCCCACTTCCTGGTTCATAAATGGCACCTTCTCGCTGTGTCCTCGCACGTGGAAGGGGCAAGGGATTTCTGTGGGGCCTCTTTTATAAGGACACTAATCTCATTCATGAGGGCTCCCCCTTCATGACCTGATCACCTCCCAAATGCCTTCTCTCCTAATGCCATCACCTTACAGATTAGAATTGCAACATAGGAATTTAGGGGGACGCAAACATTCAGTTCACTGCAGCAGCCAAAAGCAAAGTTACTACCAAGAGACCTCTGCCAGACCCAGGGGATTGATGAGACATCTTGGTACAGGAAAGAGAAGGCATTCCTCATCCAGGAGGACGAGGACTGTGGCAGGACCCTCAGAGACCTGCAGGATGGCCCTAAGGGTGGTGGGAGAGGTGCACGGGTCTAATCCAGGATTCATATATAGATATATTCATATCTATATTCATATAGATATGAATATATATATATGAATATCTATACATGAATATCTATATGAATATCTATATATGAATATCTATATGAATATCTATATATGAATATCTATGAATATCTATATATGAATATCTATATGAATATACATGAATATATGAATATATATGAATATATGAATATCTATATGAATATATATGAATATCTATGAATATCTATATGAATTATATATGAATATCTATATGAATATATATATGAATTATATATGAATTTATATATGAATATATATATGAATATATATATGAATTATATATGAATATATATATGAATATATATGAATATATATATGAATATATATATGAATATATATGAATTTATATATGAATATATATGAATTTATATATGAATATATATATGAATATATATGAATTTATATATGAATTATATATGAATATATATGAATATATATGAATATATATATGAATTATATATGAATATATATGAATATATATATGAATTATATATGAATATATATATGAATTATATATGAATATATATGTGTGTGTGTATATATATATATATATATATATTTTTTTTTTTTTTTTTTTTTTTTTTGAGACAGAGTTTCTCTCTTTTTGCCCAGGCTGGAGTGGTGCAATGGCGCGATCTTGGCTCACTGCAACCTCCGCCTCCTGGGTTCAAGCGATTCTCCTGCTTCAGCCTCCCAAGTAGCTGGGATTACAGGAGCCCACCACCACGCCCAGCTAATTTTTTGTATTTTTAGTAGAGACGGAGTTTCACCATGTTGGCCAGGATGGTCTTGATCTCTTCACCTCATGATCCACCCACCTCGGCCTCCCAAAGTGCTGGGATTACAGGCATGAGCCACCGCGCCCGGCCCAGGGTTCATATTAAGAACCAAGTTCTGGGAGACACTGAGGCCCCCAGGGGTTCTGGAGTCAGCACTAAACCAGGCAGCCCTCAGGTGAGGTCTGAGAGCATCTCAGAAGCTTCCAGACCCTCTTGGAACCCGGCCCACCCTGCATCTCACTTCCTTTTGGTGACTCGTTGCTCTGTTTGGCCTCATTGGCCCTTTCCTAAAGCCATCCAGTAAACCTCCAGGTGCCTGGTGGGTTTGTCAAGGTGTTTCCCCATAGGTTCCTGTGCTTCTAGTGGGGGTAGGTATCAAAGTGGCCGCAGCAGCCTTACTGGCCTGGTATGCAGGAGCGAGAGCAGCTGGGGCAGGGGAGACCCGGGGGTCTACCCTTGGCCAGCTGTGGCGGTCTCATTAATAGAGTGTGGCCTGGAGGTGAGCGGGATGAGGAAGTCACATTTACTGCAGCACCAGCTATTGCACGGTTATTCTGTGCCTGATGTTAAGTGCTTGACTCCGTTGCTCCATCAAACCTTCAGCACAACTCCTCTCTAAGCAGAGGATTGTCATTACCCATGTCTTCCAAAAGAAGCTCAATTATTCGCCCCACATCACCCGGTAGTCGGTCAAAAAGCCAGGATTCAAACCTAGGCTTGTCTGATTCCCAAGCATACATCCCTCCCACCAGGCCAGCACCAGGGGCCAGAGGGGTATAGGCCTGGGCCAGACCATGCTGGGGGCCACTACCCTGAGGGCACCTTGAGAGGGAAGGAGGAGGCCCCAGGACACCCTCCAAGGGGACTTCCCCCTCCTCCTTAGCATGTTCCAGGCCTCTTCCAGGAAAGCCCTGAAGGGCCTGCATCCCCCTGTGGCGAGGAAAGGGAGGTGGCTAGACTCGCAGGGCTGGGGTCCACGGGTAACAGGCTGTGGAGTCGTTTGAGACAAACGCTTGAACTGGCTCTTTCCTTGTGAGGTTTTCGAGTCTCTAAGGGTGGGGTGAAAGACCACTCCAAGGCTGCAGCTGCCCACAGCTGGCTGTGCTGATGAGACTGCTCAGGCCCCCTGACTCTCTGCCCCTAACCCCAGTGGCTGCAAACTCAGCCCCAAACTGGCAGGCCACCTGGCAGGAGGCCCCTGGACAGAGCAGACCAGGGCCCCGCAGGCTCCAGCACCTGCTCTGCCCCTCCTCCCCAGACTCGTCTCGGTCCCCAAGCCTCAATCCCCAATTCTGGATGGAGACCACAGGTTTAGCAGTCAAGAAAGTTCTGAAATAAGCATGAATCGCTTTCATAATGGAACTGGGGTGGGGTGGGTTAAATGACACTACATGAATAAGTTAAAGGCACTGAAGATCTCGTGCAAGGAGGAACCATCTCCCCCAGTGTACTGTGAGCCCCCCAGGGCCAGGGACCCTGTTCTGCTCGCCTCCAGGTGTCCCCCTCAGTGTGAGGCAGAGTCGGGCACATGGCTGCACAAAAGCTGTTTGCTGGTTGTCCGGTGCCTAGAATAATGACTGGCGCATCGGAGGCATTCAATGCATATTTGTTGGCTAAATGAATATAAGTAGGTTGCATATTTTGTCTTGGGATAATGTGTGACATCTTTTTCTGCCTCCCCTTAGAGGACTCCCCATGTACTCGCCTCCAGTCCACCAGGCCCTTACCTCTCCTGCAGTCTCATCTCCCCAATCCTGGGTGTCTCCTGCCAGGCCGCTGCTAAGCTCTGCCCAGTCATGGTTACCTCCCCACCTCCCCAGCTGCAAGGAGGATTCATCCGGCAACCAGTTGAGGCTAGATTCTCAGCAGCTTTATTGAATATTGAGAGGTGGTCTCACCTCCCACTGGACATGTGTCCTCAAGTTCATACCAGAACTTCTTTGGGACAGACAGACAGACAGGTGGCAGGGCAGGGCAGGTGTCCACGAGGGTGGGGCCAGTGCACCAGGGGCAGCTCAGCTCTCCAAAGGGGCCAGCATCTGCACCTGCTCCTGCTGCTGCTCCTGCTGCTGTTCCTGCTGTTGCTCCAGCTCAGGGAGGGAGAGAGTCTTGTCCTGGCTCTCTTTCTCCTTGAAGGTGCTGAAGAAGGAGTTGACCTTGTCCCTCAGGTCCTTCTCCAGGAAGCTCAAGTGGCCTTCCACGTCCCCCGCATGGGGGCCCAGTTTCTGCCTGAGCTGTTCCATCTGCTGCACCAGGGCTTTGTTGAAGTTTTCCCCGTAGGGCTCCACCCGGCGTCGGAACTCCTCCACCTGCTGGTCCAGGTGCCCACCCAGCTCTGCCAGTGACTTCTGCAGCCCCTCGGTGTTGCCCCTCAGGTTGCCACGCACGTCCTCGGCCAAGGGCGCCAGCCTCTGCCGCAGCTCCTCGGCACTGGCCGAGATCCTGGCCTTGAGCTCCTCGGCGTTCTTCTTCATCTGGAAGGTCAGGCCCTCAAGCTGGTGGTTGAGCTTCTCCTGCGTGTCCTGAGCATAGGGAGCCAGGCTGCGGCGCAGCTCCTCCACGGTCTGGTCAATCTTGACTTTGAATTCGTCAGCGTAGGGCGTAAGGCGTCCCTTGAGCTCCTCCACGTTCTGGTCGATCTTGGCCTTGAGCTCGTCGGCGTGGGGCCTCAGCGAGGCCTGCAGGCTGTCGGCGTTCTCCCGCAGCACTCTCTCCATGCGCTGTGCGTAGGGGGTCAGCTGGCGCCGCAGCTGCTCGGCCTGCGTGCTGACCTGGGTGCGCAGCTGGTCCGCGTAGGGCTCCAGGCGCTGCTGAAGCTCTCGCAGGTTGTCCCCGATCTTCTGGCTCACCTCATTGGCATGGGGCAGCAGCCGGGCCCTCAGCTCCTCCAGCTCCTTCCCAATCTCCTCCTTCAGTTTCTCCGAGTCCTTGGCCAGGCGTTCATGCAGCTCGGTGGCAAAGGGCACCAGCTTCTTCTGCAGGTCACCTGCGTAAGTGTTCACTTCTCCAAGTTTGTCCTGGAAGAGGGCACTGTGGGGAAGGGCACAAGGAGGCCACGTTACATTTGGCATTTACACGGCAAGACTTTGTCTGCTTGTATACCACTCGCCTTATGCACACGTGCTAGGACAGGTGAGTGCTCAGAGGTACCGAGTTCACCCTCCCTATGGTGGTGCAGATTGGAGAGGATGGGTGTCACAGACTAAGTTACGATGCTGAATTTCTATCTCAGGATCTCCCACATAGTTTGTCTCAGAATCTACCCACCATGTCACCTCCAGCAGTTTGCTTTCCCCTCCTTGTCTGCAGAGGGTGGGACTTTGAGGTCCTTCCCAGAGGGAGTGTTCTGGGCCATAGGATCACATTGTGTAACACAATGTTGTCTTCTTGACCTCTGCTGGGGTCTTCCAGTGGCACAAGGTGCTGCTTTCCTTGCCTGTGCCCAGGGGCCTCCCAAATATTCCCACCTCCCTCCCCTTGATTCCACTGGGGCCTGTCTTTCTGAAACGTATTAGAAATCAGCTCACGTGACATTTTCCTCCCTCCCTCTCTTCCATGAGCCTGAATGATAGGATGTGGCCATTTGTCAAACTCTAGAACGTCAAAGCAAAAGGACATGGCAGGGATTATTCGGTCCAAACTTCCGGTTTACATATGTGGATCCTAGGTTCAGAGGCCCGGCCAGTTAGTGGCAGGGCAGTGGGTATCCTAAGCTCAGGGCTCCTGTCTCTAAGCTCAACCCTTGCCAGTACATTGCATGGCCTTTAAGAATTCCCCGTCACCACCGCACACTGTAGTCCCTCTTACTTGAGTTGCTGGGTGAGTTCAGATTTCTGGAGATGTTCCACGGCCTCCTTGGCATTGTTGCTCAGCTGGCTGAAGTAGTCCCACATCACCGTGGCCACCTGGTCAGCACTGACCTCAGCCCTGGCTCCTGGGTGGTAACAGAGAGCAATTCATGAGGCCCCGTCTCCTGTGTGGCCCCTCTGCTCCAGCTCTGAGCTGCAGACTGGATGATGGTGGGGGTGCCTCAACCTGCCATTTTCCCTGTCTGAGCTTAGCTTTTTGGAAGCCACAGGGATATGTGAAACTGGTATAGCACCAATGCCAATGGGCCCACCACTGGGACTGGGCCAGCTCTCCTGTGAGCCACTTGGCAGCCAGGCAGACCTCATGTCCAGCTGGGGGCTGATGGGCACTCAGAAGTGTCCTTTTGCTTTGGCTCAGCCTCCATCCTGCACTACTCAGAGCAGCAGCCCAGGAGTGCCATCCAAAGACAGCTTCTACTCACCGGCGACAGCCACCAGGGCCAGGGTCAGGACCACGGCCTTCAGGAACATCCTGAGCTGCTTGCTGGGCTGGAGGAGTTTCTTGCCACACTGGATCCTCCCTACAATCAGGGGAGCTGACAGAGAGGTCCTCAGGAGAGCTCACCTGCGCTGCAGTGGGAACTGACTGAAGCTCAGAGCCAGCCAGACATTTAAACTCTCTCCCTATCGCCACCCCCCTGGCTGCCCTCCCCTCCTCCTTCCTCAGTGTGACTCCACGCTGGAAGGTGACACATTCCCAAGAGGCCTCTTGGACTTTTGTGACCCTGAGACTACGTGGAAGCTGACAGCAGATCAGGGCTCAGGCGATAGTTAGAAGTGGTGGCTGTTCCGTGCGTGGGCACCCCCACCCCCACCCCACCAACCTCAGCATGGAAGGGAGGAGGGGAACGGAAAACAGTAGGAGAAACACCTCAGGGAGCCCATGAGCCCGGGACTGATGCCTCGAGGCCCTGCTGGCGGCTCTGGGTTTGTGCCGGGCTCATGGGGGGCAAAGTCCACATCTCCTCTGTCTACCCCAGTGAAGACAGGTCCCCCCAGTCTCCACATCCGCCACTAATGCTGACTCCATCTCAGAGCACCAGACACTGGAGTGGGACCATCCAGGACTGCAGACAGCATAGTGAGCTAAAATCTAGGTCTCTTGTCAAGGTACACCCAAGAGGAGGGGGCCCTGGAGAGCCTTTGGGCAGATGGGTGTGGGAGACAGGGCCTTGTCCTGAAAGGGTTAATTGTAGAGTGCTTCATGTCCCACTCCCATGCTGTGCCTCCTTGGTCTAGTTATTCAAAGCCCTGAGCTTCAGTTTCTCCTCTGAACAATGGGATGGTTCAGTACATTAAAGAAGACATTGCTTGCGAAGTGGGTAGTACGGTCATCTCTCAGTCTCCATGGGAAATTGATTCCAGGACCCTCTGCAGATACCAAAATCCATGGATGTTCAAGTCCTTGATATAAAATGGCATAGTATTTGCATATAACCTAAG
Source organism: Homo sapiens (assembly GCF_000001405.40). Taxonomy (NCBI): domain Eukaryota; kingdom Metazoa; phylum Chordata; class Mammalia; order Primates; family Hominidae; genus Homo; species Homo sapiens. The sequence goes on from NC_000011.10 coordinate 116,824,164, forward strand.
CACAGCCTCCCACATACTTTAAATCTCTAGATTACTTATAATACCTAATACGACGGAAATGCTGTGTGAATGGTTGTTATACTGTATTGTTTAGGAGGTAATCACCAAAAAAGTCTGTATATGTTTAGTACAGGTGCAATTTTTTTTTTTTTTGAGATGGAGTCTTACTCTGTCACCCAGGCTGGAGTGCAGTGGCACGATCTTAGCTCACTGCAATCTCTGCCCCCCAGGTTCAAGTGATTCTCCTGCCTCAGCCTCCTGAGTAGCTGGGATTACAGGCACCCACCACCACGCCCAGCTAATTTGTGTATTTACAGCAGAGACGGGGTTTCACCATGTTGCTCAGGCTGGTCTCCAACTCCTGGCCTCAAGCAATCCTCCCATGTGGGCCTCCCAAAGTGCTGGGCTTATAGGCGTGAGCCACTGCGCCCTGCCCAGATGCAATTTTTTTAAAACATTGTTTTTAATGGAGATGGGGTGTCGCTATGTTGCTCAGGCTGGTCTCCAACTCCTGGCCTTAAGTGATCCTCCAATCTCTGCCTCCTAAAATGCTGGGCTTACAGGCATGAGCCACTGCACCCGGCCCACAGATGCAATTTAAAAAAAAAAATATATATATATATATATATATATTTTTTTTTTTTTTTTTTTTTTTGAGATGGAGTCTTGCTCTGTCACCCAGGCTGGAGTGCAGTGGCACGATCTCGGCTCACTGCAAGCTCTGCCTCCCGGGTTCACGCCATTCTCCTGCCTCAGCCTCCCAAGTAGCTGGGACCATAGGCGCCCGCCACCACGCCCGGCTAATTTTTTTTTTTTTTTTTGTATTTTTAGTAGAGATGGGGTTTCGCCGTGTTAGCCAGGATGGTCTCGATCTCCTGACCTCGTGATCCGCCCGCCTCAACCTCCCAAAGTGCTGAGATTACAGGCGTGAGCCACCACGCCCGGCCTAAAAAATTATTTTCAATCCAAGGTTGGTTGAATCCATGGACACAGAAACCAAGGATACAGAGGGCTGCCTATAGAGCTCCTGGCACAGAGTAAGCTCTGAAAAATAGTTGCTGTTATTATAATAATCATACTGTATAATAATCATACTGTGTTCCTGATTTGGAGCAAAGCAGGGAGGGTAGCAGAGTGCTCCCTCCTCTAGTGAGAGTGGCAGAGTGAGACTCAGCCCTCTGAGGGGCGCCAGGTGGGCCAGAGGCAGGGTGATGGGTGGGACCAGCCTGAGGCCTGACTCCTGCCCTTCTTGCCCCCCAGCCACACTCCCTGGGCAGGAGCAGCTGGCTTGAGCAGAATCTTGGGACCTGAGGCTCTCAGGGGACCTCCCATTGGGGGATGGAGGGCAATGGTGGTGGTGCCCAGGAGGTCTTCTACTTAGATGTCTATTGGATCTCTAAATGAGGCTGCATGCATAATCACACACAAACATCCACTGAGAAGGTGACACACCACGTCAGCATGGGTCCCTCTGCCGGACCACACCACTCCTAGTGACTATGAGGTGACATCCAGGCACGTTGCACTATTGGCTCCTGTCGGTGAGTGCAGTGCCTGACAACAGTGAGCTACATTTATTTGTAAAAATGAACGCCATCAGAGTAGACCACAATTGTACTAACTCTAATTTGCTTTGTGTTCATTTTTTCAGTTTCCAGAAGTGGCTTAATGTTTCCTAGGGTCAAAGGCAGTCAAATGACCTCCTGACTCTGGCACCCCTTCTGCTGGGTCCCCACTGCCCTGTAGTGGTCCCCACGCTACCATGCTGCCTCCTTTTTGATGCAGCCTGTGCCATCTCTCCGTGATTGTTGGGGTCAGATGCTGGAGTCCACTCCCTGGCTTGGCATCCAGGCTCCAACACGTACTGCCTGTGTGTCCTTGGGCAAGTCTCATAACCTCTCTGAGCCTCAGTTACCTTGGTGAGACATAACCATTGTACCTGCCTCCTAGGCTGTGAGGATTCACTGAGATGATCTTATAGTGCTTGCAACAATGTCTGGCACATAGGAAAAGTGATCACTAAATGTTAGCCACGTCTTACTCCTGCAAGGCTCACCTCCCTGGAACCCATCGGTCCCAACCCTGCTCCTGAATCAGGCACAGTCCAGCTTGCAGCGGGAGCAAAGGTCAGTACTCAGTGCCCCTGTCCCTTCCCCAGGCCAGAGGGGAGGAGGAGACTGAGTCACGAATGACACCTCAGCCGCAGTTTGACCTCCAGGACTTACAGTCCTAGCAGCCGGTGCCACTAGCATGTGAGAGGTCCAGAGGCGCTTCTGTCTCACCCGCCCGCCTGGGTGCACCCATGCTGGGAGCGCCTGCACCATTTGAGCATGTCCGAGAGCATCCACCAGAGTGTGTGTGGATTCACAGAAGTGTGCAAATCACTAAGAACCAAGGGACTGGCACAGCCCATGCGTGCACCCACGCTCGCGAGGGGACCTGCTGCCTTTCAACGTGGCGGGGACGTGACCTGTTAATGAATGTATTTACTTCCCAAAGTCTGAGGGTACGTTTTGCATCAATCTGTAGATGGATTTGTTTTGGGGAGCAGGGAGAGAATGAGAGCCCCCTGTGCTCAGTCTTAGAGGGTGCAAGTAGCTGATGGGAAGAGCAGACTGCCTTCCAGCCAGGCCTGGTCCTGTGAGTCAGGGACGTCCATCTTAGTGGGCATGAAAGGCCTGTGTGATCTCGAGGGAGACATCGCCTCTCCAAGCCTCTCCTTATCTGTGCAACAGGCAGACTTAATGATTGGTGAGGCAATGAGGCTGATAGCTCAGCATTAGCTACAGCCACCCCTCCTGGCCAACCACACAGGGATCAAACCAGGGGTCAGTCCAGAGGTCAGAGTCAGGAGCAGACAACTCAGATCCAGCCAGGGACAGGCAGGTCACACGGACATGTGCCTCACGTATGCTTCAAGGGGCCCTCCCCCGGGCAGAACTGAAGGACAGCTCCTGTTGCCATAGGAGGGAGCTGGGTGAGATACTAGGAGGAACTTCCGGCATGATGATGTGTGATGAACAAGGGCCTCTGGCCAACAGGTCTGAATCAGGGCTGCCCAGCCCAGCCTGGTGGGAAGGGCATGGAGCATGGGGGCTCATGTACTAAACCTCACCTGGACACAAGGTGAAACAGCCCAACCCCAGAGGACCATTTTTGGCCCCGGATGGTCAAATCCCCTCTTCCTCCCATCTACCACTGGCTTCTCCCTGGAGCAGTCTTCATCCCAGGGGAGCCATGATGGGAGAGAGGGGCAGCGCAGGCTGGCCACCAAGAGATCCCCTGCCGGGGTGCAGGTTGGACTGTTGGTGAGGGGCCACAGGTATTCTCAGGTACCAAGCCCTTGGAAGGAGACAAGGTACCAGGCTTCCTGGAGGTGTGCTACATCTAGCTCAGCACCCTGCCAGGTCTCTCTACCCACATGTCCTGACCTCCCTGGGTCCGTTGCCATGCGGGAGAGAGAGGCCAGGCTCCTCCAGACCCTCTGCAGAGATGGAAAGGCTTGGAGGGTCTGGGGCCACGGGACCCCGCCAGCCCATTCTAGCACACCCGGGCCCATAGACCTTGTTGCCTGCCCCTGCCTGGATCTGGGTCCCCACTGTGCCTTTGCCTCTGGGGCTATGGAGCAGGCCGCAGCAGAAGAGGAAAGGGCATCCCCAATACCAAATCCTCCAGTGACCACTTCTTCACCTTCTACCCCACCACCAAAGTCTGCAGGAGACTTGAGACAGGTTTGTTCTGGGCGTGTGACTGATGCCTCTATAGGGGTCTCAGTGCTCTAAGCCGTCTGGTATTTGCCTGGGGTGTGTGAAGACCTGGATTAAGGTTCCCAGCCTTACTACTAATGGGCTGTGCACTTGGAGCCCTTAGAGCCTTAGGTTTCTAACCTATAAAATGGACTTAACGTCTACTTCACAGGGTTCTATTTGCATTTTAACAGAAAACAAAGTCTTAAGTCAAAGGAATGAATCTCTCTCTCTCTCTCTCTCTCTCTTTTTTAGACCAAGTCTAGCTCTGTCACTGGAGTGCAATGGTGCGATCTCTGCTCACTGCAACCTCCACCTCCGGGGTTCAAGCAATTCTCGTGCCTCAGCCTCCTGAGTAGCTGGGACTACAGGCGTGCATCACCATGCTCGGCTAATTTTTTGTATTTTTAGTAGAGACTGGGTTTCGCCATGTTGCCCAGGCTGGTCTCGAACTCCTGGCCTCAGATATCCGTCCGTCCCAGCCTCCCAAAGTGCTGGGATTACAGGCATGAGCCACTGTGCCCAGCCAGGAATGGATCGCTAATAGAGGAATTCCAAGTCTCACCCACCGATAAAGAATTCTGAGGGCAGAGCCGGGCCACTTTCTCAGGCCTCTGATTTCATACTGTGGTGTTAGTTACTTCTGAGAGGACAGCTTGCTGCCAGAGCTCTATTTTTTATGTTAGAGGCTCCTTCTGCCTGCAGACTCTGCTGTCTGGGAAGGGCACAGCGTTAGGAGGGAGAGGGAGGTGTGAGTCCCTCCATGGACCCGCTGCTTTGTACTTCTCTATCTCATTTCCTTTTCAGCACCACTCTGGGCAATCAGTATTCCAGCCCCATTTTATCCTCAGAAAATTGAGGCTCTGAGATGTTATCTCTGTGACCTGGGTCCTATTACGTGCCAAAGGCATCATTTAAGCCTAAGATGTCCTGGCTCCAAGGTGTCAGCATCTGGAAGACAGGCGCCCTCATCCTGCCATCCCTGCTGCGGCTTCACTGTGGGCCCAGGGGACATCTCAGCCCCGAGAAGGGTCAGCGGCCCCTCCTGGACCACCGACTCCCCGCAGAACTCCTCTGTGCCCTCTCCTCACCAGACCTTGTTCCTCCCAGTTGCTCCCACAGCCAGGGGGCAGTGAGGGCTGCTCTTCCCCCAGCCCCACTGAGGAACCCAGGAAGGTGAACGAGAGAATCAGTCCTGGTGGGGGCTGGGGAGGGCCCCAGACATGAGACCAGCTCCTCCCCCAGGGGATGTTATCAGTGGGTCCAGAGGGCAAAATAGGGAGCCTGGTGGAGGGAGGGGCAAAGGCCTCGGGCTCTGAGCGGCCTTGGCCCTTCTCCACCAACCCCTGCCCTACACTAAGGGGGAGGCAGCGGGGGGCACACAGGGTGGGGGCGGGTGGGGGGCTGCTGGGTGAGCAGCACTCGCCTGCCTGGATTGAAACCCAGAGATGGAGGTGCTGGGAGGGGCTGTGAGAGCTCAGCCCTGTAACCAGGCCTTGCCGGAGCCACTGATGCCTGGTCTTCTGTGCCTTTACTCCAAACACCCCCCAGCCCAAGCCACCCACTTGTTCTCAAGTCTGAAGAAGCCCCTCACCCCTCTACTCCAGGCTGTGTTCAGGGCTTGGGGCTGGTGGAGGGAGGGGCCTGAAATTCCAGTGTGAAAGGCTGAGATGGGCCCGAGGCCCCTGGCCTATGTCCAAGCCATTTCCCCTCTCACCAGCCTCTCCCTGGGGAGCCAGTCAGCTAGGAAGGAATGAGGGCTCCCCAGGCCCACCCCCAGTTCCTGAGCTCATCTGGGCTGCAGGGCTGGCGGGACAGCAGCGTGGACTCAGTCTCCTAGGGATTTCCCAACTCTCCCGCCCGCTTGCTGCATCTGGACACCCTGCCTCAGGCCCTCATCTCCACTGGTCAGCAGGTGACCTTTGCCCAGCGCCCTGGGTCCTCAGTGCCTGCTGCCCTGGAGATGATATAAAACAGGTCAGAACCCTCCTGCCTGTCTGCTCAGTTCATCCCTAGAGGCAGCTGCTCCAGGTAATGCCCTCTGGGGAGGGGAAAGAGGAGGGGAGGAGGATGAAGAGGGGCAAGAGGAGCTCCCTGCCCAGCCCAGCCAGCAAGCCTGGAGAAGCACTTGCTAGAGCTAAGGAAGCCTCGGAGCTGGACGGGTGCCCCCCACCCCTCATCATAACCTGAAGAACATGGAGGCCCGGGAGGGGTGTCACTTGCCCAAAGCTACACAGGGGGTGGGGCTGGAAGTGGCTCCAAGTGCAGGTTCCCCCCTCATTCTTCAGGCTTAGGGCTGGAGGAAGCCTTAGACAGCCCAGTCCTACCCCAGACAGGGAAACTGAGGCCTGGAGAGGGCCAGAAATCACCCAAAGACACACAGCATGTTGGCTGGACTGGACGGAGATCAGTCCAGACCGCAGGTGCCTTGATGTTCAGTCTGGTGGGTTTTCTGCTCCATCCCACCCACCTCCCTTTGGGCCTCGATCCCTCGCCCCTCACCAGTCCCCCTTCTGAGAGCCCGTATTAGCAGGGAGCCGGCCCCTACTCCTTCTGGCAGACCCAGCTAAGGTTCTACCTTAGGGGCCACGCCACCTCCCCAGGGAGGGGTCCAGAGGCATGGGGACCTGGGGTGCCCCTCACAGGACACTTCCTTGCAGGAACAGAGGTGCCATGCAGCCCCGGGTACTCCTTGTTGTTGCCCTCCTGGCGCTCCTGGCCTCTGCCCGTAAGCACTTGGTGGGACTGGGCTGGGGGCAGGGTGGAGGCAACTTGGGGATCCCAGTCCCAATGGGTGGTCAAGCAGGAGCCCAGGGCTCGTCCAGAGGCCGATCCACCCCACTCAGCCCTGCTCTTTCCTCAGGAGCTTCAGAGGCCGAGGATGCCTCCCTTCTCAGCTTCATGCAGGGTTACATGAAGCACGCCACCAAGACCGCCAAGGATGCACTGAGCAGCGTGCAGGAGTCCCAGGTGGCCCAGCAGGCCAGGTACACCCGCTGGCCTCCCTCCCCATCCCCCCTGCCAGCTGCCTCCATTCCCACCCGCCCCTGCCCTGGTGAGATCCCAACAATGGAATGGAGGTGCTCCAGCCTCCCCTGGGCCTGTGCCTCTTCAGCCTCCTCTTTCCTCACAGGGCCTTTGTCAGGCTGCTGCGGGAGAGATGACAGAGTTGAGACTGCATTCCTCCCAGGTCCCTCCTTTCTCCCCGGAGCAGTCCTAGGGCGTGCCGTTTTAGCCCTCATTTCCATTTTCCTTTCCTTTCCCTTTCTTTCTCTTTCTATTTCTTTCTTTCTTTCTTTCTTTCTTTCTTTCTTTCTTTCTTTCTTTCTTTCTTTCTTTCTTTCTTTCCTTTCTTTCTTTCCTTTCTTTCTTTCCTTTCTTTCTTTCTTTCCTTTCTTTCTCTTTCTTTCTTTCTTTCCTTTTTCTTTCTTTCCCTCTCTTCCTTTCTCTCTTTCTTTCTTCTTCTTTTTTTTTTAATGGAGTCTCCCTCTGTCACCTAGGCTGGAGTGCAGTGGTGCCATCTCGGCTCACTGCAACCTCCGTCTCCCGGGTTCAACCCATTCTCCTGCCTCAGCCTCCCAAGTAGCTGGGATTACAGGCACGCGCCACCACACCCAGCTAATTTTTGTATTTTTAGCAGAGATGGGGTTTCACCATGTTGGCCAGGTTGGTCTTGAATTCCTGACCTCAGGGGATCCTCCTGCCTCGGCCTCCCAAAGTGCTGGGATTACAGGCATGAGCCACTGCGCCTGGCCCCATTTTCCTTTTCTGAAGGTCTGGCTAGAGCAGTGGTCCTCAGCCTTTTTGGCACCAGGGACCAGTTTTGTGGTGGACAATTTTTCCATGGGCCAGCGGGGATGGTTTTGGGATGAAGCTGTTCCACCTCAGATCATCAGGCATTAGATTCTCATAAGGAGCCCTCCACCTAGATCCCTGGCATGTGCAGTTCACAATAGGGTTCACACTCCTATGAGAATGTAAGGCCACTTGATCTGACAGGAGGCGGAGCTCAGGCGGTATTGCTCACTCACCCACCACTCACTTCGTGCTGTGCAGCCCGGCTCCTAACAGTCCATGGACCAGTACCTATCTATGACTTGGGGGTTGGGGACCCCTGGGCTAGGGGTTTGCCTTGGGAGGCCCCACCTGACCCAATTCAAGCCCGTGAGTGCTTCTGCTTTGTTCTAAGACCTGGGGCCAGTGTGAGCAGAAGTGTGTCCTTCCTCTCCCATCCTGCCCCTGCCCATCAGTACTCTCCTCTCCCCTACTCCCTTCTCCACCTCACCCTGACTGGCATTAGCTGGCATAGCAGAGGTGTTCATAAACATTCTTAGTCCCCAGAACCGGCTTTGGGGTAGGTGTTATTTTCTCACTTTGCAGATGAGAAAATTGAGGCTCAGAGCGATTAGGTGACCTGCCCCAGATCACACAACTAATCAATCCTCCAATGACTTTCCAAATGAGAGGCTGCCTCCCTCTGTCCTACCCTGCTCAGAGCCACCAGGTTGTGCAACTCCAGGCGGTGCTGTTTGCACAGAAAACAATGACAGCCTTGACCTTTCACATCTCCCCACCCTGTCACTTTGTGCCTCAGGCCCAGGGGCATAAACATCTGAGGTGACCTGGAGATGGCAGGGTTTGACTTGTGCTGGGGTTCCTGCAAGGATATCTCTTCTCCCAGGGTGGCAGCTGTGGGGGATTCCTGCCTGAGGTCTCAGGGCTGTCGTCCAGTGAAGTTGAGAGGGTGGTGTGGTCCTGACTGGTGTCGTCCAGTGGGGACATGGGTGTGGGTCCCATGGTTGCCTACAGAGGAGTTCTCATGCCCTGCTCTGTTGCTTCCCCTGACTGATTTAGGGGCTGGGTGACCGATGGCTTCAGTTCCCTGAAAGACTACTGGAGCACCGTTAAGGACAAGTTCTCTGAGTTCTGGGATTTGGACCCTGAGGTCAGACCAACTTCAGCCGTGGCTGCCTGAGACCTCAATACCCCAAGTCCACCTGCCTATCCATCCTGCGAGCTCCTTGGGTCCTGCAATCTCCAGGGCTGCCCCTGTAGGTTGCTTAAAAGGGACAGTATTCTCAGTGCTCTCCTACCCCACCTCATGCCTGGCCCCCCTCCAGGCATGCTGGCCTCCCAATAAAGCTGGACAAGAAGCTGCTATGAGTGGGCCGTCGCAAGTGTGCCATCTGTGTCTGGGCATGGGAAAGGGCCGAGGCTGTTCTGTGGGTGGGCACTGGACAGACTCCAGGTCAGGCAGGCATGGAGGCCAGCGCTCTATCCACCTTCTGGTAGCTGGGCAGTCTCTGGGCCTCAGTTTCTTCATCTCTAAGGTAGGAATCACCCTCCGTACCCTGCCTTCCTTGACAGCTTTGTGCGGAAGGTCAAACAGGACAATAAGTTTGCTGATACTTTGATAAACTGTTAGGTGCTGCACAACATGACTTGAGTGTGTGCCCCATGCCAGCCACTATGCCTGGCACTTAAGTTGTCATCAGAGTTGAGACTGTGTGTGTTTACTCAAAACTGTGGAGCTGACCTCCCCTATCCAGGCCCCCTAGCCCTCTTAGGCGCACGTGAAGGGAGGAGGCCGGATGGGCTAGAGGTTGGAGTAAGATGCAACGAGGCACTATTCTTGGCTCCACCACTTGATATCAGCCTCAGTTTCTTACATGTAAAGTGGATACAACCGTACCCCCTCCACCGTAGGTTTGCCGTGAGATTGAAATGAGAGAGCGTTCGAACCGTTTGGCACAGCACCTGCACGTAAAGATGCTTGATCAATGTTGTCATGATTACAGTTGAGCTGACTGGGCCCTTGGGACCCGGACTGGAGTGGTGGGGGGCAGTGTCCTGGGACCAAAAAGAAGCACAAGGTCTCCCAATAGAGGCTGCTTCCTTTGTGTCCCCACCACCCGAAAGATGTCAGGTCAGAGAGCCCGAGAGCTGCAGATGGCTTGAGTAGGGCTCCACTCTTCAGATCAAAAAACTGTGGCCCGGAGAGGCGAAGGCACTTGGCCAGCATCACAGAGCCAGCACGTGGCAGGGCCAGACCTTGAGCCCAGGTCAGCTGCGTGTATTCTGCTCAGTTGGTGCAGAAAACAGTTTTGTCACTCCTATGTCAGGTGTTAGGGACTCCTTTACAGATCTCAGTGGCATCAGTACATCCAGCCCCACCTGGAGACTGCTTTCTCTCTGAAAATTCCCCAGGGCTTCTCTCTGGGCTGAGAGATCTCAGCACCCGTATCTAGAAAATGTTCCCACCCAGACCTGGCTGGATGACTGCTGTTGTAGCTCTGGAAGGTTAGGAACTAAAAAGCCCACTCCTTTACCTAGGGTAGCTAAGATACACTGGAGATGGGGACATGGGGATGGGGCCGATTATCCAGGGGCCTGCATGAGGGGGCAAAAGGCCCTGCAGAGAGAGGGTAGGGAAGGCACTGCCCAGATCTGTGAAGCCATGTGCGTGCACGCGGGGACATTCAGACATGAGTGCAAGGAGGGACCGTGAGCAGGGAGGTCATGTGAGAATACACAGGCATGCCTGCACACCCATGTGAACTTGAGTGCCAGGCCACACACTCTTTTTTTTTTTTTTTTTTTTTTAGCTGGAGTCTTGCTCCGTCGCCCAGGCTGGAGTGCAGTGGCATGATTTCGGCTCACTGTGACCTCTGCCTCCCAGGTTCAAGCGATTCTCCTGCCTCAGCCTTCCTAGTAGCTGGGATTACGGGTGCAAGCCACCATGCCCAGCTGATTTTTTTTGTATTTTTAGTAGAGACAGGGTTTCACCATATTGGCCAGGCTGGTCTCAAACTCCTGGCCTGAAGTGATACGCCCACCTCAGCCTCCCAAAGTGCTGGGATTACAGGCTTGAGCCACCGCACCCGACCCGCGCACTCTTTTCAATAATCATGGATGGCCAGGGGTGCAGGGTCTAAAAAGCGCGGCCTAGCCCATCCTGCTGTTCACTGGGCAAGCGACGTCACAGGTCCAGGCTTCAGTGTCCTCATCCATGCTCTGCGTCTGATGGCAATCTAGCCAGGATGTGGGGAAGGGAGGATGCAGTGAGAGCACAGATATGAGAGCATCTTGGAAATAAAAATGTACCTGCAAGAGGTGGTGGTGAATTTTCTTACTCAGGCCAGCTTCTGCCAGGGCTGGCAGAAAGAGGGGGTGGCATGGCATGGAGCCGCAGGGGGTGGAGGACTGGCTTCCACTGCTGTGCCTGAGGAAGCCGCGGCTGTTTCTGGGCGGGATGGGAGTAGTGGGAGGGGGATACTGGCCTTGTGAGAAGAAAAGGGAAGTGTCTGTTTGAGAGGTTTTTGAATTAGTAAAGGAGGACAGGCGCAAACTCCAAGCGCTTCACTTGCACCCGGGACCAAACCCCAATCCCAGTGGCTGGCTCCCTGAGGCCGCCCCGCTCCGTCCCGCCCCGCTGACAGCGGCTGGGCTGGAGAAGGCTCTATACGGACACACCTCTGGGGACGGGGAACCCACTGCTCCCAGCTAAAGCAACCCTGTTTCCTGGCCCGCCTCAGACAGGGCTGCAGGCCTTGTTTGAGCCCCTTTCAGGGCACCTGGCCTTGGATTGTCTGTGGCTTTGCCTGGTCCGCTGTGACTTCCTTTCTACTTGAGCCTTGCTAAGGCAGACTCTACTCCCTCACTCGTAAGCAGCCAGGCGTCCAGCAGGTCCTCCAACGTCGATCTTGGCCCTAAGACGTCCAGTCTGGGCACGGAGTTGTTGAGATCCGGCAGGAAGTCCCTGCTCCAGGGCCAAAGGCCCCACCCGGGCTCCCCCGGATGTCCCCGCACCCCCCTCTATTCTCCCAAAAGAAAGAAGCTGCTTCCCACTTTGGAAACGTTTATTCTGAGCACCGGGAAGGGGGGCGGCGGCGGGCGCCTCACTGGGTGTTGAGCTTCTTAGTGTACTCCTCGAGAGCGCTCAGGAAGCTGACCTTGAAGCTCTCCAGCACGGGCAGCAGGCCTTGGCGGAGGTCCTCGAGCGCGGGCTTGGCCTTCTCGCTGAGCGTGCTCAGATGCTCGGTGGCCTTGGCGTGGTACTCGGCCAGTCTGGCGCCGCCGTTCTCCTTGAGAGCCTCAAGGCGCGCGGCCAAGCGCTGGCGCAGCTCGTCGCTGTAGGGGGCCAGATGCGTGCGCAGCGCGTCCACATGGGCGCGCGCGCGGTCGCGCATCTCCTCGCCCAGTGGGCTCAGCTTCTCTTGCAGCTCGTGCAGCTTCTGGCGCGCGCCCTCTTGGAGCTCTGCGCGCAGCGGCTCCACCTTCTGGCGGTAGAGCTCCATCTCCTCCTGCCACTTCTTCTGGAAGTCGTCCAGGTAGGGCTGCACCTTGGCCTTCACCTCCTCCAGATCCTTGCTCATCTCCTGCCTCAGGCCCTCTGTCTCCTTTTCCAGGTTATCCCAGAACTCCTGGGTCACAGGGCCGAGCTGTTCGCGCAGCTTGCTGAAGGTGGAGGTCACGCTGTCCCAGTTGTCAAGGAGCTTTAGGCTGGAGGGTGAGACAGAAGGGTTGAGGGCTGGCCTCCCAGCGCCCCAGCCTATCAGGGGTGAGCCCTGGGTGACACCTGTCCGCGGAGGTGCAGTGGCCTAGCATTTCCAGTACACTCTCAACCAACACCCCTGCCCCGCCAGGCCATGCCCCGTTGTGCAGCTGGACCGAGGCACAGAGAGGAGCTAAAAAGGAGACAGAGCTGGGACTAGTGCCCAGTTACGTTGGTCTCCAAAGTGGGCCCTTGAAGGACCTCGCTTCTATGCCTCCAGCGCATTCTCCTCTCCGAAGACAGCCCACAGTCTTGCTGGGCAGGAGCAGAGGAGGTGGTGAAGAAGGGAAAGGGGCTTGCTACACTTGCAGGCACAATGTGGCTCTGTGATCACGCATCGGGCAGCCCTGGTCTGTCCTTTGCAGGGGACATGGGCTGTGACCCTGCCTGGAGATCCCATTCCAGTTTCTCCATCCAGACCATCTGTGGGGCCCAGCTCATCAGATATTAGGTGAGGACTCGGCCAGTCTGGCTTCAACATCATCCCACAGGCCTCTGCCCCCTACCCCTGCCCTCAACCCCAGGCTGGGTCCTTACTTTAGCTGTTTTCCCAAGGCGGAGCCTTCAAACTGGGACACATAGTCTCTGCCGCTGTCTTTGAGCACATCCACGTACACAGTGGCCAGGTCCTTCACTCGATCCCAGGGGCTCTGGGGGGGTTCATCTTGCTGCCAGAAATGCCGAGCCTGGCTCCCTGAGGGTGGGAGGGGAGACCCAGATCAGGCCAGCTGTGGGCTGAGATCTGAGCCGAAAGGCCAAGCTTGGAGGTGGGGGAGAGGGGGCCAGTGAGAAACCTGCTGCCTCTGCCCAGGAGGGTGGGCCACGGGGATTTAGGGAGAAAGCCCCCCGATGGTTGGCTCCCTAGGTTAGGGGACACCTACCCGTCAGGAAGAGCACGGCCAAGGTCAGCACCGCAGCTTTCATCCTGAAGGGCCGTGGGGGACCTGGAGGAGAAGAAGGGCCTGGCTGAGTGGGGTGCCTTCAGCATGCAGAAGCCCCGTGCTCCCCCACTCATTGCAGCCAGGTGAGGAGAAGGGCACAGAGCGGGAGAAGACCTCAGGTACCCAGAGGCCCGGCCTGGGGCAAGGCCTGAACCTTGAGCTGGGGAGCCAGAGTGACCGGGGCAGGCAGCAGGACGCACCTCCTTCTCGCAGTCTCTAAGCAGCCAGCTCTTGCAGGGCCTATTTATGTCTGCAGCCAGGGTCTGGGCTGGGAGGCTGATAAGCCCAGCCCCGGCCCTGTTGCTGCTCACTGGTCCTGGCAATGTGGAACTTAAGAGTTCAAGGATCAGCTCTGTCCCTGGGGCTGGGCAAATAGAGTGGGCAAACAGCAAGCTGCGGGGGCTGCAGGGCAGGGGTCAAGGGTTCAGTGGGGGCGGGAGGGGAGTGTCTGCAGGCTTGCAGGTCTCCCGGGTGGGGTCGGGGTTCCCTGCACTCATCCCCTTCCCCTCCATGGGAGTGTGTGGGCAGTTGCCATTGTCCATTGTGTTGGCAGAGGAGGGGAGGGGAGGGACGCTGGGACTCCTCCACCAAGGAGACTGCCTCCCCCACCACCAGCATTCCAGGGAGACTACTTCACTCCCCTCCCCCTTCCCCCGCCCTGTCCTCCCACCAGTGCTCTTCTTTAGTCCCCAGCAGGTCCTCCAGGCCTCTCTCCAAGCCTCCCAAACTGGTAAACCTGGGGAGAGGGGAGAGCCCTCCGTGGCTCCCAGACTGAGGTTTCGGAGACCTCTTGCATTTCAAAACACTCCAGAGATCAATTCGGAGCTGCCAACTTTTAATTTTGTCATGTAAAGATATTGTCCGCCTCCAAAAAACCCTCACCATCTACAGTGACCATCACTTCAAAAAGGAAAGGCTTTAACAAAAAAGGGCATAATCTCAGAATTACATTACAGAATTGAAGCCCCTTAGATTGAAGACGTCTCCCTTTGCATTGTTCACACTTATATTTGATCACGCACAGGTGTGACTGGATCTCAGCCCTTGGGAAGCCCTGGTGTGGGGAGAAGACCTCTGGGCAAAGGAAGTGGCAGGAGACCTGCTTTCTCATTTCACTTGGCCTCCATCTTGCTGGAGGAAGATCGTGGGCAAGTTATATAATCTCTCTGAGCCTCGGTTTTCTATCTGCAAAATGGGGCAAGAATGGTCAGGGTTGTTGGAGGCCCCTGAGACAGCCTGTGAATGTAAAGTGCTGTGTGTCCGTTGGTGTTTGCAGCACCATCTTGTCAGGTTTCTCCTGGAAGGCCCAGACCTCCCCCAGCAGGTTACTGATAGGACCTGAGTCCTAGAGCCTGTGATGCAGGCTGAGAGGAACTGTGACATCACTCCAGCCTCTCCCCATGCCACCATCTCACAGATGAAGAGACTGAAGAGCACAGAGGGACTTTGCCCAGAGGCTGTCATCTCTCAGGGAGTTAGAAGAAAGGCTGGACCTAGAACCCAGTCTCTGGACTTGGGATGCAGGGCAGAAATGTACCCTGTACCATCACTCCAGGAAACTCCCTAACACTAGAAACCAGGCTGACATCTCTGTTTACCAGATCAGGGAGTGGTCGGCCTCATGCCTTTCACTTCAGAGAAGATTCTGGAGCCAGAAAACCTCAAATCTAAGGGTCAGGCAGGTTCAAATCCAGCTGCCTGACCCTGGATGAGTTATGATACATCACCTCCCCACACATCAGTTTCTGATTGAAGATAATGATAGAATATGCCATCGCCCTGAGTTATGGCAGGGGTTACTGTGTGGCAAGCAGAATAACGCTCCCCAAAGATGTCCACAGCCTCATCCCTGGAACCTGTGGCTTTGCTACCTTCCATGGCAAAAAAAGATTTTGCTAGTGTGATTAAGGACCTGGAGATGGGGTGGTTGGCCTGGATTCTCCAGGTGGGCCCATTGTCATCACAGGGGTCCTTAATTATACAAGAGGGAGGCAGTGGCCTCAGAGTCAGAGAAAGAGATGTGAGGATGGCAGTGGAGATCAGACTCGTGACTGCTGGAAGGGGGCCATGAGCTGAGGGACATGAGCAACCCTTCCCTAGAAGCTGGAGAAGGCAAAGGATTTTTCCCTGCAGCCTCCAGGAGCACAGCTCTGCTGCCACCATGATTTTAGCCCAGTATGACCCATTTTGGACTTCTGTCCTCCATAACTGTAAGATAATAAATTTGTATCGTTTTAAGCATGAACTTTGAACATATATGCAAAACTGTTAGAAAGGTACCTAGCACTTAGTAAACAGTAACTATTCTGTTTTCTAGAATCCCAGTTTCTGGTAATGTATTCCCTTATTCCCACTACACTTGCTTTATCAGATCTGAGACCTCAGCTTCTGCAGCAGGCATGAAGGCAGCAGTCCCACATCTCTCTGCTTGTCCTTGACTTGCAGTTGCTGAGATATGGAACATCTTTTCTAGGACTGAAGTGGCCCCAGATGTCTATGGGACTGTGTAGACAGGGAGGTGGCCTTGGTGAGCCATCAGCCTGGGCTGCCTACTTGACCATCCCAGCTGTCTGTAGCTTTAGAAAGTGGGAAGGTGGCTGGTCCCCTGCTGGGACAGCTCACAGGTGTCTCGGGCCAAGAGAGCGTCTTTTCTTTTGGGGGGTAGAGTTTGTCCCAGTCAGCACATGGGGGAATCTCAGAAGCTTACTGGTTGGACTCCAAGATACTTGCCAGTGTTTCACCCTTCTCTTTGGTTTGTTACTAAAATGATTGTTATGGCTAAACCTAGTATTTAACATTTGCGCAGTTCTTTGTGGCCAAAGCACTTTCACAACTTAGAATATCCCTATAAGGCTGGAGGCCAGATTTTACCCTTGTGATTTTTGCCTGTGGGAAAACTGCAGCTCACAGCTGCCCTGCATCCTTCAGCGGTTACTATTTAGCGCTGGCAGGGGTGGGAATCGGGAGGCCTGGCTTCTAGTTCTTTGAGGGTGGCCTTGCACCCTTGCGGAGCCTGCAGCCTTTGCAGTCTGATCAGGGACTTCTCAGTTTCCTGGCTCAGGGACTGCGAGGCATCAGGATAGGGGGTGCTGTTGAACAGCATCTTACCAAGCAGGCAGTTTCCTTTTCTAAATATACTTATTCACCAGGGTGGCTACTCCATTTTATTGCAAGGTATTTGGCTTAAACTAGTCTAAGCCCCCTTTACTAATATTTTGGAAAGGAAGGAGGTCTTTCTGGACAGAGCTGATGGAAAAATACATAACAACAACAACGACAATAACAAACTGGGTTGATGACACACTCAGACTCAGGGTCCAGCCAGGCATTGTTCAAGGCACTCAGTGGCCACGGGTTGGACTGTTTGGTGGCTGCGGGGCCCACAGTGTAGGCCCCTGTTTCCACCCATTTCTTTCCCTCGTCTTGGGAGTCTCCAGAGCGACTGCTCCTGAACAGGGTTACCAAGTCCTGGCCCTGGATGCCCTGACATGTGTAGGAGTGTTGGCGGTGACCGCAAGAGTGGATTTTGCACAGAAAGATTAGCAACTCCTTTCACAATTTATGTCCAAACATACTGGTCCATCTGTATCGGGAGGACTCTGTCCCCTGCTAGGTCTGGCACATAACAGACACCTGCCAAACATCTGCTCAGTGAATGGCACTGGCACCCTAGAGGGAGGGTCACCAGCCTGGTCATAGGGAGGAGTGGGTCCTGGGAGGGGAGGCAGTCTCATACCAGCCCCTGCTCAGAACGTTTCTTCTGGGAGCACGTGGTATGAGCCAGAATGAGAGTTAGGGAGGGGAGGTGGTGACTGAGCAGGGGAGACAGGACCCCCACCCCCAGTAGTTCCTACTTTTGGCAATTTTGCTGCAGCTTTTGTGATAGAGCCCCAAGTTAGACCCTTGGGTGGGGCACCGTAGCCAGCTATGCAAGATTCTCTCCTGCCCTCCTGCTTGGAAAAGACTAAGGCCAGGACAGAGCTCATCTTTGATCAGCAGGAGGGAAGCACAGTAGCCCTCTGAGTTCTTGATCTTTGCAGTTGGGGTGGGGTGGGGGCTGGCACAAAGTCAGAAAGAAAACTGTGTAGAGCACGGTTTTCTGTCAACATGGCTCCTGTTTTCTGGAGCTAAGCTCTCCAGTCTGTATCCAGGAGCCAGTGCCCTGCTTCCTACAAAAGCTCACCCTACCTCTGGTCCAAAGGCACCCTGGCTGATTTTAGGAGGGAGTGGCACCTATTGCAACAGGTGCTACAATTTGCTGGAAGGCATCTGGGTATTATCACTGTTTGATTCTAGAGACTCACCTAGTCTTGCATGACAGCGTATACAGACTCAGAGGAGTTTTAGAAGGCCCTTCTTTTTTTTTTTTTTTTTTTTGAGACGGAGTCTCGCTCTGTCGCCCAGGCTGGAGTGCAGTGGCGGGATCTCGGCTCACTGCAAGCTCCGCCTCCCGGGTTCACGCCATTCTCCTGCCTCAGCCTCCCAAGTAGCTGGGACTACAGGCGCCCGCCACTACGCCCGGCTAATTTTTTGTATTTTTAGTAGAGACGGGGTTTCACCGTTTTAGCCGGGATGGTCTCGATCTCCTGACCTCGTGATCCACCCGCCTCGGCCTCCCAAAGTGCTGGGATTACAGGCGTGAGCCACCGCGCCCGGCCAGAAGGCCCTTCTTGAGAAGGCTCTTTTCTTCTCTAATCTAAATGGCCCTACAGCAACTTTCTAGCCGCCCTCATGGACTTGAAATCTTTCTTTTCTCTTTGCAGGAGTGCAGTGGTGCGATCACAGCTCACTGCAGCCTCAAACTCCTAGGCTCACATGATCCTTCAGCCTCAGCCTCCTGAGCAGCTGGGACTACAGGCATGTGCCACCAAGCCTGGTTATTTTTTGTAGAGGTGGGGGTCTTGCTATGTTGCCCAGGTTGGACTCCAACTCCTGGGTTTACCTAATTCTCCTGCCTCAGCCTCCTGAGCAGCTGGGATTACAGGCGCACGCCACCATGCCCAGCTTGGAAGGCTTTCTAAATTCCCTCCTCTCATTCTTCCTTCTGTGAACTCAGATGGTCTTTCCAGCTTCAGTAAGCTTTCTTCATAGAAGACCTTCAACCACCTGTCTCTTAGCCATGCCTGGAAACTTGCTGGAAACTCTACCCTGCCCTTTGGAGTTCAGGTGTGGGATAAAGGAGAAAACTATAGGAAAATTCCACCCCCGCTCCGCTTTTTTTTTTTTTTTGAGATGTAGTATCCCGCTGTCACCCAGGCTAGAGTGCAGTGGTGCAATCTTGGCTTGCTGCAGTAACCTCTGCCTCCTGGGTTCAAGCCATTCTCCTGTCTCAGCCTCCTGAGTAGCAGGGACTACAGGCACCTGCCACCACACCTGGCTAATTTTTGTATTTTTAGTAGACACGGGGTTTTGCCACATTGGCCAGGCTGGTCTCAAACTCCTGACCTCAGATGATCCACCCCCATCGGCCTCCAGAAGTGCTGGATTTACAGGCGTGAGCCATGCCAGGCCCCTCCCTTTCTTTCCAAATACTTATTTGGCTATCCTTTCACTCGGCCAATGGGGGTCACGTCATGAAGGGTCCAGCCTGTGTCCACTCTTTAAGGATCCTTCCCTGTACTCTTCAAAAGTGCCCTTTCAAGGAAGCTGTTTTCCACCTGGCCCAGCAAATTCAAATGCTCCCTTCTGACAGGGCAGAGTCCGAGCTGGGTGCCCAGGGACACAGTGTGAAGCAGAGTTCAGGCTTCTAGAGAATGCGAGTTTCTTAAGTCACTCAAAGCCCCACCCTTAGCCTGGGAGACCTCTCCAGCCTCCACTGCTCCAGCTCCCACCTACCTGAGGCTTCTTCCAACTAGACTCCAAACCACAGGCAAATAATCTATCAGCCTAAGAACACAATCAGGCTCCTATCTACACAACTTCCTGCTGTCCAACTAAGTAACCAAGTTGTAAGTAAGTGCCTCACAAAAGGAAGGACAAAAGGCAGGACAAAAGGTCTTAGCAACTTGAGTCTGGAGATTTTTTTTTTAATCCTTTTTAGTTCAACATAAAATGAGAAAGAAAAAAATATTTCTGACATTTTCAAAGAACAGAAATAGGAAAGTATGTTCATATACATTCAACGTATACTGCACATATTGGTTACTACAATACAAAGCAATGAGTTTTTTTTAAAGTGTAGTTTGCAAGATGGCACGGTTAGTAGGCTCACTGGCTTTCATCTGTTGTTGCTGGAGGGTGCAGTCTGCTCTCCCATACATACAGTACCATGTAAACACATCAGGCTGAGCGCGTGGTGGTGGTAGGGCAGGTTGGGGGCATAAGAGTTGGAACAAGCGCAGATAAGTCAACAGCTTTTTAGGGCTTTCTTGGTAAGCCCCCTTCTGGTGAGTAGTTGGTGACCCCACCAAGTGGAGGGGAGACTGGGGACCATGGAAACATGGGACAGCTCCCACGAAGGGCTCTTGCACTGCAGAATTCCACTCAAGGGATCTTGGGTCCAGGAGCCGAGCTGCCAGTATCAGTGGAGAAGGACAAGGTGCATGGGGATCCCGCCAGCAACATCAGGATGGCCATGCCGGGCACCCGCTTTCCTCTGTGCAAATTCAGGATGAAAGACTAGGAGGGGACTCGGGACCTCTTGCTCTCCTTTCCCAGAAAAAAAAAGGGTGGAAGAGTCAGTGTATTCAAGGTCTCTCTCTTGTTTTGAAGATCAGAAGGAGATAACCCAGACCCTCTCTCAGCCCCAGCCAGCAGAGAAGACTTTGGTTTCTAACAATGAAGAGAAATAAAGATAACACAAATAATAGCTACTGCGTATGCACTGCTTCAACTGGGGAAAGGAGACCACTGCATCTGTCACTGGCACAAGTAAGAGCTGTTCACAATTACAATGCCTAAAGGAAATACTTTGAACAAAAGGTGCAAGTCACAATTCAAATAGAACAGAATCTGGTTAAACATTTCTCATTTAAACAAAAATTCCTTTTCTCTTTATTTATTAATAATGATAATAACAATAATATCAACATTTACCAAAAACAATTTCTACATGATCAAGAATTAAAATATAGGGGCTGAGGGTACCCAGTGGGGAAGAGGAGGTTAGGAGAGAGGCAGGGCCCAAGGCAACCTCCTACACTTCTTCCCTGTGACAAAGAGGCTGAAAGAGGAGAGCATATATATATATATTTTATATATATATTATATATATAATATATATATAATATATTATATTATATATTATATATATAATATATATATACACATATATTATATTATATATATACACACATATATAATATATATATGGAGAAACAATCCTTTTTATAGCACAATATAAAATGAGAATGAAAGATGCCATAGAAAGCATAGTGCACTGCTGTTGGGTGTTCAGTCCATGGATAAAACCAGCAGGATGATAAAGGCAACCAACTTTCCAGGTTACAAGAGGGGAGCTGAGTTATCCACCAAAAGCAAAGGCTCAAATTGAGACATCCTAACTGGCAAACCATCTATGCCAGGTCATTCTCAGCCTCCGTGCCAAACTCTTCATATGATCTTGGCTAGGACAGACATGTTTTCCGTGGATCCCAGCAGTAAAGACCTCTCTGCGTTCCAGGCTTGGGGGTTTCTCTTTTTTTGTTCTTTTTGTTTTCTAAGTGCCAGAAGCCGTCACCCTTCCTCTCTCCCTTTGCCTGCCATTAGGATTCCAGAGGATGGCATCCTTTAGTATTTGCTTTCACAGAAGAGCAATGCAGGGGGATGGAGGGTGCTCTGCTGATGAAGGCTAGGGAGGGAGTGGCCCTGAGGCCGCTGGCCTCTGAACTCTAACTGCTTTGCTCTCCTGTTTCAAAAAAGGAACGAAAGAAAAAAAAGAAAGGAAGAAAAAAAAGAAAGTATATCACCTCTGGAAGAAAACATACCAAAAACAAAACAAAACACAAACCCCCAAACAAAACAAAAAACCACCAACTCAAATATACTTTCACAAAAGATGGAGAACATGGATTTCCTTCCTGTTTATTTCCTTGGTGACTTGGTCATACAAGCAAACATGGCAAAACCCTCTCAGAACCCAAAAGAACAGCACACGGATGAACCAAATGTGAGGAAAGCAGCTGTGATATTTTGGGTGGAGAGAAACACAAGGGCAATTTGGCACAACGCTGCTAGATACTGTGGGTTTACAATCAACCTTTTCATTCCCAAGCTGTACACAAAACCTGGAATAAAGCAGACACAGAGGAGAATTAGTTTGAAAAGAGAAAGGCTCAAATATTCCATTTAAAACCTTTTAAAAAATGCAACGGGTTTACTTTCCCTCAGGTGTTCAGGTAGCTTGCCATACTGAGGCTCTGATGTGGATTTGCCAAGTGGCTTCCCTTTCATCAGGCCTCTTCTGTCAAGGATTTTCCAGATACAACCAATGGTGCCTGCTGTGTACTCTTTGCATTACTCCAGCCAAACAAGCCAATTTCCCCATTCTTTCTACCATGGGCCTCTCATCACACATTTCCCTAATCTGGAATATCCTGCCACTTGCTTCTGTATGGCCTTAAAAAATATGGCTGGACATATTTTCCTGCCAGGTTTTGTCTTTTAGGACTGAGTTTAAGGACTTCCTCCTTTCCTCATTATGCTGACCGGAGGTCACCTGCATCCTCTGGAGCCGTAGCTCACTTCTGTCGCTATGAAGGCTAGAGCACCTGTAACACACGGCGAGTCTTGTGTCTTATTCCCATAACCGAACCAAGAGACTGTGTTTAGCATTTCTTCTGCACACCCCCACCCCTACCTCGCGCCCTAAAACTAGCAGCGTCGTTAATGAAAAGCAAGAAACTGTGAAGGCCACGAGGGGAGGCGTGGTACTGTCGACTGCACTGGCCACCACAACACATGGGCTGAAGCTCCTGATGGGATTGGGAGCAGGCACTGGGCCACAGGGCTGGTTTGGCTCTGGCCAGGGTGACACTCACTCTCTGTTTCTTGTTACACGCCTGCCTGCTCCATGCTGAAGGAGACTTCGGGGTGCTTGTAGCTGAGCAGAATGTCTGTAATACACGTAGATGGATAGCAAGAGGAGTTTAAATGCTGGCTGCCATCACTCAGGTCTGGGTGCTCATGACCTCCCAGGCTTGCCCCACATTCTGCAAGACCAAAAAGAACGTATGAGGTTGGCAGGGAACTGGGGGACTAGGAGAGCAAGGGGGAGAGAGAGGAGGAATTGAAGGCAACCTGTCGAGCATCCCACAGCCTGACTCCCAGCCCTGAATTCTAGCTCACAGCAGGCCCTCAAGGTGTTGAGTGACGATGGGCGGGGGCCAAGATTCTTCCTATATTCTCCTCTACCTGTTCTGCTTTTTTCCCTTTTCCTTTACCCTTTCCCATCCTTAGGTAAGATCAACTACTGTAGTGTGAGAGAAGATAGAGGACTCCTTCAGAAAGGATCACCTCTTAAAGAGTGAAAGGGAGAATAATTTTACTGCCTGCAGGCACCCATTCCTGGGCACTGTCTGTCTTCCAGACACTGTGCTAAGCACTTGATACTCACTAAGCCAGCCAGCCCTCAGGGCACAATGTAGGATAAAGGCTCTATCGTTTTTGCCACTTTACAGATGAGGATCTCGGGGTCCAGAAAGCCAAGTGCCTCACCTGCAGAGCCTGAAAAGGACAGCCTTGGGACTGGTGGCAGACCTGCCCCGCCCAAGGCCTACGCCTATTATTTGTTATGACACCCTCCCTTGACTGGCTCCAAGAAGAGGTAGAAATGTGCCATTAGGACCTGATGCCCTCTAAGCAGAACTGGAAAAAGTGATTGAAGGCATATCATCACAGAGATGAGAGACAGGAATGGGAGAGCCCTGTGCCATCTGGCCAGAAGCCACACCTCCTTTACACACCCACACTCAGGGAAGACCAGTGGGGAAAGGGGCTGTGTCCAGAACCTGTGGGATGCTGTGGCTCTACCTCCCCATGAGCTCTTCCTACGAAGAGAGGAGCAGTTACGGAAGATGGAGGGAGGCCCCTCCAGGAACTTCTCTGGAGTGCCCCATGCATAAGGCTCCTCACCCTCATTTTCCCCATCCTGAAACTGCTGGCTGCCCATGAGCGAAGACTGACTGAGAACTGCATCCGACATCCGGGCAGAGCTAAGTGCTTTCCCAGCCACGAGACTCATTCCTGGCAAGTTATCCAGCTGTACCTGCAGAAAACAGTTAAGAGAAGAAATAAGCACACAAGACACCACTCTCAGGCAACCCCTAGAGACAGCTGGTCCTTCTGAAGGAGCCCAGGCAAAAGACAGCCCGGGGCCCCACTCCAGACTCCTTCCTCTAAAGCACCACCCAAAGGGGGTGCTCCACAGCGACAGTGTGGGAAGCTGCTTGGCTCTGCCCAGTGGGGGGGCTGAGGGTGGGGCGGATGTGGCAAATCTCAGCTGGTGGTGACATCTTGATACCTACATGGCCTTCTAAAACCAGGTTTCTGACCTATCCCCATCTCCACTGGGACTTTGTCTTAGGACAGCACCGTCCAGTCACACTCTGCAGTGATGGAAATGTTCTCTGTCCTGTCCAATATGGTAACCAGTAGCCACAAGTGGCTACTGAGCACTTAAAGTGTGACTGGGCTGGGCACGGTGGCTCATGCCTGTAATCCCAGCACTTTGGGAGGCTGAGGCTGGTGGATCATGAGGTCAGGAGATCGAGACCATCCTGGCTAACACGGTGAAACCCCGTCTCTACTAAAAATACGAAAAATTAGCTGGGCTAAAAAAATTTAGCTCTACTAAAAATACAAAAAAGGGTGGCGGGCGCCTGTAGTCCCAGCTACTCGGGAGGTTGAGGCAGGAGAATGGCGTGAACCCGGGAGGCGGAGCTTGCAGTGAGCCGAGATTGCGCCACTGCACTCCAACCTGGGTGACAGAGCAAGACTCTGTCTCAAAAAATAATAATAATAAAAAATAAAGTGTAACTGGTGTGACTGAGGAACTGAATTTTAAATTGTTTTTAATTTTAATTGGTTTAGATTTGAATAGCCACATGTGGCTAGCTACTAGACTAGCACCACCCTAGGAAAACAAAACTTTGCTGAGGCCCACCAGCTCCCCTGATCTGAGTAAGCTCAATGTAGCTGCTGAAAAATAACCAGAAGCCTATGGGCTCATTTGCTGGGGCCTGAGTTTAGACTGAGAAGAGGTTTAATAACCAAAACTACAGGGAACAGATGGCAACTATTTCTGATTCTTTGGTCTAAAATTTGGAGCATAGATTCTACTTGAATTAAGGTTTGGTCTGTTAGGGTGACTCAAAGAAAATGCTCTTAAGGTAGGCGAATTGCCTGAGCTCAGGAATTCGAGACCAGCCTAGCCAACATGGTAAAACCCCATGCCTACTAAAAATACAAAAATTAGCCAGGTGTGGTGGCAGGCACCTGTAGTCCCAGCTACTCAGGAAGCTGAGGCACAAAAGTCACTTGAACTGGGGAGGTAGAAGTTGCAGTGAGCTGATATCGCGCCACTGTCCTCCCGCCTGGGCGACAGAGTGAGACTCCATCTCAAAAAAGAAAAAAAAAGAAATGCTCCCCACCGTTTCCAGAAAGGCTGAATGCTGACTGAGGAGAGCGGCCAAGAGAGGCTACCCCACATCACTATACTCTGTTTCAAGGCTGGGACTGGGAGGATCCACCTCTGTGCAGCAGGTGGGACCAACATACATAAGCATCGTCGCTGTTCTGGATCGTGTGGTGTCTCTGGAGGGCCCGGGGCCTGTGGTGCTCATGGACGGAGGGGCGTGCTGGGTACCCGAGCCCATTGTGATCCGGCAGCTCCACTGCTTGTCCTGGAGAACTTCTATCCATGCAGTTCCCTATGACAGGCTCTGAGGAGACACAGCAGAATAGAGTCAGTGGGGCGGAACTTCTCCCAGCACTGGAAACTCCCATCCAAGAAATGTCTTGCAAGGGACAATGGGCAAGGCTGAGGAGATCATGTACACCAACCGCTGATCCTCAGCCGGCGTCATGGCTTAGAGGAGCCTGGACCAGCCCTCCAAAAGACGAGCTGTAGGGGAGGGGACCACACCCTTAGGGAAAAAATTCCACGTAACAGGGCATGGCTGGACCCCACCGAACCTTCTCTTCTTTCATTTCTCTGTTGAATTAACAGTGATCTATTCCCAAACCTAAATGCACATGAGAATTACTCTCGGAGCTTTCAGGACCCTCTAGCCCTAGAGGATGCATCTGTTCTGTGGCTGGCTGCGTCCTCTCTCCTCCCCCGGTGACCTCAGTGTACCACGCTGCTACTCTCCTCTTTCTACTTCTCTAACTGCTGCTTCTGACTCCTTTGATGGCCCCTCCACCCTTTCTAAGCAAGTACTCTCCACATTTTTGTCCTTGACCTTCTCTCTCCCCACACTTACTCTGGCAACATCATCTATTTTCATGGCTGTACTGCCTTTATGTAAAGAATTACTGAAGTGCTCCTTTAAGCCCCAGATCCATACTTCCAGCTACTTACTAGGTATCTTTCCCTGGATATCTAACCAGCATGTAACACTTACCATGTCCAATTCCAAACCCATCCACTTCCCCCATAACCTGCTACTCCTTCAGACATTGTCGTTTTGATGCCTCATTTTCCAAATCTTCCAGGCATAAGCTCTTGGGGCCACTATTGATTCCTTACTCCTGGTGCTGAATCTAACTCTGCAATGCTGGTCACTTCAGTCCCTTTGTTGCCAATCTCATGGAAACCTGATTACCTCTTGCCTGGATTATTATGCTAGCCTCATAACCAATCCCCTACTACTACCCTACAAAGACCAACCGTTCTGTAGTCCATTCACTTTCATTTTACAACACTGCCCTGGGCTATCTTCCAATCAGTGTCTCATATTCCCCTCTCCATACATTCTAAGCTCTAGTCAAATGGGACCACTTAACTGTTCCCCATCTATGCACAATTCTATGCATTTGCCCTCACTGTTCCTTCTATCTGCAAATAACTGATTCTTCTGCCTTCACTCCTGCCAATCCAAAGCAACTCATCATTCTACATCCATTATCATATGCTATTGTTTTTATTAAACTTTTCCTTTCAAACAGAAATAGATCATCTCTTCCTTTAAACTTCAAAAGACTTTGTCTCTGATTGCTCTAACATTATCCTTGGTACCATGTTCAATTATGTACTTAATCATTCACATTAGACTATAAATTCTTTGCAGGCAAGAACTATATCTCATGTATGTCTGTGAATCTTCAGTGTTCTAGAACATTGTCCTATACCCAGTATTATGATCTCTTTCACTGATGTCAGTAAATGCTCTTTAGGCCGGGTGCGTGTAATCCCAGCATTTTGGGAGGCCGGGGCGGGTGGATCACCTGAGGTCAGGAGTTTGAGACCAGCCTGGCCAACATGGTGAAACCCCACCTCTACTAAAATTACAAAAATTAGCTGGGTGTGGTGGTGTGCACCTGTAGTCCCAGCTACTCAGGAGGCTGAGGCAGGGGAATTGCTTGAACTCAGAAGGCAGAGATTGCAGTGAGCCAAGACCATGCCACTGCACTCCAGCCTGGGCAACAGAGTGAGACTCTATCTCAAAAAAGAATAATAAAAATAAATACTCTCTTAATATGGGTTACTATCCTGTCAGAGCATACCATTCTATGGACTAGAATTGGAGAGAAAAAGGAATGAGTACTTCTTCTTGATCAAGGATAGTCAAGAAGACTATCAAAGCCACACCTATGTTGACAGGATCCTCCTGGTAGCACTTTTGACTTCAGTCTTTAAAAGCCTGGGACTTGAAAATAAGTTGTGTTTGCTTGGTTGGTTTTCTGAGTTAAAGCTTCTTGGAAACTACTGAGCTTATCTTGGATGAACTGACTCTTGGTGGGACTAAGTTTAAAACAAAAGCTCTTAATAGCAAACACAGCTGTAATGCTAACTGTGCCATTCCAATGATCTATTTAAATAATGAAAGTAAAGCATACTTCTTGAATGTTGGGTAAAGGATTTCAGGTCTCTGTATTTCAATGGTTTTCTATAATGATTAAGGTTAGGCTGGGACTTAGGGGCAGAGGCAGGATGGAAAGGGAGGGGAGCTAACTGACATGCCCATTGCTAGTAATGCAAGACATTCTGGAGAAAAATTAGAGGAGGGAGCTTCCCAGCTACCAAAGATGATGGCAAGTGAGAAATCTTTTGAAAGTTCTCTGAGCAAAGAGGTAAAAGGAACAGCCAGAAGCCAACTATTTTGCTACAGAAAGCTAAAAGCCAGCAGAGAGAAGATAAAAGAAAACCTACACCAGGACTTGCTCTGTGGGATTAGCCCGCCCGTCCTACCCACTCTGCCCAATTCCTCTCAGTGGGCACTGCTCGCATGTTGGCGCCAGGGCCAACCAAAAACCACTGGCAGGAAGTGGGGCAACATGGTTGTGTGGGAGTGAGGAAATGGTGATTCTGTCTGCTTTGCCAAGAAGCAATGCGAGCAGCCGCTTCTTACTTTTTCAAAAACCTATATTGTCTTCTTTGATAACTAACATCATCCACTCAATTCCTCGGGGTGCTTTTTTCCTTTAAGCCTGATTATATAGTTGGATGCAAATCTCATCAGTTGCATCTCTTTGCTCTCCGCAAGGACAAACATGAGCGCTCTCCTGTTTAAAGATTTTTAAAACATCATTACTAACCATGAGGAAACAGCAAAGCTAACAAAATGTATATAGTCCTGGTTGGAGCCTTCCTGCCTCTTCTGGAGGCCTCAGTGTTTTGGTTTGTTTGCTGTGTCTTTTAAGGCTCTTTTCCTTCCCTCTCTCAGACTTGTTTTTATCCCTGAGAATGGGGCCTCTGCAAACCAAAACACCCACCCTCCTTTGGGCTCTGCCTTGTCTGCTGTCTTCCCCGCCTTCAGGTCTGATGCCTGTAGGCACCAAGACAGAGCAAGCAACCACCTGACAAATCATGTAGGGGGCCTTCCTGACTCCCAGCCCAGAGCTCATCCCTCAGCCAAGCTGGAGTTGAGCACAAGGGTCATGAGCACAAGTTCTGGGGTCAGGAAGAGTTGGCCGTGAATCCTGGCTTAGCTGCTTCCTGAGGAGCAGGAGCTCGGGCAAGTTATCTTGCTTTGCTGGGTCTTAGTTATCTGTACAACTGGACTGACTCCATGGGTGTGGAGTGCTTCATAGAGGTTACTACACTGTAAAGGCTCAATAAAGTCTAGCATGATTTATATTCAGTTTAGAGATGTTATTTCTGAGTGCATAAGGACGTGCTGAGTCAGCTGACAAAAACAAACAAGGAAATTGATTTAATCACAGAACCCTGCTTGCAGAATTATGAGGGACAATATACCCATATGTAAATGAACAAATGACTCAGGGAAACTTTAATTTCCAGGAGAAGCCTCTGATTCAGGACAGACAAATGTCAGTTAAAAGCCAGATGAAAAAGAGTATTAATAGGAGTCAGGGGATACCCCAGGGCTCTGTCTGCTCAAGTTTCAGTATCATCAGTAGGTCAAAGACCTGGAAGGGCTAGCATCTTTCACTTGGCAGCTGTGCTTGGAGGGTGCAGAGTGGGCAAGGAGGCGTAAAGGAAAAAATACATGACCAGGGGATCAGAAAACTTGAAGTCAGGACCCAGCTCCCTCACCAGCAAAGTGTTGGCAAATCTTTCAGCTTCTCCTCAAGGTTCCTGATCTGAAAAATGACGGTTGTTTGGGGGCTCGAAAAGACAACACATGTGAAAGAGTCTTTAATCAACTGTAAAAGACCAAATAAGTCAAGTCTGATTTTTGGTAAGAATGCTGACCCTGAGTCTAGAAGTCCTTTGTGACACTCTATAAATAAGACCCTATCGACCATTTTGGGGGGTACAAACAGACTAACCCACTGCCCAAGGAACATGACATTCAGGATCAAATCTTTGGCAACCCTTTATGCCAATTCAGCAGCTACCAAAGTCATGGAGGAAAGATGGTTCCCAAGAGCTACATGCTCGAATATTTATCAAACTAAAGCTAAGAGAGTGCAGAGGTGGGATGATCGTCCGATCACACAAGGGGAAAAGTGCACAAATGGACACAATGCACGCCACCCACCTTCCCGGGGAACTTTGGGGCAACCTGCACAATTCTCTATTGAATCTGTCAATGTTGACTCGTCCTGACTCACTTACTGGGTTTTGAGAGAAAATGGGAGCAATAACGTGACTGCATACTCCCCTTAAAGGTTCTGGGGTAACCCCTCCCACTCTGTCAGCATTTTACTGCTCTATGAGGCCTGAGTAATAAAGCTGAGGCTGACTGAGCTCAGAGAAGAGGATGTGGTTTTCTTTGTGAGTTCCAGTTGGTAATCTCATGGTGTAGATTGGTTATGCTGCTGTGTTTATTTGCAAAGTCAAAAAGATCAAGTGTGTGTACCACTATAGAAGAAAGACAAACCTTGTTTTTCCTTCTAGGGTGGCAGGCAGGGAGATTACGGACAGCATGGGGCATGTGAAATCCTGACACTTCTACAAATTGGGAAGAAACCTTTGGCATGCTGCCTGCTTAGTGCTCTCACAGTGCCTGGCCTCATACTGGCTGGTGGCAAATCGCCATCAAGGAAATAGGTAACCATGGACACTGATATGATGGCATCTAATTTTCCTTTACTAATACCAATATGGCTGGGTGTGGTGGCTCATGCCTGTAATACCAGCATTTTGGGAGGCCAAGAAGGGAGGATTGTTTGAGCCCAGGAGTTCAAGATCAGCCCCGGCGACATAGCAAGACCCCATCTATACCAAAGGAAAAAAAAAATTAGCTGGGTGTAGTGGCACGCGCCTGTAGTCCCAGCTGCTCAGGAGGTTGAGGTGGGAGGACTGCTTGAGCCCAGGAGGTCGAGGCTGCAGTGAACCGTGGTTGCACCACTGCACTCTAGCCTAGGTGACAGAGCAAGACCCTGACTCAAAAAGTAACTAAATAACACCAACAATCCCTGTTCATCTACCCTTAAGAAATGCTAAGAAGATCACACTAGCTCTGCTCTTCTCAGTGATACTTCTTGCAGCACTCAGTACCTAGCACTTCATAGCAAAGCTGTTTATGAGCTTGTTTTACATCCCCTAGTAGAGTAGAAGCTCCCTGAGGACAGGTTATCCTTTCATCTCTGCATTCTCACAGCACCTACAGTAGAGTCTTGTGCAACACAGTTGAGATGGAGGGACCATTAAAAGAAACAGCAGGCATTCCTTCCTGGCAAAAAGGTTGAGAAGAGTGAGCTCCCCCACTTGCCTGCAGAGTGGTGGGGGCACAGCATTATAAGCCTTTCGTGACAGAAGTGAACAGCAAATTATCTGATGATTTTTTCAGTAAAGTAAAAATGTAAGCTCTGGAGTTTTTAAAAGAAACCTGAAAGCCAGGCATGGTGGCTCATGCCTGTAATCCCAGCACTTTGTGAGGCCGAGGTGGTTGGATCACTTGAAGTCAGGAGTTCAAGACCAGCCTGGCCAACATGGTGAAACCCCGTCTCTACAAAAAAAAATTAGCCGGGTGCGGTAGTGCACACCTGTAATCCTAGCTACTTAGGAGGCTGAGGCAGGAGAATCGCTTGAACCCAGGAGGGGTAGGTTGCAGTGAGCCGAGATCGTGCCACTGCACTCCAGCATGGGTGACAGTGTGAGACTCTGCCAAAAAAAAAAAAAAAAAAAAAAAAAACTTGAGTTTTTTTCACAGTACAGCTGAATCTAGACGATGCATTTTAGAAAACCTCTGTCCTTAGCTTCTACTAATGCCTTCATGTACACTGTACTTCAAACCAGCCAAGCCTGCTGCTGTCCTTGGAAAATTCCTTGAGACAGTCTCACCCATTGTTCTTTTCTCTTGCTTCTCCTCTAGATCCAAATGGCAAACCTTCTTCATCCACCAGGACCCAACCCACAGGCTACTTATTGCTGGAAACCTACGTTGTTCCTTGGATTGAAGTAATCTCTCCCTCCTCTGGTGCGCCCACAGCACTTGCACCAACAGTGGGTACTCAACAGACTAGCGTGCCTGCCGAAGAAGGGGTCCTCTGACAATCAGGGGACAATGGGGAATTATGCTCTCCAGACTTTCTACACACACAAGTCACACAGGAAGGAAGGTAAAGAGAAACTAGAGAAAATAATTTTTGAAGAAAAACATTTCAGGAAGTATTGAAAGTACACGGTAACTCAGCCTGGGGCAGGGGTGGAGGGCAGCAGCACTGTTTGCTGCAGCTATGCTCCTTCCTCAGTGCCCTGCACACCCGGGACTTGCTCGGTGAGCATCTCTCGTGTCAGTGACAGCTAGTGTGAGTACTCTTATGTTCAGCTGCCCCTGACTACCTCTTGACTTTGGGGACAAGTTACTTAATCTCTGTGCCTCCGCTGTTTCACTGGTAAATGGGAATAAGAGTTGGTTATTCTAGGGTTGTAGGGTTGTTGTAAGGATTAAATGAATCCGTATGTGAACAGCATTTGGTGCCTGGCACATGTGAGCTCAGCCGGGCGCGGTGGCTCATGCCTGTAATCCCAGCACTTTGGGAGGCCAAGGCGTGCGGATCACGAGGTCAGGAGATCGAGACCATCCTGGCTAACACGGTGAAACCCTGTCTCTACTAAAAATACAAAAAATTAGCCGGGCGTGGTGGCGGGCACATGTAGTCCCAGCTACTCGGGAGGCTGAGGCAGGAGAATGGCGTGAGCATTGTAGGCAGAGCTTGCAGTGAGCTGAGATCGCACCACTGCACTCCAGCCTGGGTGACAGAGCAAGACTCCGTCTCAAAAAAAAAAAAAAAAAGAAACGTGAGCTCATCTCCTTTTCATGCCAACTATAGTGTGCTAATCTGCTGGAAGCTTCCATTTGCAGGGGAATCTTTTCCACAACATCCCCATACCATTATCCCACCTCTGTTAGAAAGCTCCCAGGCTGCTAAGGCAGCCTGTTCTGGAGAGTTCTTATAAAGGTCTTCCACAGGGTGTTGAAATTTGCTGCAACTTCTATCTTGATCTTGGTTCTGCCCCATAATATGAACCCAGAAAAATCTAATCCCTTCTTCCATCTAACAAGCGTGATGTTTCTCTTAGTTTTTCCTCCCAATCCTAAACACCCTCAGGTCTGTTAACCATTCCACCTATGATCTGGTTCTGAAAGCTCCCACCCTCCTATGTCTACTAAGAATACAGCAGCCACAGGTGAACACAGTACATCTCACTGGAGCCAATCTCTCAGCTGGATGACACCCATCTGTTCAAAAGGTCAGGATTGAATTGGCATTTCAGGCAACAATTCCCCCCTAAGAGCGCATAATGAGTACAACCTGGCACCACCAAGGCGTTTTCACAGACACCGCTTTACAGCAAGGCCTTCTCTACTGCTCTGTGCTGCAGGACCGAATTCCCCCTGGGGCTGAGTTTTCAGCACTGACTTTAAATGACAGGGCAGGAGATGCAGGTAGTTCCGGGGAGGGAAGGATGGAAGAAACTGCTCAGTCTCAGGGTTGTACAGTTTACAGATAAATTGCTTTTTATTCCCTTGGATGGCAATGGTGAGGAGTGGTAAATTGCAAGATTCCTGATTTTGTCTAGGATGAATGCCGTGATGCTAATGGAACTATATTTTCTAAGTATAACTTACTAATTGCAATCCTGATCTCCTTCAGAATGATAATGAATATACTCATTAATTATAAAGTGGTACAAAATGAAATGATAATGGGGGCCCTTATGATGCTGTAATATTCTGCATTTAGCTCACTAATAAAACGACCAGAGTAATAATACCTCACATTTATGCACTGAACTCAAACATTTCAGATGATCTGAATGTGCCTCTCTCTCTCATGCAAACATTATGTAGAAACAAACACATATATACATGTTTTCATCTCCACAGATACACCGTAAGATACTCCATTGTTCCTCCAACACCTTCTTCACAGATGAGGAAAATCAGAATCAGAGGGATTAAATGACAAAGTTATCGTATTTATGATAGCTGCAAGAGCAGAATTAAGGTGCTCTGACTCTTGTTCCCACACTATTTACACTAAATTATGTTGGGCTGACTTTTTTTCTATTGCACAAGTTTAAAGTTAGCTGTTTGGATGGCAGTCAGGAATTTCTGGATTCCAAGAAACTGTGGTATGAATAAGGGAAATGGATCATCTATCTTATTGACTAAGTGTTAATTTTGTATCATGGTCCTTTGATTTTGAAAATGGACCCCTTGCCCACCAATACCCACTTCCTACATGCTTCTCCCCAAGAAGGTCGTGAAGCTCAGAAATTCTTTTTTTCTTAGGAACACAGAATACTAGCTGAAAAAAGATAACATTACTGAGTCAGTTGATTAGGGCAGACTGGCCCAGGACTTCCACTGTGAGGAGACACTTACCTCTGCTGGGCACCTTATTTTTACTGAATGCAGCAGTTGGCTGATGACCATAGGGATGTATCCCCAATTCTTGGGCATGACTCACAGTTCCTAGCAAAGATTCAGGGTCCCCAGGTCCACCGGTACTCAAGAGCAGAGGGCTGTCATGGCAACCTTTGGTCAATGTACTTGAACTCTTACTGTCTTGGAAGCCATCCTTGGCCCCCTCACACGAGCAGTCCTCCTCCATGCTCTCTGAATGCATCAGTGCCGGCTGGTGAGCATACCCGTGGGGCGGGGTGGGTGAGGAAGCCTGTGAGACACATTCTTGTGCCCTGATTTGTAGCAGATGCTGGGGGCTGGTGTGATGGTGATAAGAGTCAGCATTTTGATAAGATAAAGCCTGGCGCTCTGTCATGCTCTGTCCCCCAAGGCTGGGAGCCAGACTCCCCGCATCCCCTTGGTTCATGTGCCTGAACAGTTCCTGGTATTCTTGCTGTTGCTGCTGTTGCTGCTGCTGCTGCCGTTGTTGCTGCTGCCTTTTAATGAGCTGTGCAAACTCTGTTGGGGGCAGCCGGATGTCCGAGTGGCCGGTGAGCGAATGCCGGGGAGAAAGCAGTCCTTGAAGGATGTGGGGTACCTGCTGGTGTCTTGTATAGTCTGGCGGCGTGGGAGACAGCAGGGCCTGCTGTAGTGCCGACGTGGTATAGTGTGGCGGCTGCTGATGTGCACTGGGAGGGAAGGTGGGGAATTGGTCAAGTGGAGGGACTTTCAGGGCTTGGGTTGGAGAGAACCCCACTCCTGTTGAAGGGCTGTAGCTGCTGGGGGAACCCCGGGACTGGTCCGAAAACAGATGGGGGTGTAAATGCGCCTGGTCGTAGTTAGCAGGGGAGAACCGATTCACGTTCAAGCTGCAGACACAAAAGGGAGTACCAGACATCCATGTAACAAGTACTAGACTTCCTGGGAACAGCTCCTCCTCCTCAGTAGGGAGAACCCACTGGTACAGAGAACTGTGGTGTGACAGAGAAGTGGCAGATGTATGCATTGTCCCTATTTATTCCATTACTGGCTTGTCCAGTAACCTCCAAGGGACTGAGGGCACTGCGTGGGTAATAGATCTAGCTCATTTTGAAGGAAGCAACTTCAAGATGCTCCCTTCAAGAAAAGGGGAACTGGAATTTTTATACATTCCTCTAACAGGCCATTTTCTTCTTTGCAAGCAAATAATAAGGTAGCAAATAATAAGGTAGCTTTCCCATTTTCCACCTCAGTCTCATTAGAATTTTAACCCTGGGTCAATAAAAAGCTGACAAGTTCATTCCAAACCCAGCATCCTGATTTTAGAAAGCGTGAAACAAGAGCACAGCCTAGTCAGACCCATTCTCCTTCCCTCCTTTTCTCTCACTCTGCTAAGGGGCTTCCTCCCACCTGGATCCCATGCATAGATGGCTGGGTGACGTTAGGCGGTCTTACCTGTGAGCCTCTGCACTGTCAGCACTCAGCTGCTTGGACAAGGGACGGTGCCCATAGCTGAGGGTGGCCATCAGGTTGGTACGGTGCTGCATCTGCATCTGACCAGCACTGGGGCTGATGGAGATGCCGCGCCCACTGGAGCCTGCAGCTGTGCCTGGCATGTTGCTGAGCATGTCAACAGGCTCTTGGACTTGGATGGTGACCTGCTGTGACTGAGCAGGCTGCTGCATACCCAAGCAGGTTAGTGCCACGTTGGGAGGAGAGGAACAGTTCTCAGGTTGCTGCTGAAAGATTGCACTGCGGGAAGGTAAGCCTTGAAACTGGGAAGAAGATGCAGCCCCTGGAGAGAAAGGAACCTCAGAGTGACCAAGTGCCCAGGCCACCAGCCAGCCAGAAGTAATGAGAGCTAATGAGAATACTCAGACGACATACCAGCTAGAACAGTGCTTCTCAAACTGCACTGAGCATAGGACAAGTCTGGAGAACTTGTTAAACAGAAGATTCCTGGGTCCTATCTATATAATTCTGTTTCAAACTCTGATTCAGTAGGTCAGGATGGGCCCCTAAGAATTTGTGTTTCCAACAAGTTCCCTTAAAAGCTGGTCCATGGATTACATGGGGTAACTCGGATCTAGGCAGTGCTTCTTGAACTTTCACATGCACACAAATGGCCTGGCATCTGGTTAAAAATGCAGACTCTAGGCCGGGCGTGGTGGCTCACACCTGTAATCCCAGCACTTGGGAGGCCGAGGTGGGCGGATCATGAGGTCAGGAGTTCGAGACCAGCCTGGCCACCATGGCGAAACCCTGTCTCTACTAAAAATACAAAAATTAGCTGGGTGTGGTGGCGGGCGCCTGTAATCCCAGCTACTTGGGAGGCTGAGGCAGGAGAATCATTTGAACCCGGAGGTGGAGGTTGCAGTGAGCCGAGATCATACCACTGCACTCCAGCCTGGGTGACAGGGGGAGACTCCATCTCAAAAAAAAAAAAAACAGACTCTAACAGGTCTGGAATACGACCTGAGATCTTACTTTTTCTCCCAATATTGGTGGCTGGGGGACCCCACTTTAAGTAGGAAGAGCCTAGAGGCCAATTCAGACTCTTCTCAAGGATCCTAGGGAGACTGACTAGGGACGTAGCTCGTGGAGTGTTACTCAAGAGATCCTAAGACGGCTGACCTCTGAAGACTCACAGTCACATTATACTTATCTTCACTCCCATCTGTACACCCACAAGAGAGGGGCCCACGTGTATAGTAGACAGCCAAACGGAGGCATGTCTATAAGGAAGGTTCTGGTAGCTGCTTTTTATTTGGTAGGGCTGGAGGTTTTGTTAAAAATATTAATAATAGTAAACCTTTATTGAGAACTATTTTGTGCCAGAGACTGTTCCAAGTGTTTTACGTATATCTACATACTGTACCATAATTATCCTCAGTTGACATTTGAGAAGTAATATGGTTTGGCTCTGTGTGTACCCACATCTTGAAGTGTAGTCCCCATGTGTCAAGGGAGGGACCTGGTGGGAGGCGACTGGATCACGGGGCAGTTTCCTCCATGCTGTTCTCATGATAATGAGGGAATTCTTGAGATCTGGTTGTCTGATAAGTTTCTGGCGCTTTCCCCTGTGCAATCTCTCTCCTGCCACCATGGAAGATGAGCCTTGCTTCTCCTTCTGCCATGGTTGTAAGTTTTCTGAGGCCTCCCCAGCCATGTGGAACTGTGAGTCAATTA
Source organism: Homo sapiens (assembly GCF_000001405.40). NCBI lineage: Eukaryota > Metazoa > Chordata > Mammalia > Primates > Hominidae > Homo > Homo sapiens. The sequence continues at coordinate 116,860,999 of NC_000011.10, forward strand.
AACCTCTTTCCTTTATCAATTACCCAGTCTCAGTCAGTTCTTTAGAGCAGTGTGAAATGGACTAATTCAAGAAGTCAAGTTAACTTACCCAAGGGTTTACAGCTAAGAAACTGATGGAACCAGGATGCAAACCAAAGCAGCTTGGCTCTAGAGTCCATACCCCTGAATACTATGTTATTCTGCCTTTCAAATGGTTTATGGTGCTCAAAACTGAGACCATCATTTTTTCCCATGTGGCATAAAATGAACTGTTTGGTCTGAACCTCTCCACTCACCGTGAGGCTGGATCATGGCACTGCTCATGGGGGGAGGACTATTACTGGGCTGCCTGAAGAGATGGTTGTTGGGGTGGTTGGGGGGTGGGCTTGAAGGCTGAATCCTTAACCTTAAAAATAACAAAAGAGATACACAAAGAAGCTTCCTAAGGTGACAGTACAATCTTAAGTTTCAGCCATACAACATATATCAGTGGAAACTATTTTTTTTTACTTTGATAAGCCTCATGTTAGAAAAATATACATAAGCCATCCACCACAGTGTATTTAAAACCTATCTACATCTTGTTTGAAAAGAACTCAGCCAAAATGGCAGAGTTCATTGTGGGCCTATGTCTGGCTCCTGTATTAGATATCAGATTACTTTGCTCATGGGGCTAAGGAAATGAAGTGGCACAGGAAGTTGGGATTTCAAGAAGGCTCCTGAAATTTACAGTGGTTTCTCTCCTTTTCAAATAGATTCTTGCAAGATGAATGCTCAAGTCAGTCCATATCTCCCAGTGAGTCAAGCCAAGGGTACCAGGCTATCGAGACAATGGCTTAGGCACAACACAAAATGACTCATACCTCTGGAGCTGATGGGTAAGGAGGGCTGGCTGATTTTCACATGCAGCCTGAAGAGGTGGAGATGGCTGAGGAGGACAGATAGAGTCCTAAAACATATATGGGGAAAGGAAAAAAATTATTGTGAGCTTGAAGATTACTCAGAGCTATTCTCAGGAAGGGAAGAAACAGAAAGAACTATCTGTGTCTCAGATTTATGCTTTTGTTGTTCACCAGAAGGTCTGATTACCTTTACTCAAACATGTCAACCATAAACAGACCTCAAATCCACTTTGCACTGAGTGGTCTCCTCCAAAATGCACAGGCAAATCAGCCTGAAAGCAAACTCCAAACAAGTTGGAGAAAGCAAAGAGTGAGGGCCTACTTGAATTTGTTGCTGGAGAATTTGATGGTGCTGCTCCTGCTGGTATAACATATGCTGCTGCTGGGTCTTCTCCAGGGTTCTTTCATCAATCTGCCCCCCGTACATCTTCTGCAGCTGCTCACACTCCTGAAGGGAAAGTAGTTAATACAGATGGGATGCAGCCAGACCCGCCTCATGCAGTGATTTCAGCAGATGCAGATCTGCCTCCAAGCTCTCATGGGCAGAAAGAGCCGCAAGAGAACAGTGTCCTTGATGAGCAATTAACTCATTTACCTAAGTATCTGGTGCACTAAATAGATTCACATCCTGTTCTGTATGAATGAATGGAAAACATCAAGGATGGCCTTTGTATGAGTACAAGTGTCCAATGTGAAATCTGTGTACAAAGCACACGCCATTGGAAGCTTGGTCATCAGGAAGGCAGAAAGGAAATTGGCTCTTTATAGAATCTTTATAGTACAGAAACATATAGAGGTACATTTCCTTCCTCTGAGAGTGCCGTTCCATACCACCTGGAGAGAATGCCAGGTGGTAACAATGTACAGCAGGTTTAATCAAGACCCAGCATCCTAAATCATGCGCAGAGTGCCAGGCGCGCAAGGTGGCTCACGCCTGTAATCCTAGCACTTTGGGAGGCCGAGACGGGCGGATCACCTGAGGTCAGAAGTTCGAGACATAGCCTGGTCAACATGGTGAAACCCTGTCTCTACTAAAAATACAAAAATTAGCTGGCATGGTGGTGCACGCCTGTAGTCCCAGCTACCCAGGATGCTGAGGCAGGAGAATCTCTAGAACCCAGGAGGCGGACGATGCAGTGAGCTGAGATTGTGCCACTGCACTCCAGCCTGGGTGACAGAGCAAGACTTGGTCTCAAAAAAAAAAAAAAAAAGTAGCACCTTCTCTGGTGGTTCCCACAGAAACCCAAGCCCAGAAATTCCTTTCCAATGAACTAGAGACAGGAGAAAAATTTAGTCCCTTCACAGGGGAAGGAAGTTTGATCCTGGGGAGGGCTGTACATAACACAAAGTAAAGAAAGTGCATTAGAAAGCTATACTTTCTTTTTCTTTTAAGACAGAGTCTCGTTCTGTTGCCAGGATGGAGTGCAGGGGTGTGATCTTAGCTTACTACAACCTCTACCTCCCAGGTTCAAGTGATCCTCCCATCTCAGCCTCAGGAGTAGCTGGGACTATGCTAATTTTTAATCTTTTGGGGGAGAAAGGGTTTGCCACGTTGCCTAGGCTGGTCTAGAACTTCAGGGCTCAAGCAATCCTCCCACGTTGGCCTCCCAAAGTGCTGGGATTATAGGCGGGATCCACTGCGCCCGGCCCAGAAAGCTATACTTTTTTAACCTATAAAACTGCAATGTTGCTGACATAAAAGGGGTACGTTTACCACCCCAGTCCTCCTGCAATCCTGGCCTCTGTCACCCATGCTCCTCCAGGGATGCCTGCCACCTCTTCCATTACCTGCTGCAGCTGTTTGATGCTGCTGTTGTTGCCCATTTTTTCCAGGTGAGCTTTGAAGGCCTGGATGCTCGCAGCCCCATCTGAGAACCGGCGCACAGGGGAGAAACGCTCCGTAGGGAGGTGCAGAGTGTTGGAGTCCTTGTAGGTAGAGCTGAATATATGGGAAGAGAAGGTTAGAGGCTAGGACTCAGGGGCTTTGACCAAATCACACAGGGACTGCTGTTCCAGATGAACATAAAGACGGCTGGCTGCCCAGGTAGCCCTGCATATTATGCCACTTTCATGCCATTTCCAGACATCAGTCGTTTCCCTAGCCTGCTTCCCTTTAGAGGGCTCCAGGTGTACATCTTCCATTTCTACTTACCTTCGGTTGGCTTACTTTCCAAGCCTGGTGAGGTCCCGAGATCAAGTACATCCAGTTCTTATAAATACACTAGGCCAGAGAGAAAAGCTTCTCAATATCCTCCAGGCCAGACTGTACAGAAGCTCTTGCTTTTATAATCATATGTCTATCTAGTGCCTTTAGAAACCTTAAATTCACCATTTGAGCCAAAGTTTTCCCTGAGCAATGATCTCCGTATGGCCAGAGGGAAACAACAGTCAGTTTTGTGGTCAAAGGTCTGGCCTAGAACTCATAGGTTCTGTGACAGAAAATAGAAGGTGGCGATTGGGGTGGGGGAAAATGAAGACTTCTGATCCTGGGATGGAGACAACAAATTCTTAAGGAATGTGGGCCTTGAGATCCTGCACGTACCTGGTCAACAAATAAGGTCACCTACTGTGAAAATCAACTTCTCAGAGCAGCAGCACTCACCCAACCTCCTAATGAAAGAGGAATCATATGGATTACCTTCAAAGACCCCACTGCTCAACTGGAACACAGCCAGAATCTTACAGAAAGAAAGAACAAGCTATTGATAAGGAATGCCTAAGACAGCATCGGGGTTAGAAGCTAACACCTACTCTTGTGACCTGATGATCAGAAAGAGATGTTTATGGGCTGAGGTAAGCAGATAAAAGACTGCCAAGGCAGCAGCATTCCAGTAGCAGATGGAAAGGATCAGGGTTTCATGTCCAGGGCAGAGATGCCATTACACTGAACTTTGGATGAAATGATGTGCTACCTTGCCAGTGATTCATTTGGGACTGAAGCAGAACCACAGCTCAGGAAGCAGGTTAACAAGCGAGTTCAAATACAATGCAGACAGCGCGGGACCAGGAGGAATCTAATGACCGTGCAGAGGTATCCAGAGAGTTCTGGCAGCAGGTGAAAGCCTTTTACCCTGTCTTTGCTAATGATGGCTTTTGTTTCAGACTCTACCTGAGGCTTGACCCAGCAGTGAGCTAATGAAATGAGCACGAACATGTATTTGGTTCAGCAACACAAAAAACAAATGAATTTGGCGGGCCACAATCCAGGAACAGGGATCATGAAGGCTGTGTTGAGAAGCATTTCCTTATAACTTGTCATTTCTGTTTCTACTTCAGGTTGAAGTAGAAGCAAGTAAGTACTATTTTCTCCTAAAATTTGATTCCTATGCTTTCAATGTTTTCTGAAATGGACATGTTTCTGATCCCCTCAGAAAGCCATGTTCTTCAAGTAGCAATACAGTCTTTCTGCACAAAAATAATTCTCTCCCATCACAGAAAATCCCAGGTCCAGGTATTTCATGACTTTTTCAGAAGCTCAGGTTGTGAAGAGACTGATACCCAGGTCAGTCCAGCACAGTAACCTCAGAGGAACGGTTCTGATGCAGTTGCTCATTTGAGAAGCACTGATAAGTATCAATTGTGCTTGATTTTATTTTTATTTGCAATCACACTCAAATTCAGGATGGCCTCGCATTAGGCTGATACTCCCACACTATACTCTTCAAGGAGGGACTTGGTTTCCCACCTGGATAAAATCTATCTTGTGTTAGTTTAAAAAAATTTTTTAGTTACACTTTTTAAAACATTTTTAACCTTAAATTACACATTTCCAGAAATGAAAAGGTTGATTAGACCACTCTTCTGTTTCCATGTTGAACTTCATCTCTTCTACCCCAGAAGGATAGCTATATATACTGTTCTTTAATCATTTCCTCCAGAAAATGAAAGGAATTCAAGAACCCATGCAGGCCACCCGTATTCCATGTTTTATAGCCTTGGAAAGTTTCTCATTTCCCCTGAAGACTGGCTTTAATCTCTTTTGCTGCATATTTGTATAGTGATCCCATCAAGACATGCTGGGTTTGCACAAATGCCCCATCTTATGCAATTTGCCACTCATAAAACATCATTTTCTTCCAATTCAAATAGGCTTGGCCACAGGCAACCCTCAAAACACCAAAAAGGTTCACATGAAAACAGACAGCAGATAGATTTCCAGCAGGCAAGGCCTTGACAATGACTCTAGGCAGGGTGGATATCACACAGACAGAGCTGTGGTCCAGTGTGGACCTCCTTGAGTAACAAATGTCAACAGAATATAGGGTCTGTGATAAAGCCTGACTCTGGAAATGTGACGATCTTCATGTTCCCCTCATAAGAAGACCTCCTGAGGAACACCTAGCATTCAACAAGGATACCTAAAGGACTTCAGCTAAACAACAGACTCAGACAAGGGCTGAAACATTAAGTGTCAGGCTGTGGAGGAAGGGAAGAAGGAGACAAGGAGAAAAGAAGGAATAAAGGGTGTATTAGATACCAGTGTAGAGCTTGAAGTTATGAGAAATCACAGGAAACGTATAGGGGAGGAGAAGGCAGGTCTCCAGTAATCACTCAAAGTGCTCTTTATTTATTTATTTATTGAGACGGAGTCTCACTCTGTTGCCCAGGCTGGAGTGCAGTGGCATGATCTCGGCTCACTGCAACGTCTGCCTCCCGGGTTCAAGCAATTCTCCTGCCTTAGCTTCCCGAGTAGCTGGGACTACAGACGCCCACCGCCACACCCGGCTAATTTTTGTATTTTTAGTAGAGATGGGGTTTCACCATATTGGCCAGGCTGGTCTCGAACTCCTGACCTTGTGATCCACCCGCCTCGGCCTCCCAAAGTGCTGGGATTGCAGGCGTGAACCACCGTGCCTGGCCTCAAAGTGCTCTTTAGTGTGTACGAACACTGTAAGTCCTGAGAGACTTTCATTAGAAAAAGCCTGTCTTTCTGTGCCATCAGAGTTTTATTTGAGAATTGTCATTCTTGCTACTCCTGACAGACCATTTTTACCAAGTTACTCATAGTCATTTATGAAAGCTTATCTTCCTTCTTTTAGGGTTCCAACGTGGCACTAATTATGTCCCACTCTGCTCAGAGTTCACTTGCCTCTGCTGATTATGTTGATGCCAAATGGGTAACCAGCCTCAGTAAAAAAAATGTGTCAAGCTTGCCAGTGCAAGCTGGCTGCAAGATTTCATAACACCACATATATAAACCTAGTTTCCTTGGAATCTGATTGCTTTTCAACCTTCCCAAGGCTGCTTTTCAGTGTCCTCCCCAAAAGACAGAAATAAAATACGCTCTAGTAACTGGTGGTGGCTTTGAACGTGTGGGCCATGAGCTTGGGGATAGCTTCGGAGTGGCCAAGACTGAGATTTTTAGTCATCAAGATAGTCACAGAAGATAATCATCTTCTTCAACTAGCAAAGTGTCATTCCGCAGCTGCTTCCAGGCTTACTTGGAGTCAATGAAGTTTTCTTGGTCAGGAAGGTTAAACTTGCTTTTATTTCTTCAAGAGAATGGATTATAACCATAACCGAACCTAGCAAAAGATTTTTGCCATCAGAATATTGAAAGAATGACCTCTTAAATACATCGCTCAAGAGGATCTCTGCTCTACTATTCAGAAGGGGCTTTGTCTTCATTTCCAGGCTGGCGGTTCAATGGTAACACGATATGAAATGCTCATTCTTTTGAAGGTGATGGATTATTAAAGGTCAAGTCTATCGATATGGCTAAAAATCTTCCTGTTTCCAGGTGGCCTTCTGAGAGTTTCACTTTCTTGCAGGTCTCAAGTTCAATTTTATCTATGAATCAACATCTAGAATCATGGGAATCAAATGCAGACAATAAACAGGTCTGCAAGGTAATGGGAGAGAGGAATCTCGCATTGCTCCAGGGCGCAGTAAAAAACCTTTGCCCTGTGCATTGCTTACTGCAAGGAGCTGAGAAGATGTGAGTTCAGGATGACAGCTGGCTTCTATTTAAAGCCACGATGCTAGTCACCGTCGCTGTGAGACTAATCAGAAGGGTGCCTGTCCGATGAGCCTCAAGGAGCTCGCACAGCTCATGTGGCTACTCACCGATGCTGATCAGGTACCAGGTGAGGAGGCCAGACCCGGGAACGGAAAGGCTGCTGTCCTAGCTGCCGTTGTAGGTCCGGTGGGATCTCAGCTGTAGGGTTGGTCATGGCCAGTGTATGTCTTTTGGACCTATTTGCCAAGTACCTGCAACAAGCAGGAGCACATTTCATAGTAAAAAAGACAGACAGGAATATTCCTCCACAAGAAGCATTAGAAGTTAATCCAAAGCACTCAATGAAATAGTGCCAGAGCTCACGAAGGCTTGATGGCAAACAGATCCCTGCCTGGATGGAAGTGAGACACGTCTAACTGGCCAACAGAAGTTGGCTTGACAATGAAGTGGCTGAATTTTGAACCTAAGAATAGCCATTGAAGAGAAGAGAGAAAGTAGATCTAGCTCACAAAGATGAGATCACTTTTCCTTGCTTCATTCTACTCGGTAGAAGAATTTATTTTCTCCATGTTAATTTATTCATCTTTTCCCTCCAAATTTCCAAAATACAAGTCAGAGGAAATGAGCCCTAAGGACTATTCCTAGAGATGAACCTGGGGAGATATTCAGAAGGACTCTGTGCATGTCTCTCGATCTCACAGGCCCCAGGTTTGAGACTTTCTTCACTACAGGTCACAGAAAACTGATCCTTCCATTTGAGGATAAATGAATTCCAAAACCACCCTTTCCCTCTCGCTTGGTGACTATAACTCAATCATCAGAGAAGAAAAACTGATGTTGTCCTTGGGGAACCAACATTCTGTGGAGGATGAAGAAATAAAACCACATGAAATGTTTAGTTAGGGAGGGAAAAAGCAAGGCAAAAAATAAAAACAGAAGAGTCTCACAAGACGAAGAGTTCCCAAACTGATGGCTTTTATTCGGAAGATCTTTCAGACCCAGCACTTAGTTAATACCATCAATAAGATATTGTCCCTCTTTGTCTGGTGGATGACTTCCTCCACCGCTGCTGCTCTTCTGGAGGCATGAATAAAAGAGGCACTACACCTTTTTTATTACATCAAAACTGATGGGCATTATACCCTTGAAATGTTGGTCTAAAGAAGAAAGAAGGTAGACCTGGAGGAAGGAAAGTCTAAGACAAAGAAGATAAAATATTGCTGTCTCTTTTAAGGTAGAAAGGCAGTAAATTTCCTGATTTCTCATTTCTTCATGACCCAGTAGGGCCCATTTGTAACCTTATATACCCTCTTATCAGCAAACTATAGAAACAACAGCATCAAGGAAAAAAAAAAGTTACCAGAATTTTCCTTCTATTGGCCAAGCTGTAGAAGGAGCTGGCCCACCTGCCAACACCCCTGTTTGCCATGGTTTTCTTTCCACATAGGACCAGCTGCTTTCTGAATAGCAGCTCTCACACAGAGCTACTGGGGATAGGATGAGAGTCCTAGCCAGCAACTGGCAGGTTCTTAAAAAATGGTCTCATTTCATTCTTA